>NC_000010.11:124744462-125055943 GCF_000001405.40 Homo sapiens
GCGCCGCTCGCCGCGCTCGCGCCTGCGAGGCCCCGGGACGCGGGAAGTGGCCCCGGGCCTGGGCCGCGCCACCGCGGCTGCCCGGGCCCCGCGCCAGAGGCCCTACGGGCTTCTCTCCCCGCCCCCAGCACGAGCCGGGATGAAAACGCTGGGCCGCATAGGCTTCAGGCGTCCAGCTTCCGGGTTGTTAGATGCCGAGGTTCAAAAGAAACGATCACTTCAGTGGCGTGCAGGACAGCGGGCGGGTGGGGTCGGGGAGGGGGGACCTTAAAGTGTTGTCACACTTTGGGAAAATAAAGCGCAAATTTCCTAACTCGGGGCGCTGTGACTGTGTACTTCAGAAGCCACATCCAAAATACATGCAACTGGCGAAGGAAGGATTTGTGGTTGCTAAGCAGAGGCAGAGCATGTTTAGTTCTGTAACTTAGGATGTTGACTTAAGTTCAGGAATGTAACCCTGATAGAATAAGCAGAGTATTTTCATTGTGCTGCTCACCTGGGGGAGGGGGATTGTTTTCCTTGTGAAGCCCTAGATTTCCCATTACTCCTTCCTACTGGTGTATGTTATTTTATTGACCTTGTATCCAAAAAGCGATTTTTAAAGAGAAGTTTTTTTAAAACTCCCTATGCCTGTTTTGTGTTCTCCTTTGCCAAAAAAACAAAACACCTCATTACTTTACATGGATTGTGTCTGCGCCATTTGAATGGTTCTATTCATAAATAAGGAAACTTTTTCTGTTGCTTCTAGGAACATTTAATTGGTTTTAATCCAATGTTTCAATCCCAGTATCAAACATAAATGAACAATTAACTTCTTGAGCTTTGTGTGCTTGGGAAACTATTATATTTCATGGCTATTGCTGAAATATTTCAGAATATCATCACACCGGACCCATTCTTTTCAGAAAAGCATGAACTGACATCTCCTTTCACACTACAGCTCGCTCCACTGAGTTCTGCTGCATGATTAGAATGGACAGCAATCAGTGGAAAGGATATGAGTCTATTCATTTCAAGTTACATGATGTGGGATAGAGTCAGTTCATCCTAGAAAGCCAAAATGAGCTAACATACAGAATACAGCATACTAAGATATTGATATCCTTACCCATATACGTTGCTTTTTAAAAATGCATTAAGGACCAATCTTGAAAGGAACAAGATCCAAGAACCGATGGTGAACAAAAGAAGGCCCAAGGAATAATCTAAGAATGCTGCTATGCTTAACGAAAAGAGTCAGTGTTTCCCTAAAGCCATCTGATATCACACAATCACCTCAGCCTTTCAGAGCTTTAAGGACAGAGTTTAATTTACTAACGTTTTATTAGGAAGCCTAGAGTGACTCCTGCTGGCAAACATTCAGTTTATTCCTACAATTACTAGTTCATCAGGTCAACTTAAAAAACAAGATGCAGGGTCCCAGGCCTGGAAACAATTATTACAACCATTATTCTTGTTGCTTTCAGGATGATTTGCGTTTCACATTCCAAGGATGGTGGTCATGGCCAGTTCCTCTGCTGTAACACCTCCTTTCCAACCTAAAGCAGCCTGTTTTTCTGGTTCTGAGGCTTTCTTGAGGCTGTCTAGAATATACTTGCTTAAGAAGTTATGCTATTAACCAATAAATAGTTACTTCTCATTTTCTAGATTTGTATCTCCAAAGGCTAAAAAGATATGCATACATTAAGACCTGTGTCACACTTAACCTTCCATACTATAGGTTCTTCCCACATGATATAATAATCCTACAGCTATATTATAAAACATCCTCACTTCTTAGTGCTCAGCTCCATAGTTCTTTACTAAGAAAAAATTCTACCCAAAAGGTTGTTGTTATATTAGAGTTCTGCTCAATTCAGAAGAGTAGCTAAAAATGTAGAACTCTAGATTTAAAGCTATGTAAAAGCTGCAATGGGGTGGGGACATGGAGCTAAACTGTCTATCTTTGTTCAATCCAAAATGGTCAAAACCAGATTTTGCACACAACCAGACACCTAAATGCAAATTCATAGGCCAATTTAGGAATAAATCCATAAATAATCTAAAAACTATTACTTGTAACTTTTCCATTATCACCAACCAACGCTAACCTGATTAAGCCGGAGAACACCCTGGGAAATATAAAATGCAGGGATTACTTGCAGTCTTTTACATCAAGACCAATATATGACGGCCCGGCACAGTGGCTCACGCCTGTAATCCCAGCACTTTAGGAGGTCAAGGCGGGCGGATCACTTGAGGTCAGGAGTTTGAGACTAGCCTGGCCAACATGGTGAAACCTCATCTCTATTAAAAATACAAAAATTAGCCAGGCATGGTGGCAGACACCTGTAATCCCAGCTACTCAGGAGTATGAGGCAGGAGAATCGCTTGAACCTGAGAGGCAGAGGTTGCAGTGAGCCAAGATCGCACCACTGCACTCCAGCCTGGGTGACAGAAAAAGACTCCATCTCAAAAAACAAACAAACAAACAAACAAAAAATATATGAAAGCCAGGGATAAAACACAGCAATCCTAGTTCTCCCAAAGGAGGACTACCAAATAGAGGCACACTTGTGTGTAAGGTGTGCAACACATTTCCACTCAAAACTGCCTGGGAGATAGAAATTGAGTATCATTCTATATTAGAGAGCTCCCCTATTACAAGTTTAAAGCTCTTAAGCAACAGGATGACAATAAGGGTGTGTTTTATTAAGGGTGTAACCTACTATAACTTGTATCAACAAGCTAATAAAAGTATTCACCTAAGCACATTTGTGCAGACGAGGGTAAAGGTTGGGTTTTGATATGCACTAAGGAGTGTCTTAGGTAGTTAGTGGGTGTTTTATTTTTATGCCTTTAGAACCAGATAAATGTGACGTTCAAACAAAGAGCTGAGCTTTGAGGCTTGAACAAGTACCAGCAAATGTTCAGTTTTTCCCATCAAATCTATCTGTAGGTATGGTTGTAAAAAGAGCTTACCACTAAAAAATTATAAACTGGTTTGAGAGAATAACATACTATCCTTTTTAGACTAACAAGTGAACTAAACAAACGCCAAACGTTATACACTGGATCCAACAGCAGTATGCAGATGCACGTGTATTCACCCCTTTATTTGGCTTCCAAAAGCCACTGCCTCTTTGTCACAACCCTTGTATTAAAAGCCAGTCATTCACATTTCACACTGTTCTTTCTACATTTGAAAAGATCTTTTTAAAAGCAGAACCTTTTTAAAATTGCTTATAATAAATTATGAGAAGACAGACATCACCAAGTCCACCTTAAGTATTTTCAAAAAGATAGGTGACTGGAAATATGTTAGCAAAATATACTTCTTTGGAAAATATAAGAAGTTTCTGGTTACAGATGGAAATAAAAAATCTGAACCTATCATGGGGGCAATTTTCACGTCTTACTCAGAAAAAAAAGTTCTGTAAATTTTCCCACATCTTTGTCCAGCTACAACTAGTAACCCTACCTACATTAGCATGTAGGGATCACATGACACATTAATCCCTCTGTTCTTTCCTGTCTGTTCTTTTTATCCACTGATGAAAATAAGAAATGAATTATAGCTCTGGCTGGAATCATGCATGTGTGTATATACATACATACATACATACATGAATGATACATATATATACACACACACCTTTTTAAAGAGGTATTTGGTTGCTGAGGACAAAATTACTCTTTGATCCAAGAACTAAATAAAACAATTTATTTTCACTGAAAAATAACCTCAGCAATGAGTTTAATAATACCAATCCCACTCCTTTGATACAAAATAAGAGTTGAAAGCAGCTTGAAGAGGAGTGACTATTGAGATCAGCGCATGTGAAGCCACACAGCTTTGTAACTGACTGTCTAGCACCATTGAGGTACGAAAGCATGCCAGCTGGGCCAGCATTGTGCACCACAAAGTATGGGTTGTGAGCCTAAGTCCTGAACACAAACCCTGCTTTCCAAGTTGGCAGGTGCTGAAAACACAGCAAATGTCACGCTTGCAACTCACTGGAGGGAAGAGTTCTGGTAAAGTAAGCTAAAAAGAACAGAGCAACAGTTAAAACTTATTTCAACTTCATATTTTTTTTTCAAAGTTAATAGTAACTACTGGTATTATGTGCTACAAGAAAACACAAGCATGAATAACAAACATTTAAAAGTTTATGTATGGTAAATAAAAAGCTTTAAAAAAGTGTAAGAAAGGCTTTTCACTATCTACAATCAAAGTAAATGGCATAAGTAAAACTTATTAAGCCTATTTTATTATCCTAATACTAAGGTTCAAAAGCATCTGTTTATGATCTTACATGAAGTAGATGCTAATTATTATCATTATAACATGGTGAGTTCCCTAGTTTGCTTCAGTTACCCCACCAAAAACATATCTAAAAACAAATTACAGTATTTTCATATTGCTATATTATAAATTGCATTTAATCTAGAAAATATTTCAACTGTAGACCAGGCTAAATGTTTATGTTACCATCTTTAAATGAAACCATTTCAACTTTTTTTCTTAAATATTCTTTAGTGGAATTCACATTCAGTATTTGAGATATAAGCTCAAAACTTAATTTTTCTCTTGTCAACTATCTGCCATAAGTCACTGCCTCAAGAAAAATCGATTTTGAATTCATCCCTAGTGATATGCTCAAAGCTACTGCTCTCCTGCCTTTCCCCCTAAAAATGAAACTGAGTAAATTTCATTTTCATTAGGTAGAAAGGAAACTAAAACTAGATACAGTTGGTGATTTCACAGAGCTTAAAAACCCAATCTAAAGGCTGAATCCTTTGGATTTAAAATGTCAAGAAAAGAAATCAGCCTCTAGTTCTAAAAGGCAGAACATTCCTGGGAGCAGTACGAAAAGAACATTTAGCCTACATACTAGCCTGTGAATTTCTTAACTCTCCTCAGCAGTTTGTCAATCTATTATATTAACCAAAAGCAAAGATCTTTTGTTTGAATTCATACCCATGACTGTTCTAAGAGAAGACTAGCCTTGCCGATTTTGTATGTGCGTAACCTGCAGCTATAGGTTTAACTGTACCTATAATATGAAAGAATTGACATGAATGAGAAGCTGGCTTACTATTTTAATTACTAGTTACAGCTTCTCTTAACTTTTACAAGGGACAAAAAGCAAAAAAAAACACCTTGATCAAAACCAGGTTAGTCAACCACTGTACTCTTAAACTACCTAACATAAAGAACTGAAGCTTTGATTCTGTTCTGTCCTAAAGAGGTACATCATATCATATTGACCTCAACTCTGTAGAACTTTCTTAAAATGGTTAAAAGACTAAAGCCCTCTAGGATTAACTAGAGAAAGCAATATGGCTCTGGCCAACATGTCTATAGTCATACTAAGCATTCTAGACATTGAGATAGTCATATAACCACCAATAAAAAGGTTAAAGAAATAAACAAACCTGAAAAACCAAATGTTTTCTTTTGTTTGTTTGTTTGGTTTTTTTTGGAGACAGAGTCTCACTCTGTCACCCAGGCTGGAGTGCAGTGGCGTGATCTCAGCTCACTGCAACCTCCGCCTTCCGGCTTCAAGCAATCCTCCTGCCTTGGCCTCTTGAGTAGCTGGGACTACAGGTGCATGCCGCCACTCCCGGCTAATTTTTTGTATTTTAGTAGAGATGGGGTTTCACCATGTTGCCAAGGCTGATCTTGAACTCCTGAGCTCAAGTAATCTGCCCGCCTCAGCCTCCCAAAGTGCTACGATTACAGGTGTGAGCCACCGAGCCGGGCCAAACCAAATGTTTTCTAGAGTAGCATAAATAACTGATTCACCATACTTTTTACACACTACACTGTCAATTCTAGTATAAACTAAGGACAAATCAGATAAACTAAAGTATTACTCAACATCAAACGAAAATGTCACCGTGAATGGCACTGTTAACTTACAGCAAAGGAAATAAACCTGAATCACTGATCAAGGATATCAAATCTGGATGATGCAAAGTAAAAATCAATTATAAAATCTCAGGCCACTGCTTCCTAAATGGCCAAGACCCAAATCCAATTCAACACTTTCATTAAATCCAGTTCTACCAGCTTCCTGATGCATGATCCTACAGGGATATGCTCTTGGTTCCTTTGTCTGATATCACTTGGAATAATGCCTTGGCACTCAGACCTAATGAAGGAAGGTATACCATATCCTTGTCCATTTGGTTTCAATTCAAATGCACCCACATTTACATTTTCCCCCACCATACCCACATTTCTTAGTGAATAATTACTGGGGCCGGATGCGGTGGCTCACACCTATAATCCCAGCACTTTGGGAGGCCAAGGCGGGAGGACTGCTTGAGGCCAGGAGTTCGAGTCCAGCCTGGGTAACATGGCGAAACCTTGTCTCTACAAAAATTACAAAAAATAGCTGGGTGTGGTGGCACGTGCCTGTGGTCCCACCTACTATGGAGGCTGAGGTTGGAGGATCACTTGAGCCCAGGAGGTTGAGGTTGCAATGAGCCATGATTGCACCACCCTACTCCAACCTGGGTGACATAGTGAGACCCTGTCTCCAAAAAAAAAAAAAAAAAAAATTACCACTTAAAACAGGTAACGATCTAAATCCGAGGGGTATTCTTAGTCTCTGCTGACACATCATAAAGGACATTTCATGAAAATCTGGCATTATAATATCTGGTCCTCATTTCTTTTTTTTTTTTTTGAGATGGGGTCTCGCTCAGTCGCCCAGGCTGGAGTGCAGTGGCACTATCTCAGCTCACTGCAAGCTCCGCCTCCCGGGTTCATGCCATTCTCCTGCCTCAGCCTCCCGGTAGCTGGGACTACAGGCGCCTGCCACCACCCCTGGCTGATTTTTTTGTATTTTTAGTAGAGACAGGGTTTCACCATGTTAGCCAGGATGGTCTCGATCTCCTGACCTCGTGATGCGCCCGTCTCGGCCTCCTAAAGTGCTGGGATTACAGGCGTGAGCCACCGCGCCCGGCCAATATGTGATCCTCATTTCTTAAATGACTGAAAAAAAAAAAAAAAAGTACTTCAAGCCCAGCACAGTGTACCGCTCAGGAGTCCCAGCTACTTAAGACGTTGAGGCAGAAGGACTGCTTGAGGCCAGGAGTCTGACTCCAGCCAAGCAATACAGTGAGACTTGGTCTGTCAAAAAAATAAATAAGTGCTTCAGCACCAGCGCTAGCTAGAGATTAAGGAAGAAGCTACACAGTATGATTTCTAAGAAGTTCTGAAAGGCCTACCTAAACTTTCCCTCTCACTTGTCTAGCACTCCGCCTCTCTTCACTCATTTAATCACTCCTAGAACACAAATGCCTACAATGGAACTGAATATACTAAAACTGTGGCACTGAGGGGTAAAATCTCAAACAATTAAACATATTAGCTCCATGGGAAGAAGGGTCCTTGGAGGAATGAACACTGATTTAGCCTTGGTGTGTGCCAGCAATCCCGCTAAGCTGCTTTACATTTCTCACTTAATATTCACATTCCTAATATGCAGGGTCTAAACCACTGCTTCTCTCTCCAAGCTGTTTCAAAGAAATGTAGGGAAGGGAAACCAACCTTAAGTACCTACTATACAGAAGGTACTTTGCTATCACCTTTAACATACTTCTGTTTCACTGGGGAAATAAGCAGTTACAGAGACAAACTGACAGTAGCCTGGAGAGACACAGGGCATAAGAAGGGCAGACTCATATACTATATATACTGTAGTATATACAGCATACTATATATAAGAAGGGCAGACCCATATACTATATATACTGTAGTATATACAGCATACTATGTATAAGAAGGGCAGACCCATATACTATATACACTGTAGTATATACAGCATACTATATATAAGAAGGGCAAGGGCTGGGCACGGTGGCTCACGCCTGTAATCCCAGCACTTTGGGAGGCCGAGGCGGGTGGCTCACGAGGTCAGGAGATCAAGACCATCCTGGCTAACATGGTGAAACCCCGTCTCTACTAAAAAAAAATACAAAAAAAGTAGCCGGGCATGGTGGCAGGCACCTGTAGTCCCAGCTACTCAGGAGGCTGAGGCAGGAGAATGGCGTGAACCCAGGAGACGAAGCTTGCAGTGAGCCGAGATCGCGCCACTGCACTCCAGCCTGGGCGACAGAGCGAGACTCCATCTCAAAAAAAAAAAAAAAAAAAAAGAAGGGCAGACCCATATACTATACCCATATACTATACTCATCTTAGAGTGGCAAATTAGGTAATCTGTGTGTAGTTTGTGTCTTGTGTCAAAAAAGAACCATATTGGGGAGATTCCTCAAATTATCACAATTTTCCTAAGGCCCAGTCTTGATCTCTATATATAAAAATGGAAGTGGACTAAACAATAAGATGTAAATTCCTAAATTTCCTGGATATCTCTAGGCCAGGCACGGTAGCTCACGTTGGTAATCTCAACACTCTGAGAGGCTGAGGCAGGAGGATCACTTGAGCTCAGGAGTTCAAGACCAGCCTAGGCAACATAGTGAGACCCCATCTCTACAAAAAATAGGAAAATTGGCCTGACATGGTGGCATGCACCTGTAGCCCCAGCTGCTAGGGAGGCTGAGACAGGAGGATCACTTAAGCCTGGGAGGTCAAGGCTGCAGTGAGTCATGATCACACCACTGTACTCCAGCCTGGGTGACTGGGTGACAGAGAGAGAACCTATCTAAAAAAAAAAAAAATAGGCCAGGCGCGGTGGCTCACGCCTGTAATCCCAGCACTTTGGGAGGCCGAGGCGGGTGGATCACGAGGTCAGGAGATCGAGACCATCCTGGCTAACATGGTGAAACCCCGTCTCTACCAAAAATACAAAAAATTAGCCAGGGGTGGTGGCAGGCGCCTGTAGTCCCAGCTACTCAGGAGGCTGAGGCAGGAGAATCGCTTGAACCCGGGAGACAGAGCTTGCAGTGAGCCAAGATTGTGCCATTGCACTCCAACCTGGGCGACAGAGTGAGACTCTGTCTCAAAGAAAAAAAAAAAAACCCTTTGCTCAAATGTATACAAACTTATCAAATAGATATCAGTGACAATACTCAAATACAAAGTTTAAGAAAACATGGACAAAGGTTTTTTTTAGATTGAATACTCATCTGACTGCTTCAAATATTTTATGTACATATGTATATATGAGTACAGATACCTTGGTTTAAAAGAACCATCAAGTTACCTAACAACTGAGAGTTAGCAAACGGGGTATTTAATCTCCCCATCTATACAGTCGACCCTTGAACAACATGGGTTTGAACTATGCGGGTCCACTTATACTTGGCTTTTTTCAACCAAACTCAGATGGATAATCCAATATTCTTGGGATGCAAAACTCACCTATGTATAGATTTGGTTATAAGCAGGTGGTCCCAGTATCCCTCGTGCATACCAAGGGACAGCTATTCTAGAAGCCTATTTTGTAGGGCTTTTTCTAAGCCTTAATTGATTTCAGGAGTATTATGGACTAAATGCTGGTTTCCCCTACAATCCACATATTGAAGCCCTGACCCCCTACCCCCAATGTGATGATATTTGGAGATAGGGCCTTTGTGAAATAATTAGGGTTAGATGAGGCCATGAGAGTGAGGCCCTCAGGATGGGGTTAGTGCTCTTTACTTTGTTTTTGTTTGTTTTTTTTGAGATGGAGTCTCGCTCTGTCACCCAGGCTGGAGTGCCGTGGTGTATCTTGGCTCACTGCAACCTCCACCTCCAAGGTTCAAGCAATTCTCCTGCCTCAGCCTCCCGAGTAGCTGGGATTACAGGTGTGTGCCACCAGGCCCGGCTAATTTTTGTATTTTTAGTAGACACGGGGTTTCACCATGTTGGCCAGGCTGGTTTGAACTACTGACCTATGGTAATCTGCCCTCCCTGGCCTCCCAAAGTACTGGGATTACAGACTTGAGCCACCATGCCCGGCCGGGGTTAGTGCTCTTTATAAGAAGAGACACCAGAGAGCTTATGCGCTCTCTCTCCTCCAACCCCATTGCACACAAAGAAGTCATGCAGACACACATAGATGTCAGCCACCTACAAGCCTAGAGAAGAGGCCTTAAAATAAAACATACCTTGCCAGCACGATGATCTTGGAATTCCAGCCTCCAGAACTAACTTTCTAGAAATAAATTTCTGTTGTTTAAGCCACCAAGTTCATGGTATTTTATTATGGCAACATGAGCTAACAAGGATACAGAATGTTAAATATCACTAAGTGCCCCTGTTTTATGGAGAGAAAAACTGAAGACCAGAAAAGAAAAGTAACTTGGCTAGGTCTAATCATTTTTTCTCCAAAATTAAATATTTTTAAAAATCATTTGTTTGACATCTATTCTATTGCTTAATAGATTTTAACAAATTACCTGCTGTTATAAAATGAAAGGAACCAAAATAAATTCAACTGAATTTCAAGTTCAGAAAATAATCTGCTTAATTCATTGCAAATAATGAAATGATCTCACTTCTGCTACATAATGTCTTCATCATACAAATTCCAACAGGATACCTTAGCTCACTAACTGAATACTGGGGGAAGACAGCTTATTTCGTAGTGAGCTCCAGTATTCAGAATTGCCCTTTTAGTTTAATTCAGTTAATTACTTTTTAATTAAATAACAACCACAACAGTTGGTAGTTTCAACTACAAAGCCAATAATTCTGTCCTATCTCTTGAACAAACTATATTATCAATTGTTTGATCCAACTGGCTCTCTCACTGAATCTGGGCTTTCCCTCTAGGCCTGTTGGGTTTACAGAGGGGATAAACAGCTCAGCCTTGTGTGCCTTGCTTATGACTGATTCTTAAAAATCAAAATATTACTCTCATTCAAAATAACAGTATAAAAGCAGCTTCCCTGAAATACAAATGCATCTCAAAGGTTCTATTTATACATAGCACCACATGTAGTTTGCACTCACAATTTCAGGCCTTTCTTCCAAAGCTTGCGTACAGCTCTTTAATTTTGCCAGGTATGTTTCATTAAATACCATATTATGACTTTCCCCATTCAGAAACCAACTAGGCTTCTTACTGAGAAGATAGAAGGAAAACCTAATTATCACTGCTTCAATGCATCTAAATTTATTTCATTACCCAAATCAACAGAGTAGGGGCTAGCTGCTGTTGCAGAAAGGCAGACGGATATGGAGTATAAACTGCGCTTTCCTCCATTCTTCCTTCCCCTACCCCACCCCTCAAAGTTCCATGGTTGGAAATCATCCTAACATTTTTTCATCCTAACATTTTTTTAGCCAGGATGTACTAAAATTAGATGGGAACAAAGGCCTGACATTTTCCTATTAGCAGAAGGGTTAGGAGGAAAATGTGAACTGACAGCACCCACACTCTTCTACATTTAGCCTCTTCCTCCCAACAGTTCTCTCCTCTTTGCAGCAGTAAGGCAGGCAAAGCTGGGGAACTACAGCCATCCCAATGCCATTTCGATTCTGCTATCATCAATGATAAGCTGCCTGATCTGTAATATATTAATGAAAAATGAGAAATACAGTTCACAGTCCCCTTATTCAACCAGAGTGTTTTCATATTTTTTCCTAAGCTACTCAGAAATATACACGATATGCTAATTGCTGGAACATGTGTAAATTTTTACATATTTGGGAAAACAGATGTATTAGATTTGCTTTTCTTAAGATGCTTCCAGCTACTATGAACAATAAAGATCACTCATTAAAATACTTATCATTTGTTGATACAGTACAGTAATAAAAATACGTACGTAAAAATATAACATGGAAGAATTTATCTTTTCTCATCTCTTCAGGAAACAAAGAAATCATTTCTTTTGAAAACAAAAATGTAGATTTTGGCTTTTTATTTCTTCTTCTAACAAGCTAGGCAAGTAATTTGCAAATACTTTAGGGCTCAACTGATCTCCTAGTTTAAGTCTCTTTTACAGTGGTATCAGCATGACAAAAGTACATTCTGCCAGCCTATACATTTCAGTTTTTGAAGTCCTACTCCAGAAAAGCAGGATAGGATATTGATACATTCATGTCTTAGGAATTATTCCTATCTTTTTAAGTTTATTTCCCTGGGCCTAAACTATAGTGACAGCTCAAAATTCAGCTAGAGAAGTCCTTTTAATGATCAGTCTAATACACTGTGTTGCAAAAGATTTTTAAAACTCAGTAAGTACTGACTCAAGCTCTCTTTTTTCCTGGTTACTGGAGCCCATCTTGACATCTAAGCTGGAAATGAATGATCGTTCAACAACACTCCAGGGATTTTGCTAAGGTCATATTCAATCATTCATTAGGCTTCTTACCCGTCGCTTTTCAGAGTTCCATTGTAGAGCTGGTTTTATTCAGCATTTATGTAGCCTGTGGGCTTGGGTATTTGTCTGCTTGATGTTGAGTTTCATTTCTATGCCCTGAACATAGGAATCCATCAATTGACCAAAGAATTTCAAACTATTCTTTTACTTTTCTAACAAATTGCATGGTGTATATGAAGAATAAATTAGCATTAATTTTCTTCCATTAACTGTTAATAAAACATGCTGATGAGCTCCCTCTTCTTCTATGGACATCTCTGTTTCCTGCCTAACCAAGAGAAATGTAAGGATTTCCTAATTTTTTTCCCCACTATGCAATTGTCTTTCAGCCATATATGCTCTTCACCTCCCACAATCAAGCTCTAGGTCATGGGCAGCCTTCATTCAGTGAAATGTACGAGACAAGACTTCTTTCAGAGCCCATCAACACTCCCTCCCACACACACACACACACACACACACACACACACACGACATTAGCTAAAGAGGTTACTACTGTGGAACACAAGACACTTGGTCTCATACTCTCAAAGCAGAGGGCTGTCCAGGAGCACATACACGTTAGCTTACAGAGCCAAAAACAGGAAATCAAACCCCAGGGCTCTCCCCTGGAGACAAACTGTTCACATTTGTACAGATTTTCATTGTAGGCTACCAGACAGAGACACACACACATACACACACACAATTCGTAAAATAAAATTACTTAAAAGAACATAGACGAAAGTCATTAACATAGCAGGGATACACTATTTCTTTGTATACCAATTTGAAGAAAATTATTTCAAGGCCATAAGAAACTTAACTACTAATATAAGTTCCTTAAAAATTGAGGTTTCTATTATACTCTGGATAAATGTGAATTGAGGTCAACATACAGTACCACATTACAGTATCATAGAAATTTTAAAATAAGTAAGTCCACTGAAGCACATGATTCATAAAAAGACTAAAAGTCTTTTGTATATACTTAGCTCCCTTATTTCTTCAAAAAAAAAACAAAAAAACAAAACCCAGAAGATTGCATGCGTACCACAGATGAAGAAAAAAGGAAAATTCAGTGCTACTACAATGGGAAAAAAATCATTCAAGGACAATTTGTACTTATTTTTAAATGGCTTTAGTCAGGCTGCCAAGAGTGATATCAGGTTTGATTCTCACATACATAAATGCCAGTCCCAAAAAGCAACTCTAACTTGTGCACCTGGCTTAAAACAAAATGTACTGAAAACTTTGTATTTGTTAATTGGGATAACCCACCCATTCAGGCCTCAATTCCCTTTGGACTTGCACACGCACTTCCTACACACAGAAGTGGCCTGTTATGCAGCAATAATCATAGTGAAAAGCAGCAATTCCGTGAAGGCTCCACAGAGAAATCGCGTTTGCATTTCAAACAAGTTTCCTCAAAGTAAGCGTCTTTCGATTAAATGAAATCACAATTCCAGCTTCTTATCCACAGAAAACAGCATTCACTATGTAACTTACTGCTTTTTATAAGTGCATAATTTCTGTCACAGTTACCCACATATTTATACAATTTAACAATACTAAGTTAAATAATGTATTTATGGTTTGTTTCAGGAACCTGGTGACACTTGCTGGCCTGGTTTTTACAGTTTGGTATTATGTGAAAATACTAATTTCTTATTAGCATTTTTGGACCTTCCATTTGTTCTGGTTTTAGTCCCTAAGAAGCTAGCTTCCAGCAGGATTAGAGTAATAAGAAGAGATGACAACTTCCTTTTCCTAACCTTATCAAAAGCTCTATGGTTAAAAAAAAAAAAAAAAAGAAAACCTTCACCTTTGCAAATGGCACTAACATGCCCCAAATAGTGACTCGAAAAGCTTTTCAACAAAGAACCATTCTAAGCTTTTTGTGAATCAAACTCAACATCTCAGTCTAGTCACACAGAAAGCCTAGTTTGTAGGATTAGCACATTAAAATAGCATATACTTAACTCAAAATTCTAAGAGTACTTATCTATGTTATATTTGAAATCAAAGAATATTAATGTGAAAAAAAACAAAGACCCGATCTCAAAAACTATAAAAGTTTCTACAGTTTAAGATCTCCTGTCTTGGTAAAATCAACACAATCTTCTAAAAAATTTAAATTGCATATATTTTGAAGTAATTTCTCACTTTTTACATGTTGAAAATAAAAGCTTTTCAAAAAATGTTATTTTTGTTGACAGTCCACATACATGTCTTCAACTATCTTGTCTTAATGGTTGATCAATGTTGATCTAAATGAAAAACTCACTCCTCTGGCTACCCCTCCCCAAAAAGAAAAGGGACGTAATGTTAGACTTACTCAATACAGGAGTAACATTTGCCAAACAAAAAGTCACTTATGTAACCCAATAGGCCCACAAAGCTGAAAATCATCAAAAAATTATGCAAAAATTTGTATTTAGCTCCAATATTAAAATATTACCACAAATACAAAATGGTATTAAGTATGAATATGACTTATCTTTTCAAAAACATTAATAAACTGTTTCTCTTGCCAAATTAGCCCCTAACTAGAACATCTTTGTGCATGTATCGCTGAGGGCTTATATAACTTACACTACCCTTTCACAGAAGAATGACAAAATTCTTAATAGAGGCAAGTCTTTGAGTAGGGAGATGGGGAAAAGTAATGAAGGATGATATGAGACAGAGTTGGCTGACTGCTATTCTGATACTCCACAGATGAACACTAATAAAGTAACTACCCATCTTTTCTAACTGAACTTTATATGTAATCATCATGGGTCTCCAGCTGTACTGTAAATGCTACAAAGGCAAAGACTAAGCACCTGTGAGGCAGAATATGCTAGGAGAAGAGTATGTGTTTTAAAGTCAGACAGACCCAGATAAAAATCCTGGCTCCATCCTGTACTGTTGAACCTCATAAAAGTGACTTCACTTCTCTCAGCTTCATTTTCCTTATACGTAGAAACAAGAACAAGCAATACATACCTCAAGAAGACATTGAAAGGACTCAATTACTTAATAAGACAACTTAACATAGCGCTAGCAAATAATAACATTCCTTAGTTCTCTTTCCTTCTACTACCCTTACAGTGTGTAGAAGACCATAGCTGCAAAATGCAGGCTTGATAACTTGAGCAACTGATACATTTCTCTGATTTTGTTTAATTATATACATAAAGGTAAGAGGCCTTTTCACAGGTATTAATTAAGTTTAAAAATAACCGCCATCCAACACAAAATAGTATTTCTTGTTATATTTCATAAACAGTCTAACAAAACACTAACAAAGTTATTTTGCTTATTATTCTGATGCTGGAATAATTTGGTCAAATATTCATAAATAGTTATCAACTTTACCAAGGCACAAAAATCAAGAATACATGCTTTCTATAAACTCATTTACTACTTTAAAGTTTTTAACTGTTTAGCAGTTATAGGAAATTTTTTTAATCGAAAAGAAAACTATTTACATTTCAAATACAAAAGAAAATTAAAATTATTCTTGATTGATCTCTAAAACCCAACCACTTAGATGCTCATTATTATTATTTTCTTTCACCAATCCAGTATACTCTATTCAACATGTGCATCCTGTGTACTTACTAAGCATTTATTTGCACAAGGATTTTCTGTGTCAGGTTAACTTTGCTGTGTAGATTCTGTGTAGCTACCTGAATTCGTCCAAGAAAAAGTCTCACATTTTTTGGAAAACCAATGCTGCTACACTGTTTCCAGATCTGCCTCCAAAGCTGAACTTGGGTGTTGGTAGCTCTTCGAGAAGTTCAAATCCTGTCAGACAAAATTTAAATACTTTTATTAAGAATTGAGTCTCATACTTACATGTATTTATATGCATGCATTAACACTGTACCATTGAACCCTTTGTAAAACTATGATTCCAAACTCTAAATTGTGCTGAATTTCACTTCATGATTTTTCAATTCTACTATGTATGTACAGCATATGTATGCTCCTCCAAAATCACTTTGAATTTAACAAGGAAAAGACAAGACCAAAAACAATTTGGAAAAAACAGGCTTTCCATCCACCTCCCATTTCCTCCACTTCCTGTTTGTCATCTCTGCAAAGCTGTATCTCTGTTAGCCTCTATCACCTGGTTTGTAGGAAGCAGCTAGCATGTGTCGAGTTTTTTTGTTTGTTTGTTTGCTTTTTGAGACGGAGTCTCACTCCATCACCGAGGCTGGAGTGCAGTGGCACAAGCTCAGCTCACTGCAACCTCTGCCTCCAGAGTTCAAGCGATTCTCACTTCAGCCTCCCAAGTAGCTAGAATTACAGTTATGCACCACCACACCCGGCTAATTTTTCATATTTTAGTAGAGACAGGGTTTCGCCATGTTGGCCAGGCTGGTCTGGAACGCCTGATCTCAAGTGATCCACCCACCTCAGCCTCCCAAAGTGCTAGGATTACAGGCGTGAGCAACATCGCCTGGCCCTGTGTTGAGTTCTTGCTAAGCGCCAGGCATTATTTTGAGTGCTTCATATGTAGTAATCTAATTAATTCACACCACACATATTAAAGCACTTAATACAGAAAGGCAAAATAACTTGGAAATATAAATGAATTTGTAGAAGATGAAAAAGTTCTGGAGAAGGGTAGTGATGACAATTGCACAAAAAAATGTAAATGTACTTAATACCACATAAGTATACACTTAAAAATGGTTATAAAATGGTATGTTATGTGTATTTCAGCAGAATTAAAAACAGTAATTTATAACAAAGATGAAGACTCAAACTAAACGAACTAATAAAGGGCCTGGAAGACAAGGAACTAGTAACTTTCAAAGCATCACAGTATGGTTTAAAAAAAATTAACTTGGCGTCTAAAATCCTAGGTTCAAATCCTAGGTTCAAAAAATTAACTTGGAATCTAAAATCCTAGGTGAAGTCTCAGCTTCAGCACTTACTAAATGAGACAGGCTGTCAAGTTACCTCTACCATGATCCTGATTTCTATGCACTTTCTATCACTTAAGGCTAGGTATTCAAGACCAGCCGGGGCAACATGGCGAAACCCCATCTCTAAAAAAATACAAAAATAAGCCGTTGTGGTGGCCTGTGCCTGTGCGCCTGTAGTCCCAGCTACTTGGGAGGCTGAAGTGGGAGATGCCTGGATGATGGAGGCTGTGGTAAGCCGAGATTATCCCACTGCACTCCAGCCTGGGCAACAGAGCCAGACTCTGTCTCAAAATAAATTTTAAAATTAAAGTAAAATAAAACGCCAATCAAGGTTTTCCCTCATTGATGGACCTATTAGTTTTGGAATATTTTTTTCTTGAGGCAGGGGTGGGGTTCTGTATTTTTCTAAATTTTCATGCTTTGAGCTCAAATAACTCTTATAAACAGAAAAAAATGTTTTAAGTGATGTATACTGGCCGGGTGCAATGGCTCAGGCCTCTAATCCCAGCCTTAAGCTACTAACGCCAATGCGCCACCCCACGCCATCAAATTCACTGTGATTTTGTAAAGATCCAAATAAGGTAATGTAGTGTTTTCCTAAACTATGAAATAAAATGTTATATTATTTTGCTTTTAAAAAATAAATAAAGCTGGAAGGTCACTTACTAAAATGCCAACGAGGGCCTGGCATGGTATAATCCCAGCACTTTGGGAGGCCAGGTGGGAGAATCACTTGAGCCCAGGAGTTCCAGACCAGCCTGGACAACATGGCAAAACCTCGTCTCTGCTAAAAATACAAAAATTATCCAGGCATGATGATGTGTGCCTGTAGTTCCACCTACTCGGGAGGCTGAAGTGGAAAAGATCGCTTGAGCCCAGGAAGTCAAGGCTGCAGTGAGCCAAAATCCTGCCACTGTACTCCAACCTGGGCAACAGAGAGAGAGACAGACCGTTTCAAAAACAGAAATAAAAATTATATTATTGCATCAATTGGTCTATCATACTATTTCATTATACATCCTAATTCATGTTATCTAATTTCACCAAATCATAATAACCGAATATTATAATGCTTATTAAAAGCTTATCGTAAGAAAACTTTTCCAAATTATGACATTCCTTTTAATAAAATAATATGATGTTTCTTAATGCTGGAAAATGCAGGCATTGTCCTGGATACATGCATAGTTATACACCCATATTTGTTTTCAAAAATTTTACAAATGCTCTGGATATTTAATAATAAAAATTTTCTGTCTGTATAAATTTTCCAGGACTAACTTTTCAACTCCCTGAACTAACCCTACAGAATTGGAGTTATTATATTTCAAAATAGAATATACCAAAATATTAATAGTGGTTGTACTCCACTGATGGTAAACAAATTGTCTTAATTATTTTAATCTGTATGCTTATGTGTTGACGTTATTGATATTTTTCAATTATTTAGATAATAAATTTGAATTACTTTTTCTTTTAAAGGATAGCTCCCCAAACCTGAATAGATTCAGAAAGACTCCCTTAAATTGCTTCTGAAGTAAGATGGGTGGTTATTGTTTTCATTCATTCACTGTCATAAAGTCAAGTCCCTTCGACATCAAATTAGAACATGGGCAACTGGTTCCAGGTAACCCTCACTAAAAAAATTATAACACAAAGTATTTGTACAATCAGGGGTATCATGGAAAAAATGCAAGATCTGTTTCAACAATTTTATGAACATTTATAGTTCAAATAAGAAAGAACCTTAAAAGATTGGTGAAACAAGCTTTATTTTATGCAAAGAGAATGTGGCAGCCAGTATGAGTAGTCAGGAACAAGACCTTTGGCAGTGACGCAAGGCAGTGTATTCTGTTACTGTCCCATATCTAACTCCAAATACCATTTTCTAAGGGACTCATGCCTAAAAAATGTTTTCAATTGTATATAATTATTTATATAACATTTCCCATTATAATATTTTGCTTAAATTCTGTATTTTGTTCTAAAATTGAACATAGTTTACTTAATAGTTTTCAGACAAAGACACATTTTTAAGTACTCTAACCAGGCTAAAGTCTGTTCCTCATTATCAAAGACAGACAAATATGTTTTTGTCTGCTGGTTCTAGGAGTAAAAAAGAACACCTGTATTTAAAAACCAGGAAAGAAACTTGCCCTACACAGTGTAACTTTGAGCATTTATTAAAACTGTCAAAGTTCAGGAAGAGGAAAGACTTATTGATACAGGGCCTCAACAGTTCTAAAGGAAACAAATTTAACATGGAAGATAATAAAATAAATGGCATGAAAGAAAAGACAATAAATCACATATAATTCTTGTTTTCCAGAGGCAATAGTAATGAAGCCATAAGCTCATATTTCAAGCCTCAAACACTTCAGGTTTTACATTATATAATCTGTCAAAGCCATTGAACACACACAAAAGGACATGTATTAAGTGTTCTCCCAGCCTGTTCCCTTAATACTAAAAAGAAAACAAACTCTAAAATAAGGTATATGCAGTACGGTTATAAATAATGGTACACAGTAAACTATTCTCTTGAGGTAATTCACTTTCCATTAGCTTGTGACAACTGAGGTTCAAAATTTAACCAAATATTGAGTACCATATTATTTACCCAAGACTCCATCCTGAAAATTTATCCTATCCTTTAAAAAGTGCAGGATCAAAAAAAAAAAAAAAACAAACTAATCTGAAAAGGATTCTAAGAAAAAACAAGCAAATATCTGTAGATTCTCAAGATACTTTCCCAGAAATGCCTGTGCACTACATAAAAAACTGGCAGATAAAATATTTCTTACAAAATGCAAGGAACAGTCTGCCAGAGAACTCAAAATATTTTGTGTATAGATTACAGATTCTCAGTTCTCACAAGATCTCCACTAAGTAGATACTGCACTAATTACACTTTGCTAACTAGGCAAAAAAGGATCCTGCCTCAGCACTAGAATCTTCTATCAATTCCCTACATTTTAATTCCGTGCAATCTTAAAAATAATTGTTCTATATCCTCTGAAACCAAGAACTGTTCTATCATCTCTGAAGACCTAAATGACCGCTAGTGCAAGACAGCTAAAGTATCTATAATATCAAAACTCTCAGCATGTAAGACGGAAGTACTTCTTCCATTTGCATTATTATGGATTTGCCAGTAAATCAGTGCACTGAAGCCAGAAGCACAATATATGTGCTTTTTGTTTGATTCTATAAATAATAGATTATATACCTTAAATAAAAGATTGTACGACTCAAATAGAGAACTTAAGTTTTTCTCTTTTTTTGTTTAGATGTGTCTCACTCTGTCACCCAGGCTGGAGTGCAGTGGCACAATCTCGACTCACTGCAACCTCTGCCTCCTGGGCTTATGCGATCCTCTCACCTCAGTCTCCTAAGTAGCTGGGACTACAGGCACGCGCCACCAATCCCAGCTAATTTTTTGTATTTTTAGCAGACACAGGGTTTCGCCACATTGCCCAGGCTGAGAACTTAATTTTTACAGGCTCATAAATGTTAGTACTTAACTGCCAAGATTTCTCAGAAAAAATTTTAAAAGATCTCTGGATCTCAACCAATGTTATTTCTCTGTGCTTTGCATATACAGTCAAAAGTTATTGTCAAGGTAATTAACAGAGAAAAAAGCAGGCAATTCCCACAAATAGAAAAGTAAAACACTATAACACAAAACGGGGAGAAAACCTATTTAAGTACATGAAACCTGAGGTAAGCACACATTTAAACACCATATAGTCACTTACCTTCACTGAATTCATTTAGCAACTCTTCCTTGGTCCAATTACATGACGTTATTAGAAAAAAGCCTTTTACTTTCAACACCCTGGAGAGAGATTTCACATATTGCTTCCTCTTCTCAATTGCATTGTCAGGATTAAGGCTTATGGCATCAAAAGTCCCTTTGTCAATACAAATATGAAATCCAGACAGCTGTGTGGAGAGATTCAAAAAGTCTTCTACCTATATTAAAAGTCAATGTCTATGTGAGAACAATTAAAACAAAATCCTTACAGAATGTAAGTGACAACCTGTAAAAGGTTATTAATAAAAGGACCCATTAATTATAATGGCATTTTACATATAATAAACATATTTTCAACTTTATAGCTAACTTTTATGAGCTTCAGTCCAAGATCATTAAAGCCAAGATTAATAAGAGAGACTGGTATTTCCTGAACATTCCAAATCTCTACAAATTTGGAAACAAATCAAAGCTAGCCATATTCCCTAATAATACCAGCACATTATGGAGCTCACAAGCCTAGTTTATGAAAAACCTGTTTCTGTCAAAAAGTAGAAAATTTGACATATTCTTAAAAATGACAATTTATTTGGAACTAAGTTCACTGGAAATAAGATTTCTTGAAGACAGGAGTCTTGCTATGTTGCCCGGGATAGACTTGAAAACCTGAGCTAAGCAATCCTCCCATCTCAGCCTTCCTAAGTAGATGTGGCCACAGCACTCAGCTATGGGAATAAGATTTTTAACTTATATTCCTAGTGTGTAACCTAAAATAAACACGGTAGATCAAAAGTTCTTGGGCCTTGGCTGGTCTGAGTGCAGTGGTGTTTACAACTAATCGATCAAAACCAGTTACAAATTTATTCCTTCCTTCTCTATTATCACTGCTTCACTTGACCAGCCTTTAAAAAAAAAAAAGAATTTCTTGGGTCTTGACTAAGCAGCTTACGAAATTACTAATGGATATAATGAATGGCATAAGGCTTAAGAAATTAAATAACTGTTAAACTGTAATTACTTCAGTTGGAGGTGTGAAGTCATACATCACCATCTCATTCACTGTTAATAACCTGATGCATACTAAGCATCGGAAATAGCAATCCGCCTCAATTTTATAAAATATTCACAATTTACCAATGAAAATTCTGAAAACTCATTTTGAAAAAAATAATTAGGCAATTAGCTCACAATTATTCACACACATTTAATACAGCAATTGTAAATCATGTTTAATCTAAAACTCTATTGACTTAAAAATGTATATATTATGTTGATGTATATTGGAAGGTGGGTCTTCTCCCTTCCTTCATGTCCAAAGTATTCATTATACCTGAAGCAAAATAATGACTATCACTCTGAAGAGCTAACTTTGAAGAGGCTTCCTCATCCTAAATGCCTATATAAAAATACTCATCTATTCAGCAAATATTTTGTGGACATCTATTGTCAGGTACTTTTCAGACCCTGGATATAACAGTAAACAAAACAGAGCCAGGCGCAGTGGCTCACGCCTGTAATCCCAGCACTTTGAGAGGCCAAGGCAGGAGGATCACGAGGTCAGGAGATCAAGACCATCCTGGCTAACACGGTGAAATCCTGTCTCTACTAAAAATACAAAAAATTAGCCAGGAGTGGTGGTGGGCGCCTGTAGTCCCAGCTACTCGGCAGGCTGAGGCAGGAGAATGGCGTGAACCCGGGAGGCAGAGCTTGCAGTGAGCCGAGATCACGCCATTGCACTCCAGCCTGGGAAACAAAGCTAGACTCCATCTTAAAAAAAAAAAAAAAAAAAAAAACAGTAAACAAAATAGAAAAGGTCCCTGTATGAAAACATACCTTATATTGGCCGGGCGCAGTGGCTCACGCCTGTAATCCCAACACTTAGGGAGGCCAAGGCAGACGGATCATGAGGTCAGGAGATCAAGACCATCCTGGCTAACACGGTGAAACCCTGTCTCTACTAAAAATACAAAAAATTAGCCGGGCGTGGTGGCATGTGCCTGTAGTCCCAGCTACTTGGGAGGCTGAGGCAGGAGAATTGCTTGAACTGGGAAGCAGAGGTTGCAGTGAGCAGAGATCGCACCACTGCACTACTGTCTAGGCGACAGGGCGAGACACTGCCTCAAAAAAAAAAAAAAAAGAAAAGAAAAGAAAAGAAAGAAAATATACCTTATATTCTACAAAGAGAAAGATAAAAGATAAATAAGCTAAATAAGTAACTTCAGATAAAGTGCCATGAAGAAAATAAAGCCAGAGAAATAAGACATTAAGTGACTTGGAAGAGAAACAGTTTGGAAAAGAGTAGAAACTTTTCTTGGCCAGGCATAGTGGCTCACACCTATAATCCCAACACTTTGGGAGGCCGAGACGGGTAGATCACCTGAGGTCAGGAGTTCGAGACCAGCCTGACCAACATGGACAAACCCCGCCTCTACTAAAAATACAAAAATTAGCTGGGCGTGGTGGCGCATGCCAGTAATCCCAGCTAATCGGGAGGCTGAGGCAGGAGAATCGTTTGAACCCAGGAAACGGAGGTTGCGGTGAGCCGAGATCACGCCATTGCACTCCAGCCTGGGCAACAAGAGTGAAACTCCATCTCAAAAAATAAAAACAAATAAATAAATAAAGTTTTCTCTAAGGTGTTATTTGAGCAAAGATCTGAATTATGAGAATGAACCAAACATGCTAAGATCTGGGGCAAGAATACTCTAGGCAGAGGGCAGCAAGTATACAGACTCAAAACAAGCTTGACATGTTTCAGGAACAGAAGAAAAGCCAATGTGACCGAGTATTGATGATAAACGAGGAAGAAGGTAAGAAATGAGGGACTTTGTAAGGCTGGATGAGGTTCAGAATCTATTTACAATGCAATGGGGAAGTCAGTTCAGGATTGTGAGCAAGGAAGCGACATGAACAGACATTTTTAAAAATCTGGCCAGGGCTGAACACAGTGGCTCATGCCCATAATCCCAGCACTCTGGGAGGCCAAGGTAGGTGGATCTCTTGAGGTCAGGAGTTTGAGACCAGCCTGACCAACATGTTGAAACCCGGTCTCCACTAAAAATACAAAAATTAGGCCGGGCGCAGTGACTCACACCTGTAATCTCAACACTTTGGGAGGCCGAGGCAGGCAGATCACCTTAGGTCGTGAGTTCAAGGCCAGCCTGAGCGACGTGCTGAAATCCCATCTCTACTAAAAAAATACGAAGAAAATTAGCTGGGTGTGGTGGTGCATGCCTGTAGTCCCAGCTACTTGGGAGGCTGAGGAATGAGAATTGCTTGAACTCAGGAGGCCGAGGTTGCAGTGAGCCAGGATGGTGCCACTGCACTCCAGCCTGGGCAACAGAAAAAGCCTCCGTCTCAAAAAATAACAAAGAAAAAATCACTCTGGCTGCCCTGTGGTAAAAGAACATCAGAGCAGCATGAGTGGAAATGGAGGGGCAAAATCAAAGGCTACTGTAGTAGTTTAAACAAGAAATAATGGTGGTTCGGACTTCACAGGGAGCAATTGAGATAACAAGAAATGATCACATTCTTGATATATTTTGAAGATAAAACTGGCCAGAAGCAGTGGCTCATACCTGTAATCCTAGCACTTTGGAAAGCAGAGGCAGGCAGATTGTTTGAGGCCAGGAATTCAAGACTAGCCTGGGCAACATGACAAAACCCCATCTCTACAAAAAAATTAGGTGTGGTGAAGCAGGCCTGTAGTCCCAGCTACTCTGGAGGCTTTGGTGGAAGAATCACTTGAGCCCAGGAGATTGAGGCTGCAATGAGCTGTAATAACACCACCGCACTCCAGCCTGGGCTACAGGGCAAGACACTGTCTCCAAAAAAAAAAAAAAAATATATATATATATATGTGTGTATAAATAAAACGAACAGAATTGGATATAGGACTTTAAGGAAAAAGAAGAATCAAGGATGACTCCTTGGGTTTTGTGTAAATGCAACAGGGTAAATGGGAGTGTTATTAGTAGAAACGGGAAAGACTGGGGAAATCAGGTCTGAGGAGGAAACCAAGAGTTTCATTTTGGACTAATTAAGTTGAGAGACTATTAGCTTTCCAAATGGAAGTTTTGAACAGGCAGATTTTACAAGCATCCCTCAGAGATATTGCAAGTTCTGTTCCAGACCAACACAACAAAGCAAACACCACAATGAAGCAAGTCACACAAAATTTTTGGTTTCCCAGTGCATATAGAAGTTATGTTTACACTGTATTACAGTCTATTAAGTGTGCAATAGCATTATGTCTTTTTAAAAAATGGGTGCCTTGCCAGGCATGGTGGCTCGCACCTGTAATCCCAGCACTTTGGGAGGCCAAGGTGGGTGGATCACCTGAGGTCAGGAGTTCAAGACCAGCCTGACCAACATAGTGAAACCCCATCGCTACTAAAAATACAAAAATTAGCCGGGCATGGTGGCACATGCCTATAATCCCAGCTACTCGGAGGCTGAGGCAGGAGAATCGCTTGAAACCGGGAGGCAGAGGTTGTGGTGAGCCGAGATCACACCATTGCATTCCAGCCAGGGCAACAAGAGCGAAACTCCATCTCAAAAAAAAAAAAAAAAAAAAAAAAATTGGGTGCCTTAAAAAATACTTTATTGTAGGCCAGGAGTGGTGGCTCATGCCTGTAATCCCAACACTTTGGGAGGCCAAGGTGGAGGGATCATCTGAGATCAAGAGTTTGATACCACCCTGGTCAACATGATGAAATCTCGTCTCTACTAAAAAAATACAAAAATGGCCGGGCGTGGTAGCTCACACCTGTTATCCCAGCACTTTGAGGGGCCGAGGCGGGTGGATCACAAGGTCAGGAGTTCAAGACCAGCCTGGCCAATATGGTGAAACCCCATCTCTACTAAAAATACAAAAATTAGCTGGGTGTGGTGGCGGGTGCCTGTAGTCCCAGCTACTCGGGAGGCTGAGGCAGGACAATCACTTGAACCCAGGAGGCGGAAGTTGCAAGTGAGCCAAGATCACACCACTGCACTTCAGCCTGGGTGACAGAGCAAGACTCCATCCCCCACAAAAAATACTTTATTGTTAAAAAAACACTAACAAGCCATCATCGAAATCATGAGTAAGTCATAATCTTTTCTCTGGCTGGAGGGCCTTGCCTCAATAAGGATGCCTGCTGACTGATCAAGGTATTGGTTGCTGAAGGCTGGGGTAGCTGTGAAAATTTCCTAAAATAAGACAGTAATAAAGTTTGCCGTATCGACTGATTCTTCCTTTTATGAAAAATTTCTCTGGAGTACATGATATTGTTTGATAGCATTTTACACACAGCAGAACATCCTTCGATATTGGAGGCAATGCTCTCAAACCTTGCTACTGCTTTATCAACTAAGTTTATGGAATATTCAAAATCCTTTTTCAACAATGTTCACAGTAGATTCCATCTCAAGAAACCACTTTCTCTGGTCGTCCACCATAAGAAGCAACTCCTTATCTGATCAAGTTTTATCAAGAGACTGTAGCAACTCAGTTACACCTTCTGGCTCCACTTCTAATTCTAGTTTGCTACTACCACTGTATTTGCAGTTAATTCCTCCATTGAAATCTTGAACCTCTCTCCAAGTCATCCATTAAGGTTGGAATCAGCTTCTTCCAAACTCCTGTTAATGTTGATATTCTGACCTCCCATGAATTATAAATGTTCTTCACGACAGGCAGAATGGTGAATCATTTCCAGAAGGTTTTCTTTTTTCTTTTTTTTTTTTGAGACAGAGTCTTGCTCTGTCGCCCAGGCTGGAGTGCAGCGGCTAGATCTCAGCTCACTGCAAGCTCCGCCTCCCAGGTTCACGCCATTCTCCTGCCTCAGCCTCCCAAGTAGCTGAGACTACAGGCACCTGCCACCACACCTGGCTAATTCTTTGTATTTTTAGTAGAGATGGGGTTTCACCATGTTAGCCAGGATGGTCTTGATCTCCTGACCTTGTGATCCGCCC
The DNA here is from genome assembly GCF_000001405.40 of Homo sapiens. Taxonomy (NCBI): domain Eukaryota; kingdom Metazoa; phylum Chordata; class Mammalia; order Primates; family Hominidae; genus Homo; species Homo sapiens. The sequence continues at coordinate 124,771,346 of NC_000010.11, forward strand.
ACCTTGGCCTCCCAAGATGCTAGGATTACAGGCGTGAGCCACCGCGCCCAGCCCATTTCCAGAAGGTTTTCAATCTACTTTGCCCAGATGCATCAGACGAATCACTATCTATGACATCCATAGCCTTATGAAATGCATTTCTTAAATAACACATTTAAGACTGTAAAGTCGAAATTACTCCTTGATCCATCACGGGCTACAGAACAGATCCTGTGTTAACAGGCATAAAAACAAGATTAATCGGCTGGGCATGGTGGCTCACGCCTGTAATCCCAGCACTTTGGGAGGCCAAGGCAGGCGGATCACCAGGTCAGGAGATCCAGACCACCCTGGCTAACACGGTGAAACCCCATCTCTACTAAAAATACAAAAAATTAGCCAGGTGTGGTGGCAGGCACCTGTAGTCCCAGCTACTTGGGAGGCTGAGGCAGGAGAATGGCATGAACCTGGGAGGCAGAGCTTGCAGTGAGCTGAGATCGAGTCACTACACTCCAGCCTGGGTGATAGAACAAGACTCCGTCTCAAAAAAAAACAAGATTAATCTTCTTATATATCTCCATCAGAGCTCTTGGGTGAATTCATGCATTGTCAATGAACAGTAATACTTTGAGTCTTTTTCTTTTGGGGCAGTAGGTCTCAAAAATGGGCTTAAAATACTCAGTAAACCATACTGTAAACAGATGTGCCGTTATCCAGGCTTTGTTGTTCCATTTATAGAGCTCATGCAAAGAAGATCTAGCATAATTCTTACGGGCCCTCAGATTTTCGGAATGGGAAATGGGCATTGGCTTCAACTTAAAGTCATCAGCTGCATTAGCCCCCTCTAACAATAATGTCAGCCTCTCCTCTGAAGATTTAAAGCCAGGCACTGACTTCTCCTCTCTAGCTATGTAACTCCTACATGGCATCTTCTTCCAATATAAGGCTATTTCATCTCCATTGGAAATCTGTGTGTTGTTTAGCCAGCTTCACTGGTTATTTCCTAGCTAACTTGCTACACCTTCTACCTTCTACATCAGTACTTAGTGCTTTATCTTGCACTTTTATGTCATGGAGATGGCTTCTTTTCTTTTTCTTTTTTTTTTTTTTTTTTTTTTTTTTGAGATGGAGTCTCGCTCTGTTGCCCAGGCTGGAGTGCAGTTGCGCGATCTTGGCTCACTGCAACCTCTGCTTCCCAGGTTCAAGCGGTTCTCCTACCTCAGCCTCCCAAGTAGCTGGGATTACAGACACCCACCACCATGCCCAGCTAACTTTCTGTATTTTTAGTAGAGACAGTTTCAGCATGTCGGCCAGGCTGGTCTTAAACTCCTGGCCTCAGGTGATCCTCCCACCTTGGCCTCCCAAAGTGCTAGGATTACAGGCGTGAGCCACTGTGTCCAGCCAAGATGGCTTCTGTTCTTAAATCTCATGAACTAACTACTGCTAGCTTCAAACTTTTCTTCTGCAGCTTCTTCACCTCTCTCAGCCTTCACAGAATTGAAAAGAGTCAAGGCCTTGCTCTGGATTAGGCTGTGGCTTGAGAGAATGCTATGGCTGGTTTGATCTTCTATCTGGAGCACTAAAACTTTCTCCGTAACAGCAATAAGGCTGTTTGACTTTCTCATCATTCATGTGTTCACTGGAATACCACTTTTAATTTCCTTAAAGAAATTTTGTTTTGCATTCACAACTTGACTAAATTTTGTCACAAGAGGCCTAGCTTTTGGCCTATCGCGGTTTTCAACATGCCTTCCTCACTAAGCTTAATCATTTCTAGCTTTTGATTTAGAGTGAGAGATGTGTGACTCTACCTTTCAACTGAACACTTACAGGCCACTGTGTTGAGGTGGGGGTTGTTTATTTTTTATCCTTGTTTTTTTATTTTTGTTTTTTGAGACGCAGTCTCCCCGTCACCCAGGCTGGAGTGCAGTGGCACAATCTTAGCTCACTGCAACCTCCACCTTCCAGGTTCAGGCAATCCTCCTGCCTCTGTTTTTTTTTAAAACAGTCTCCCTCTGTTGTCCAGGCTGGAGTGTAGTTGGGACTACAGGTGCCCGCCACCACACCTGGCTATTTTTTGTACTTTTGGTGGAGATATGGTTTCACCATGCTGGCCAGGCTAGTCCCAAACTCCTGACCTCAAAGTGATCTGCCCACCTCAGCCTCCTAAAGTGTTGGGATTACAGGCATTAGCCACTGCGCCTGTCCCACTGTAAGGTTTTTAATTGGCCTAATTTCAATATTGCTGTGTCCCAAGAAAGAAGGAGGCTTGAGGAGGAGGGAGGAAGATAGGAGACCAGCCAGTAGGTAGAGCAGACAGAACATACATTTATCAATTAAGCTCACCATCTTACGTGGGCACAGTTCATGGCACGCCAAAACAATTACAATAGTAATATCAAAGATCAATGATCATGAATCACCATAACAGATAAAATAATAATGAAAAGCTCTGAAATATTACAACAATTACCAAAATGTGACACACAGATACAAAGTGAGAACATGCTGTTGAAAAAATGGTGTCAACAGATGGGGCTCAACAGGCTTGCCACAAACCTTTGATTTGTCAAAAAACATACCATTTGGGAAGCCAAAAAAACAGGGCATGCCTGTCTATAACTCTAGAGCTGAGAAGAGAGGCCTGGGCTAGAAATGTAAATTTAGGAATCATCATCTCACAGATCATAGGACACAAAAATAAACTAAATGATTTTTGGTGACATTATACCACTTGATGCATTTAAAACCTTTTGATGTGGGCAGGGCGCGGTGGCTCACGCCTGTAATCCCAGCACTCTGGGAGGCCGAAGCGGGCAGATCACGAGATCAGGAGATCGAGACCGTCCTGGCTAACACGGTGAAACCCCATCTCTACTAAAAATACAAAAAATTAGCTGGGCGTGGCTGCAGGCGCCTGTAGTCCCAGCTACTTCAGAGGCTGAGAGAGGAGAATGGCATGAACCCAGGAGGCGGAGCTTGCAGTAAGCCGAGATGGCGCCACCGCACTCCAGCCCTCCAGCCTGGGCAACTGAGCGAGACTCAGTCTCAAAAAAAAAAAAAAAAAAAAAAAAAAAAAAAAAAAACCCTTTTGATCTGGTTAATCCATAGTTAAGTATTATGTGTATTTGCAAACATCAGGAGCAGTAGTGTATGAACAAACATACAGAAGAAAAAATAATTTCCCCAAACCAACTAGATTAAATTTTTAATATGGCTATTTAAAAATGTTTCAATTTGTATTATTTATGATTGATCCCTAATTTATGAGTTTAAAACCTGTCAATTAATATGCTCTAGAAACATTTAACCTCTATTGTAAATATTATAGTAATATAAATAATAGTTACCTTTAACTTAATGTTAGATAAACCTTCTTTTTCTATAATACTTCCAGAAAGCTGAATTGCAGAAGGAGAGTAATCAATTCCAGTAATATTAGAGAAACCAAATTTTGCCTAGAGAGAAATAATTTTATACTTTAGTATAAAATTTTAATATAATGTTTTGTTTATGAATTATAATATTCCTTTAGGACTGGTGATGTCTTATTTTTGATGTAGAGAAAATGACATATAATCCAATTCATAATGCTTAAATTTTATTGTAGACTCTAAATAAAAACTGAAAGTGTATATACTATGACAATACCTTTGTTTTCATAATATTTTATCTCTTTTTCAAAAGGAAATTCATGTTCTCAAAAATAATGAAAATATATGTATAAGCCCTCAGGCAAAAAAAGGTAACATTAACTTTTGATGCTGATAATTTCCAATTCACACATAAATTTGTCATATATTTTACTTAACCCAATTAAATTATATTAACAAAATCAATGCAAATGTAATAAGCTATCAATTTTTAAATTTTCCCTTCAGTGTAATTATACATTATGCAATTCTCCACCAGCCATGTGATTTTTAACCATTCTACATTTGTATACTACTTTTACGTCTTTAAAAATATTTCATACATCCCATTAGATCTTTACAGAAAACCTGTGAGGTAGGGTGGGCAGGTATCAGTATCCCCAAGAAGTTTCTTTAACTCAATGGACTTGAGAGTTTTGGTGTTTGCTAGCCATTAACCCATCTAGGCTGTGTAGTGTCTATGGCAAAAGCATGGAAGCTTCTGGTCTTTACACACCCCCTAACAACACTAAACATTTTTAGACCAATGAGACTAAAAATAATTTCAAAGGAAACATGAAAAACAAAGTAAGTTACAAAGTACAGTATAGCCTGAAATTCCCTTCCTGCTCTTCACCATTTACTAAATGGTTACTTCCTTTAAAACTTAACCTACTGCCACATCAAATCCATGAAGACCTACCAAGTCTTTTTAACCCTAAGTAACTGATTCCTAATCTAAACTCAAGGAACAAGTATACCAATTACTTTCTACAGGTAGATTGCTCCCTTTATTTTTGTTTTTAATCTAAAGGTCTAATATTCTCTTTTTTGATGCCAACCTTCCACCCTTTTAGCTGTATCCCTCCTTATTCCTTGAGATTTTCTCCCCATTTCCCTTAACTGCTTCTCTGGGAGACCTAGAACCCAGGATGAGTCTATTAACTGATTCTTACCGGTTCCTTCTTTTTTTTTTTTTGAGACAGAGTCTCGCTCTGTCGCCCAGGCTGCAATGCAGTGGCACGATCTCGGCTCACTGAAAGCTCTGCCTCCCGGGTTCACACCATTCTCCCACCTCAGCCTCCCAAGTAGCTGGGACTACAGGCGCCCGCCACCACGCCCAGCTAATTTTGTTTTTGTATTTTTAGTAGAGATGGGGTTTCACCGTGTTAGCCAGGATGGTCTTGATCTCCTGACCTCGTGATCCGCCCACCTCGGCCTACCGGTTCCTTCTTTTCCCATGCCTGTTTATTCTTCTAGTACAACTTATAAAAATCACAAATAGATGTTTTAGGTTTCTAGAGATATCACTCAGGGCCTCAAACTATCTCCAATGTCTTTCACATTCAATTTCTGGCACCCAAAAATGAGCAGACATTCAAGGAAACAACCAAACCCAAGGGGAGAAATTGACTTTAGAAACAGACCCGACAGGAGACCCAAATAAATGAATTTTCAGAAAAAGATTTCAAAACAACTGACAGAAATGACAATGACAAGTGGGAGAATTCTAGCAGAGAACTGAAAACCACAACAGAGAAACAAACAGGGCCAGACACGGTGGCTCACGCCTATAATCCTAGCACTCTGGGAGGCGGAGGCAGGCAGACCACCTGAGGTCAGGAGTTCAAGACCAGCCTGGCCAACACGGTGAAACCCCATCTCTACTAAAAACACAAAAATTAGCCAGGCTAATTTTGTGGTGGTGAGTGCCTGTAATCCCAGCTACTCGGGAGGCTGAGGCAGGAGAATTGCTTGAACCCGGGAGGTGGAGTTTGCAGTGAGCCGAGATCATGCCACTGCACTCCAGCCTGGGCAACAGAACAAGACTCTTGTCTCAAAAAAAATAAAATAAAAAATAACATAATTGAAAAATACAGTAATTAGGAAGTTCAAGGGTGGGCTTGATAGCAGACTACACACAGCAAAAAATAAAAAAAAAATCAGCAAAGAACAGTCAGAAGAAAATATCCCTGTTATACACAGAATGACAAAAGAATGGAAAATTAAAAACAGGAAAGAATATCAAAGACATAATATGGGCCGGGCATGGTGGCTCAAGCTTGTAATCCTATCATTTTGGGAGGCCAAGGCAGGTGGATCACCTGAGGTCAGGAGTTTGAGACCAGCCTGGCCAACACGGTGAAACCCCTCTTTACTAAAAATACAAAAATTAGCTAGGCATGGTGGTGGGCACCTGAAATTCCAGCTACTCAGGAAGATGAGGCAGGAGAATTGCTTGAACCCAGGAGGTGGAGGTTATAGTGAGCCAAGATCGCGCCATTGCACTCCAGCCTGGGCTACAAGAGCAAAACTCTGACTCAAAAAAAAAAAAAAAAAGAAAAAAAGACAGAATATAGCACAGAATATAAGATGTAACACATACACACACACAGTCATGTGTCACCATGGAGTGTACTTACAAAAACCTAAATGGTAGAGCCCACTGCACACTTAGGCTACATGGTATGGCTTATTACTCCTAGGCTACACACCTGTACAGCATTTTACTGTACCGAATACTGGAGGCAACTGTAGCACGATGGTATCTGTGTACCTAAAGATTTTTTTTTTTTTTTTGAGACAGGGTCTCACTCTTGTAAGTCAGGCTGGAGTGCAGTAGCACAATCATGGCTTACTGCAGCCTTGCCTCCTGGCTCAATCAATCCTCCCACCCCAGCCTCTCAAGTAGCTGGATAGGCTCATGCCACCACCATGCCTGGTTAATTTTTGTTTTTTTGTTTTTTGTTTTTTTTTGTAGAGACAGGGTTTCGCCAGGCTGCCCAAGCTGGTCTTGAACTCCTGAGCTCAAGTTATCCACCTGCCTTGGCCTCCCAAAGTGCTGGGATTACAGGCATGAGCCACTGTGCCCAGCCCTAAAGATATCTGTACATAGAAAGGGTAAAAATACAGTATTATAATCTTATAGGACCACCATTGTATATGTGGTACATTTCAACTGAAACATTGTTATGTAGTGTATGACTATATATACATACACACACACACAACCCTCTATATCCACAGGGGTTCGAGACCAGCGTGGCCAACATGGTGAAACCCCATCTCTACTAAACACACAAAATTAGCCAGGCGTGGTGGCGGGTGCCTGTAATCCCAGCTACTTGGGAGGCTGAGGCAGGAGAATCGCTTGAACCCAGGAGTTGGAGGTTATAGTGAGCTCCGGAGTTGGAGGTTATAGTGTGTATGTATAGACAATTTTAACACACAGTCTATACATACACACACACACACACATACATACACACAAACATATATGTATACCCAATCCATATGTGGAATCTGAGAGGAAAGGAAATGAGAATAGGGCAGAAGAAAAAATGGCATATGGCTAAGAATACTCCAATAGTGACAAAGGACCCAAGCCTCAGATTCAAGAAACAGTATAAATTCAAGGCAGATGAAAGCAAACTCCACCTAGACACATCATAGTGTATCTGATGAAAAACAAAAACAGAAAAATCAGCTCAGCATGGTGGCTTATGCCTGTAATACCAGCACTTTGGGAGGCCAAGGCAGGCGGATCACCTAAGGTCAGGAGTTCGAGACCAGCCTGGCCAATATGGTGAAACCCCGTCTCTACTAAAAATACAAAAATTAGCCAGGTGTGGTGGCACATGCCTGTAATCCCAGCTACTCGGGAGACTGAGGCAAGAGAATCACTTGAACCCCGGAAGCAGAGGTTGCAGTGAGCAGAGATGGCACATGGCACTCCAGCCTGGGTGACGGCGTGAGACTCCGTACCAAAAAAAAAAAAAAAGAAAAACAGAAAAATCTCAAAAACATCCAGGGAGTAGGGATGTGGGATACAAGGCGACAGATTACCTTTAAAAGGATGATGATAAGGCTTATAGCTAACAATAAGTGATAAAGAATGGAAGCCAGAAGATAGTAAAAGAAAAATAGTAACCTAAAATGATATAGCAAAAACATCCATCAAAAATGTAGGAAAAGTAACCATCAAAAATGTAGCTGATCAATGAAAAAGTAGTACGTATAAGAAATGGTCTTCAATGGCTGTTAATATAACAAAAAGATGAATGTTCTACACCAAATATTCTACGCCACATATGCAAATATACACCAACACCTAATAAGTTTACTTGCCAAAAAAAAAAATCTAATAAAAATCTCTCAATCCAGGGTCAGCAATCTTTTTCTTTTTTTTATGGAAACAGGGTTTCCTTCTGTCACCCAGACTGGAATGCAACAGCGTGATCACAGCTCACTGCAGCCTCAACCTCCCCAGGCTCAAGCGATTCTCCCACCTCAGCCTCCTGAGTAACTGGAATTACAAGGACACACCACGACACCTGGCTATTTTTCTGTGTCTTTAGTAGACACGGGGTTTCACCATGTTGCCCAGGCTGGTCTCAAACTCTTGAGCTCAAACAAACCTTCCACCTTGGCCTCCCAAAGTGCTGGGATTATAGGTGTGAGCCACCATGCCCAGCCAGCAACCATTTTCTATAAAGAAACAGAATAGTGGCTGGGCGCAGTGGCTCACGCCTGTAATCCCAGCACTTTGGGAGGCCGAGGCGGGTGGATCACGAGGTCAGGAGATCGAGACCATCCTGGCTAACACAGTGAAACCCCGTCTCTACTAAAAAAATACAAAAAATTAGCCGGACGTGGTGGCGGGTGCCAGTAGTCCCAGCTACTCAGGAGGCTGAGGCAGGAGAATGGTGTGAACCTGGGAGGTGGAGCTTGCAGTGAGCCAAGACTGCACCACTGCACTCCAGCCTGGGCGACAGAGCGAGACTCCATCTCAAAAAAAAAAAAAAAAAAAAAAAGAAACAGAATAGTCAGGCGTGGTGGCTCACGCCTGTAATCCCAGCACTCTTGGAGGCCAAGGTGGGTGGATCCTGAGGTCAGGAGATCGAGACCATCCTGGCTAACAGAGTGAAACCCCGTCTCTACTAAAAAATACAAAAAATTAGCCAGGCGTGGTGGCGGGCACATGTAGTCCCAGCTACTCGGGAGGCTGAGGCAAAAGAATGGTGTGAACCCAGGAGGCAGAGCTTACAGTGAGCCAAGATCACACGCCACTGCACTCCAGCACTCCAGCCTGGGCGACAGAGCAAGACTCTGTCTCAAAAAACAAAAAGAAACAGAATAAATATTTTAGGCTTTGCCAGCCATACAGTCTCTGTTACAACCAGTCAACTCTACCAATGCAACACTTAAGCTGCCATAGACAATATGCAAATGAATAAATGTGGCTGTATTCCAACAAATATTTATAAAAACAAAGGAGGTCCAGATTTGACCCGTAGACTGTGGTTTGCTGACCCTTAATTTAGGTCTAATTTCCAACGTACAGACAACACGAGGGACAGAAAACATGTTAAATACTATAGAGATGTAATTAGAAAATTCACATTGTGAAAAACCATTCAGACAAATGAACTACCTCCTACAAAAAATAAATCGTAATGGTAAATAAAGAAATCATGCAGTAAAAAATTAAGACATGTCAGCCAATTGCAATGTGTGGACTTAACAGCAAAATGAAGGTGACAGAGAAAAAGTCAGTGAATCTGAAGACAGATCAATTGAAATATAACATTTGGCCGACAAAGACAAAAATGACTTTTAAAAAATTGAACCTGTGGAGTTCACGGGGACCTGTGGAGCAACAGAAAAATTGACATTTCATGTGTATAGACTCCCAAAATGAAAGGAGAAAGACAGTAATACAGAAAAAAAAAATAGAAAAAACAAAAGCTAGAAATATCGCAAATCTGGCAAAAGACATAAGCTTACAGATGTAAAAAGTTCAGTGAACACCAAATAGGATAAGCCAAAGAAATCCAAGCCACAGCACACATCATAAGCAAACTGCAAAAAACAAAAGACAAAGAAAAAAAATCTTAAAAGCATCTAGAAAAATGATGCATTCATAGGAAAACAACAATTCAAATGACTGCAGATTCCTCATGAGAAAACATGGAAGTCAAAAACAAGTGACGTAACTTTTTTTTTTTGAGACGGAGTCTTGCTCTGCTGCCAAGCTGGAATGCAGTGGCGCGATCTTGGCTCACTGCAACCCCCGCCTCCCGGGTTCAAGCTATTCCCCTGCCTCAGTCTCCTGAGTAGCTGGGACTACAAGGGCATGCCACCACGCCCGGCTAATTTTTTGTATTTTAGTAGAGATGGGGGTCCACCATGTTGGCCAGGATGGTCTCGATCTCCCGACCTCGTGATCTGCCCGCCTCGGCCTCCCAAAATGCTGGGATTACAGGCGTGAGCCACCGTGCCCAGCCCATAACATTTTTAAAGTACTGAAAGAAACGGCTAGCTCAGAATTCTATATTCAGGCCGGCTGCGGTGGCTCACGCCTGTTATCCCAGCACTTTTGAAGGCTGAGGCAGGCAGATCATCCGAGGTCAGAAATTCGAGACCAGCCCGGCCAACATGGTGAAACCCCATCTCTACTAAAAACACAAAAAGTAGCCGGGTGTGGTGGTGGACACCTATAATCCCAGCTACTCGGGAGGCTGAGGCAGAAGAATCAATCGCTTGAACCCAGGAGGCGAAGGTTGCAGTGAGCCGAGATTGTGAGATTGTGCCACTGCACTCCAGCCTGGGTGACAGAGTGAGACTGTGTCTCAAAAAAAAAAAAGATTCTATATTCAGCCAAAAAAAAAAAAAAAACACTCCTTAGGAATGAAGGTGAAATAAAGCTATTCTCAGGTAAAGGAAAACAAAAAAAATTTGTTGCAAGAAAACCCTCTCTAAAATAATTTCCAAGAAGAATTTCTTAGACAGAAAGAAAAAAAAAAAGCTCAGGAGATCCAGAATACAAAGGTGAAATAAATATCTAGGTGAATATAATTAAATATTCTTCTCCTAGTGCATTCCTTAAAATGTTTGAAAAAAATCATAATATTATCTAATGGAATTTTCAACATAAAGGTAATAGTAAAGACAACTACAACATAAAGGTGAAAGATCAAGAACCCAACATGATAAGGTTTTCACATTCCACTTATAGTGGTAAAATACTGATTCCAAGGAGATTTTGACAACTATATATATTGTAATCTACACAGGAACCACTAGAAAAGCCACACCAAAAGACACAGTCAACTGCTTAAAGCAACCACTAAAACAGCCATACGCAAAGAGATATATTCAAGAAGATACACATAAATTAAAATGAAATACTAACAAATGTTCAAATAAACCAACACCAGCAGGAAAGGAAAAAGAGAAGAATAAAAAACAGAGGTAAGGCCAGGCACAGTGGCTCAAGCCTGTAATCCCAGCACAAAGGGAGGCTGAGGCGGGCAGATCACCTGAGGTCAAGAGTTCAAGACCGGCCGGGTGCGGTGGCTCACGCCTGTAATCCCAGCACTTTGGGAGGCCGAGGCGGGAGGATCACGAGGTCAGGAGATCGAGACCATCCTGGCTAACACGGTGAAACCCCGTCTCTACTAAAAATACAAAAAATTAGCCGGGCGTGGTAGCGGGCGCCTGTAGTCCCAGCTACTCGGGAGGCTGAGGCAGGAGAATGGCGTGAACCTGGGAGGCGGAGCTTGCAGTGAGCCGAGATCGCGCCACTGCACTCCAGCCTGGGCGACAGAGCGAGACTCCGTCTCAAAAAAAAAAAAAAAAAAAAAAGAGTTCAAGACCAGCCTGGACAACAGGGCGAAACCCCGTCTGTACTAAAAATACAAAAAGTAGCCGTGTGTGGTGGCGGGTACCTGTAATCCCAGCTACTCAGGGAGGCTGAGGCAGGAGAATCACTTGAACCCAGGAGGTGGAGGTTGCAGTGAGCCAAGATCCCTCCATTGCACTCCAGCCTGGGCAACATGAGTGAAACTCTGTCTCAAAAAAAAAAAAACAGAGGTAAAAAAGGGAAAACAATAAAATGTAGACCTAAATCCAAACGTATCAATAATCACATTGAACATAAATGTTCTAAATACACCAGTTAAAGGTTAGAGATTGTTAGAATAGATAAAAATAACTACCAACTATATGCTGGCTACAAGAAATTCACTTCAAATATAATAATAAGGTAAGTTAAAAGGATGGAAAACAATATAACATGTAAAAACTAAACAAAAAGGGGCTGAACATCATGTCCACTAGGATGGCTATAATTTAAAAGATAGATAATAAAAAGTATTGGTGAGGATATAGGGAAAAACCTTTTTTTTTTTTTTTTTTTTTGAGACAGAGTCTTACTCTGTCTCCCAGGCTGGAGTGCAGTGGGGCCATCTCGGCTCACTGCAACCTCCACCTCCCAGGTTCAAGCAATTCTCCCACCTCAGCCTCCTGAGTAGCTGTGACTACTCAGGCAAACACCACCACGTCTGGCTAATTTTTGTATCTTTTGGTAGCGACAGGGTTTCACCATGATGGCCAGGGTGGTCTCAAACTGCTGACCTCAAGTGATCCACCGGCCTTGGCCTCCCAGAGTGCTAGGATTGCCGGCATAAGCCACTGTGCCCAGCCAAGAATATGGAGAAATTTAAACTCTCATGTATTGCTGATGGAAATTTAAAATGGTGCAGCCACTGTGGAAAATGGTCCAGCAGCTCCTTAAAAGGTTAAACTTACCGAGTATGCTTAACTGGCGTATGACCCAGCAATTTCACTCCTAAGTAAATACCCAAGAGAAGTGAAAACATATGTACACACAAAAACTTACATATGAATTTTCCTTTGTTTTTGGAGATAAGGTCTCACTCTGTCACCCAGGCTGGAGTGCGGTGGCATAATCATGGCTCACTGCAGCCTCGACCTCCTCAGGCTCAGGTGATCCTCCCACTTCAGCCTCCCAAGTAGCTGGGACTACAGGTGCACTTGCCACCAACCAAACCTGGCTAAATTATTTTATTTTATTTTATTTTGAGACAGAGTTTCACTCTAGTTGCCCAGGCTGGAGTGCAACGGTGCAATCTCGGCTCACCGCAACCTCCGCCTCCCAGGTTCAGGTGATTCTCCTGCTTCAGCCTCCCGAGTAGCTGGGATTACAGGCATGCACCACCACGCCCAACCAATTTTATATTTTTAGTAGAGACAAGGTTTCTCCATGTTGGTCAGGCTGGTCTTAAACTCCTGACCTCAGGTGATCTGCCCACCTCAGTCTCCCAAAATGCTGGGATTACAGGTGTAAGCCACCACACCTGGCAATACATACATTTTTCAAGTTCACATGAAAAATTCCCCAAGACACACTGTATCTTGGGTCTTAAAACAAACCTTAACAAATTTAAAAGGATTGAAATCATACAAATCATATAAGGCATGTTATCTGACTATAACTGAATTAGACTATAAATCTGTACCAGAAACATAACAGAAAAATCCCAAAAACATGGAAATTAAACAAATTTCTAAATAACTCGTGGATTAAAAAAAATTAGAAAAATTAGAAAATATTTTGGACTGAATAAAAATACAACAAATCAACAATTTAAAAAAAAATTCAAGTGAGGTGTAGAACAATTTTTTAAAATATAACATATCAAAATTTGTGGGATGCAGCAGTGCTTACTGATAAATTCATAGCATTCATAGCATTAAATAATTTCATTAGAAAAGTCTCAAATCAATAACCTAAGCTTCCACCTTAAGAAAGTAAAAAAAGGAACAAAGTAAAATCAGGAAGAAAAAAAAAAAGAACAGAACTCAATGAAATTAAAAACATAAAAATAGGCAGGGCAGGGTGGCTCACGCCTGTAATCCCAGAACTTTGGGAGGCCAAGATGGGTGGATCACCTGAGGTCAGGAGTTTAAGACCAGCCTGGACAACATGGTGAAACGCTGTCTCTACTAAAAATACAAAAATTAGCGGGGCATGGTGACACACACCTATAATCTCAGCTACTCAGGAGGCTGAGGCAGGAGAATTCTTTGAACCCCAAAGGCAGAGGTTGAAGTGAACCAAGATCACACCACTGCACTACAGCCTGGAAGACAGAGCAAGATTCCATCTTAAAAAAAAAAAAAAAAAGGTCTAAATGTAAAAGGTAGGCTGGGCGCGGTGGCTCACCCCTGCACCCCCAGCACTTTGGGGAGCCAAGGGGGGAAAATCACGAGATCAGGCATTTTAGACCATCCTGGCCAATGTGGTGAAAGCCCATCTCTACTAAAAATACAAAAATTAGCCAGGCGTGGTGTTGCGCTCCTGTAGCCCCAGCTACTCGGGAGGCTGAGGCAGAAGAATCACTTGAAACCAGGAGACAGAGGTTGCAGTGAGCCAAGATCATGCCACTGCACTCTAGCCTGGGTGACAGAGCAAGACTCCGTCTCAAAAAAAAAAAAAAAAAAAAAAAAGAATGTAAAAGGTAAAGTGTTAAAACTTTAAACAAAAACACAGAAGAAGTTCTAAGTGACCCTGTGTTAGGCAGAGTCCTTTAATACTACAACAAAAGCATGATCCAAAAAAGGAAAAAATTAATTGGACTTCATCAAAATTAAGAACTGCTCTTCAGAAGATACTGTTAAGTGAATGAAAAGATAAGCCAAAGAATAGAAGAAAACATCTGCAAATCTTGTACCTGGTGAAGAACTTATATCCAGAATACGTTAAAAATTGTCAAAACTTAATAAGTAAACAATCCAATTTAAAAATGGGCAAAAGATCTGAAGAGACATTTTACTAAAGAAGATAAACAGGCCAGGCGTGGTGGCTCACGCTTGTAATCCAAGCACTTCAGGAGGCCAAGGTGGGTAGATCACCTGAGGTCAGGAGTTCGAGACCAGCCTAGCCAACATGGTGAAACGCTATGTCTACTAAAAATACAAAAAAATTAGCCAGGCGTGCTGGCGCGCACCTGTAATCCCATCTACTCAGGAGGCTGAGGCAGGAGAATCACTTGAACCCTGCAGGTGGAGGTTGCAGTGAGCCGAGGTCATGCCACTGCACTCCAGCCTGGGCAACAGAGCGAGACTCTGTCTCAAAAAAAAAAAAAAAAAAAAAAAGATACACAAGTGGCAAACAAGCACCTGAAAAGGTGCTCAACATCATTCATTACTCATTAGAGAAATGCAAATTAAAACCGTAAGAAGCTACTACAGTTAATATCAAAAACAGCCTACTATATGATGATAGAAGTGACAGCAGTGGTCACCTTTAGAAGGGAAGGAGTGGGAGGGGCCACAAGGAAGCTCCTATGGTACTAGAAATGTCTTATTTTTTGGTCAGGTTGGTGAATAACACAAGGGGTTCATTTTGTACCACTTATGCTCACCTTTCTACATAAACTACACTTCAATTAAGAATTTCAGGGCCGGGCGTGGTGGCTCACACCTGTAATCCCAGCACTTTGGGAGGCCAAGACGGGCAGATCACGAGGTCAGGAGATCGAGACCATCCCAGCTAACACAGTGAAACCCCGTCTCTACTGAAAATACAAAAAATTAGCCAGGCGTGGTGGTGGGTGCCTGTAATCCCAGCTACTCAGGAGGCTGAGGCAGGAAAATGGCGTGAATCCGGGAGGCGGAGCTTGCAGTGAGCCGAGATCGCCCCACTGCACTCCAGCCTGGGGGACAGAGTGAGACTCCGTCTCAAAAAAAAAAAAAAGAAGTTCAGGCCAGGCAGAGTGGCTCACACCTATAATACCAGCACTCCGGGAGGCTGAGGCAGGCAGATGGATTACCTGAGGTCAGGAGTTTGAGAACAGCTGGCCAACATAGCAGAACCCCATCTCTACTACAAATACAAAAATTAACCAGGCATGGTGTACGCCTGTAATCCTAGCTACTCAGGAGGCTGAGGCAGGAAAATCGCTTGAACCCAGGAAGCAGAGGCTGCAGTGAGCTGAGATCGCACCACTGCACTCTAGCCTGGGCTACAGAGTGAAACTCCATCTCAAAAAAAAAAGAAAGAAAAAGAAAAGAAAATAATCTACAAGCTATTAATCTCAAAGTATAAATCATTAGCCTCTACCAGTAAACTATTAAAACCCAAAAGAACCTATACAGGTAAAGAAAGAATAAATGAAACTGATATAATTGTACAAAAGAATTTTTTTTTTTTTTTGAGACGGAGTCTCACTCTGTCGCCCAGGCTGATCTCCGCTCACTGCAAACTCCACCTCCCGGGTTCACACCATTCTCCTGCCTCAGCCTCCCGAGTACCTGGGACTATATGGCGCCCACCACCACTCCCGGCTAACTTTTTGTATTTTTAGTAGAGACGGGGTTTCACCGTGTTAGCCAAGGCATGGTCTCGATCTCCTGACCTTGTGATCCACCTGCCTTGGCCTCCCAAAGCGCTGGGATTACAGGCATGAGCCACAGCGCCCAGCCACAAAGGAATCTTATATGGCAATAAAAATGAACTACATAGCGAGGCATAATGGCGTGCGCCTGTAATCCCAGCTACTCATGAGGCTGAGGCACGAGAACCACTTGAACCCAGGTGGTGAAGGTTGCAGTGAGCCAAGATCGTGAGACTGCACTCCAGCCTGGGTGTCAGAGCCAAGACTCTGTCTCAAAAAAAAAAAAAAAAAAAAAAAAGCCTGAAAGACACCAGGAATAGCACACCCTAAAGAGTTTCATTTATACCTTCAAAAACAGGCAAATTAATCTGATGTTAAAACTCATCTTTTGTTCATGATTGGTAGATAGTGGTTACTTTTAAAAAGGAAGGAGGGCCAGCCTGGGCAACATAGTGAAACCTTGTCTCTACAAAAAAAATCAAAATATGAGGCGACAGGATCGCTTGAGCCTGAGAGGTTGAGGCTACAATGTGCCATGATCTCACCAGTGCACTCCTACCTGGGTGACAAAGCCTGAAAAAAAAAAAAAGGAAGAAAGGAGTAATAATTGGTAGAGAGTTCAAGGGGAATTTCTAGAGTTCTATAATATTTTACATCTTGACCAGGTGATTGTTATGTGGATGTATTCACTTTCTGATAATTCACTTAGCTGTATACTTCTGATTTGTGCACTTTAATGTACACACACTATATCTCAATGTTTCAAGAAGGGTTATTTCAAGTTCTTCTAATCATATTCCACTACTAAAAACATTTTAACAATTCCCCATAGCCTAAATGCAAAATCGAAGGTCTTAAGCATGGCAAAGCATAATATGGTTCCTATCTTTAACTTAATCCTCATGTCTGTCCATCCCCACGTATACTTTGTATTTCAATTTATCAAATTATTTACAGGCCCAGAACATAAAATACTGCTTCAGCCTTCAGGCCTTTAGATAATATTTCCATTAGTTGAAATCTTCTCCCTCTTTACACGCCACTAGGTCACCAAACTGTCCCTGAAATTTCCACCCAACTTGGATATTTACTCCTCCAAGATGCTTCCCTACCCCTCCACTCCAAAATTAATCACCCTCTTTTCTATATTCAGTGTATTACTGCATGCATCAAGTGATGGCACAACTGTCCATATGTCAGTCCATACTCTATTGTAATGTAAACAATTCAAGCACAAAGTCTAAATTTTCCTGTTGCCAATGCCAAACATGAGGCTTGGCATGTGGTGGTTACTTAACAAATTTCACTCTTATGTTTATTTCTGTACTAATTAAGACTGTAAAATTATCTAGGATGAAGCCTAAGTCTTATAATTCCTCCACAGCACACAGCATAGCAAGAGCACACTGCAGGCATACAACAGTGATGGTTTAGCTAGCAGTGGAATGTTTACCGAAACACAGTTCCATGGACAAAATGCACTTTTCAAACCATATGCTTACCTATAAGATAAGATACGTATGTCCTACTGGAATTGCAAAAGGTCATCTTTATATATATATATATATATGCATTTCTAGAGTTTTGAGCTACAAGAAACCAATAGCAATCACCTAGTCACAACCCTTAGGAAAGAACAGAAGCCTAGAAAAATTAAGTGGCTTACTCAAGGTTAAGACTATAGCCAAAAGAGTCAAGACTAGGACTCAGATTGCCTAGGTTCTCTCACAATCCATGTAGCCTCCCTTTTGTACTATCTGACTTCTCCAAGTATGACTGCTTTACTATTTTATATTTAGATGGTTAATATCCTCAATTGCAGGGCCTTTAAAAATTTTCCTTTTAAAATTTGTCTTTAACAAACAAATACTAAAAGTACCAACAAGTTCAACCAGGAAAACACCATTTCCAGTTCCAATATCAAGCACTGAAGCATCCAGTGGAATCTTGTGTTTCTGCATCCACCTTATTAGTCGATTCATACTCTCTTCTCCAAACCTGTTAGAGAGAATCAGTCAAATAACTGAGGGATACAGAGCAAAAGTCACCACTATATTCCATTTAAGCTATTTATACCATATGCTCAAACTCTTATTTGAAAGTGAAAACATCTGTGACTGCTTCAGCTTTGTCTCTACTGTAATTTAGGAGAAACCACCTCCAGGAATACAACAGAATAGACAAGGTCAGTATGTTATTTACTAACATTTCTCTATATCAGCATTAACAGTTGTATGTGTTGGTGTCTCAGAATTTTATTGTTTATTGACAAAGGACAACTATAGGGTGAAATGCTGTCATCAAACGTAAATGTGAGATATTAAAAGAGGGCTCACACCCATTCTCCCAACACTTTGGAAGGCCACGGTGGGAGGACTGCTTGAGGCCAGGAGTTCGAGACCACCCTGGGTAACACAGTGAGACCCTGTCTCTACAAAAAAGAAAATTTGCTGGGCATGATGGCATGCAGCTATAGTCCCAGCTACCCAGGAGGCTGTGGCGGGAGGATCACCTGGGCCCAGGAGGTCCAGGATGTAACGAGTTATGATGATCATGCCACTGTACTCCAGCCTGGATGACAGAATGACACCCCACCTCTCTAAAAAAAAAAAAAAAGTAAAAAATTAAAAAAGAATAAAAGAAGAGACATACTTTAAATCTACCCACTAAAGCCAGACTTAATCCAGGGTTCCCAGGATTTTTAGGCTTTCTTTGGGTATAAGCACTTGAATATATGCATTTTTTTTTTTGAGATGGAGTCTCACTCTGTCGCCCAGGATGGAGTGCAGTGGCGCGATCTCAGCTCACTGCAATCTCCGCCTCCCAGGTTCAAATGATTCCCCTGCCTCGGCCTCCCAAGTAGCTGGGACTACAGGCGCGCGCCACCATGCCTGGCTAATTTTTTGTCTAATTTTCGTAGAGACAGGGTTTCACCATGTCGGCCAGGATGGTCTCTATCTCCTGACCTCGTGATCTGCCTGCCTCGGCCTCCCAAAGTGCTGGGATTACAGGCGTAAGCCACCGCGCCCGGCGAATATATACGTATTTTTTTAAACACACACACATATACATATAATCTTCTAGATTATAACTTGATTCTTTTCCTAACTCACCAGATTTCACCTGTATCTCCATATTCTCGGAAAGTTTGCAGTTCTCTCTCATAGACAGCATCCCAACTATGTAAACAATGAAATGCAAAGCAAGACTCTTGAATTAAACTGTATTATGAATTAAATGTATGTTTCTAATACATTACAGAGCTATTTATGACAGAGGTTTAAACATCACTAGTGTTATTAATAAATACACATAGTTCAATCTTTTAACGTCCTTGAGTTAAAAGAAGGAAATACATGGGCAAGCAGAATACGTTTATACTGTACATGTAAAGCATTTAGGACAATATCTGATGCACAACAATAAGTTTTAGCCTAAAAAAACACAAAGACATTTGTCCACGTATCCCTAAGTCCCTGACCCAAGTTCAAAACTTGATGAAACAAGCACATCTGGTCTCAAGTGTGCAGGCACACAGTCTCTTTCCTGTGCTATTTGTCTCTGCCTATTCCAGTCTTCTAGCCCTCCGTTTAAATTTTCTCTGGACGCTTTTCTTCTTTTTTTGAGACGGAGTCACGCTCTGTCACCAGGCTGGAGTGCAGTGGCGCGATCTCGGCTCACTGCAACCTCCGCCTCCCGGGTTCAAGCGATTCTCCTGCCTCAGCCTCCCGAGTAGCTGGGACTACAGGTGTGCGCCACCACACCCCGCTAATTTTTGTATTTTTAGTAGAGACGGGGTTTCACCATGTTGGTCAGGCTGGTCTCGATCTCCTGACCTTGTGCTCCGCCCGCCTCGGCCTCCCAAAGTGCTGGGATTACAGGCGTAAGCCACCACGCACCCGGCCCTCTGAATCCTTTTCATTTGCCGTCTCTTTTCCTACAATGATTCTCTAGAATCCCTGCTCCCTCTCATCCCGCCAATTTACCTCTCCCCAACTGTTCCCTGCAGCCATTCATCCACCCACATTAATTCATTTAATAATTCCTGAGCGTCTGTTTGAGGTCAGATCGCTTTCTTTCACCCCAAGATCCCCCACTATCTCCCCGCTCCCGCCTCGGGTCATCCGCTATTCCCACCCCACTTCCAGCTCCCACATCCCTCCCCTCCTACTCAGCCTTTTCGGCTCCCAGGCCCAGCACTTCTCCCTCGGTCTCTCACTCTCGCCGACCAGCCCTATTCGCCAGCCTCGCCCTCTCCCCCTTTCCCCCAAGCCTGGCCCTCAGGTTCGAGACTCCCAAAAGGCCTCCCAGGAGCCAAAGCCTGTCCCGCACCCACAAGCCCCTTGGGCTCCAATCCCTTGAAACGTCGGTTAACCGCGTAGGGCGACCCCTAGGGATTCCACTCTTTGAAATCCCCGTAAGCCCCCCGCCAGGTGGCCCTGCTCCCGTCACGCCCCCGAGGGTCTCCCTGTCCCTGAGCCCCGGGTCTCCACCCCGCCGTCCCCTTCTCGGGGCCCAGGCAGGGCGGCACGGCTCATCCTCCCCTGCCCAGCGTCACACTCACTGCTCGCGGGTCCCCAGCGCCGACGGGACGAAACCGTCCTCCCCGGGACTGCCCTTGTCCGACCGCGCCGCCACCGCAGCGCCACCGCCGCCGTCAGCGCCCGAGCTCATTTCGCTCCACGTCCTGGACGGCCGTTGGGGCCGCCATAGAGACGGGGCACAGGCAGAGCGGACGAGCGGACCGGCGCCTCTAGGCGGCGGGAGGCCGCCCTCTCGACTGCTCCAGCCCCCGCGCTGGGGCTGGGATGGGGACGCGACGCCCTCTGCTCTACCCCCGGCTCCCTGCGCCGGCGGGGACCGTGCGCTCTCCCCACAGCGTTAGTGGCATCCCCTTCGTCGAGGTCCAAGAGCGGCTGTATTTGGGGACTGCTGTTCGTGAGGGACCATTAGAGGTATTGCATTTTGGAAAACGGCTGGCTTCCGCACCGTGGACACCTAAAGCCGACGCCGCTCTACCCAAACGCAGAAATCACTTCACCTCTCCACTGCGTGCGCCTGTCTGCGAAGCGGGTGCGAGCGTCCATCCAGTTATTTGGCTCCTTGGCAAGAGGCCAACTTCGTTTCTGGCTAAGATTCTGACTTGAAAACCGCGTTCTGGCCTCTTGTGACTTGATGTCACCGGTAGACGTGGAAATTTATGTCCAGGGAAAGGAATGCCCTGCAACTCTCCACAATACGCCAAACACGGGGATCAGTGTGTTGTGGAAGAAAGACTGCTAAGTGAGAGGATGCCCGGATAAGCCTCAGCTCTGCCTCGACCCAGGCACCTGGCCTTGCTTAAGTTTGTTTTGTTTTGTTTTGTTTTGTTTTGTTTTTTGAGACGAAGTTTCGCTCTTGTCGCCCAGGCTGGAGTGCAATGCAATGGCGCGATCTCGGCTCACCGCAACCTCCGCCTCCCGGGTTCAAGCGATTCTCCTGCCTCAACTTCCCGAGTAACTGGATTACAGGCGGGCGCCACCACGCCAGGCTAATTTTGTTTTGTTTTGTTTTTTAGACGTAGTCTCGCTCTGTCGCCCAGGCTGGAGTGCAGTGGCTCGATCTCGGCTCGCTGCAAGCTCCGCCTCCCGGGCTCACGCCATTCTCCTGCCTAAGCCTCCGGAGTAGCTGGGACTACAGGCGCCCACCACCACGCCCGGATAATTTTTTGTATTTTTTTTAGTGGAGACGGTGTTTCACCGTGTTAGCCAGGATGGTCTCGATCTCCTGACCTCGTGATCCACCCGCCTCGGCCTCCCAAAGTGCTGGGATTACAGGCGTGAGCCACCGCGCCCGGCCTAATTTTGTATTTTTAGTAGAGACGGGGTTCCTTCATGTTGGTCAGGCTGGTCTCGAAGTCCCGACCTCAAGTGATCCTCCCGCCTCAGCCTCCCAAAGTGCAGGGATTACAGGCGTGAGCCACCGCGCCTGGCCTCTTGTCTAAGTCTTAACCTCTGTGTGTTTCCTCCCTGTACCATGTCAGAACTAGACGGTGTCTTTGTTCCACAAAACTGCTCCCAACCCGCGAACCGGAGATTGCATCTGCCTCTGGGTCTGAGTGCCATTGGTAGATCTGCAGTATAATACAAGAGATCTTATGGGCCAAAGTCTGGGGTATTTTCTGTAGTAGCTGTGAAATACTGCTGGTCCTATGTCCTAGGCAAGGCCCTCAAATGCCCCTAGCGAGACTGCCTTCCAACCAAAAGGAATTGTTTGCTAGGCCACGTTTCTGTTGTCTTGGCAGACAGAAGCCCAGTAACAAGTCCCTAAAGATAAAATAGCATCAGAAATCCTTCCTAGGATCGGATGCGCATCTCCTATAGATGCTGTTCTGAGATCTTCAGGCAGCCACTAGTGATAGGGTAAGATAAAAGGCAGACAGGAGGCCGGACACGGTGGCTCACGCCTGTAATCCCAGCACTTTGGGAGGCCAAGGCAGGCAGATCACGAGGTCAGGAGATAGAGACCATCCTGGCCAAAATGGTGAAATCCTGTCTCTACTAAAATACAAAAAATTAGCCAGGCATGGTGGCGCGCGCCTGTAGTCCCAGCTACTTGGGAGGCTGAGGCAGGGGAATCATTTGAACCTGGGAGGCGGAGATTGCAGTGAGCCGAGATTGCGCCACTGCACTCCAGCCTGGCAACAGAGTGAGACTCTGTCTCCAATAATAAAAAAAAAAAAAGGCAGATGGAAATCCTTGTGCGTAATGATTAAAGTAAAGGCCGGGCGCAGTGGCTCAAGCCTGTAATCCCAGCACTTTGGGAGGCCGAGGCAGGCGGATCACCTGAGGTCAGGAGTTCGAGACCAGTCTGGCCAACATGGCGAAACCCCATCTCTACTAAAAAGACAAAAATTAGCCAGGCATGGTGGCAGTCGCCTGTAATCCCAGTTACTCAGAAGGCTGAGGCACGAGAATTGTTTGAACCAGGGAGGCGAAGGTTGCAGTGAGCCAAGACTGCACCACTGCACTCCAGCCTGGGCGACAGAGTGAAACTTTGTCTCAAAAATAAATAAATAAATAAAATAAAATAAAATTCAAGAAAGAACTTAGGTAACCTTATTACAGAGCAATAAAACCACCGGATGACCCGGCCAATTAGTGCTGCCCTGGGCAAGCGGTTGTTTTGATCTTTTCTAGGTTCTAGATGCTAGAGAAAGCAAGCTTGAGTGGGGCTGAGTGAGGCTTTAAAAGTTTTAGGTCAGCCGGGTGCGGTGGCTCACGCCTGTAATCCCAGCACTTTGGGAGGCCGAGGCGGGCGGATCACAAGGTCAGGAGAACAAGACCATCCTGGCTAACACGGTGAAACCCCGTCTCCACTAAAAATAAAAAAAAAATTAGCTGGGCGTGGTGGCGGGCTCCTGTACTCCCAGCTACTTGGTGGCTGAGGCAGGAGAATGGCGTGAAACCGGAAGGCGGAGCTTGCAGTGAGCCGGGATCCCGCCACTGCACTCCAGTCTGGCCAACAGAGCGAGAAACGGTAATCCCAGCTACTCAGGAGGCTGAAGCAGGAGAATCGCTTGAACCCTGGAGGTGGAGGTTGCAGTGAGCTGAGATCGTGCCACTGCACTCCAGCCTGAGTGACAGAATGAGACTCTATCTCAAAAATAAATACATAAAATAAAATATAAAATAAAAGGGGCCTACTTCATTAGGTATTAAATCTGTTCTCTGGCAAAAAAAATTAATGAAATAAAATCGGCCTACATCAGAGTGTTGTTAGGAAGATTAGATAAGTTCATAGACCGTGCATGTACAGAGTGTAGAACAGAGCCTGATACAGTCTGTTCAGTAGATATTAATTATCATTCTTATTGTTAGTGACTTCTTTTGTTAATTTTTTAAAATTATTTTTTAAAGTTTTTGTGGGGCCGGGCGCAGTGGCTTATGCCTGTAATCCCAGCACTTTGGGAGGCCGAGGCAGGAGGATCATGAGCTCAGGAGTTCGAGACCAGCCTGACCAACATGGTGAAACCTCGTCTCTACTAAAAATACAAAAATTAGCTGGGCATGGTGACGTAATCCCAGCTACTCAGGAGGCTGAGGCAGGAGAATTCTCTTGAACCCGGGAGGCGGAGCTTGCAGTGTGCCGAGATCGCGCTACTGCACTCCAGCCTGGGCGACAGAGTGAGTCTCCGTCTCAAAAATAAATAAATAAATAAAATAAAATGTTTGTGGGTACATAGGTGTATATATTTATGGGGTATATGAGATGTTTTGATACGGGCATGCAATATGAAATAAGCACGTTGGAGAAAGGGGTATCCATCCCCTCAAGCATTTATCCTTTGAGTTACAAACAATACAATTACATTCTTTAAGTTATTGTAAAATATACAATGAAGTTATTATTGTCTATAGGCACCCTATTGTGCTATCAAATAGTAGGTCTTATTCATTTTTTTTTTTTTTTTTTTTTTTTTTTTTTTTTTTTTTTTTACCCAGCCTCTGGTAACCATCCTTCTACTTTGTATGTCCATGAGTTCAATTGATTTGATTTTTAGATCCCACAAGTAAGTGAGGACATGTGATGTTTGTCTCTGTGCCTGGCTTATGTCACTTAACGTAATGATCTGCAGTTCCATCCACGTTGTTGCAAATGATCATGTTTCTGTTGTCTTGGCAGACAGACAACATTGGCCCTCATTCTTTTTTGTGTACTCCCTTGTGTCTATGTGCTACTTTTGCTTTATCCATTCATCTGTTGTTAGACACTCAGGTTGCTTCCAAACCTTAGCTACTGTAAACACTGCTGCAACAAACATGGGTGTGCAGTTATCCCTTCAATGTACTGATTTCCTTTCTTTGGGGTATATACCCAGCAGTGGGATTACTGGATCATATGGTAGTTCAATTTTTACTCTTTTGAGGAAACTCCAAACTGTTCTCCATTATGATTTTACTAATTTCCATTCCTACCAACAGTGTACAAGGGTTGCCTTTTTTCCACGTTCTCGCCAGTATTTGTGATTGCCTGCCTCTTGGATAGAAGCCATTTTAACTGGAGTGAGATGATATCTCAGTGTAGTTTTGATTTGCATTTCTCTGATGATCAGTGATGTTGAGCACCTTTTCATATGCCTGTGTTAGTGACTTCTGATTCCAACCTCGCTCTCCCTCCAGATTTGTATTTTCTCTTATTTTATTGTATTGCAGCTGCCTGGATGTCCCTTGCTACATTAAACTCAATGTGTTCAACACTGAACTCACTTGCATTACCACCCCCCCACCATGCCTCCCCACCAAACCCTTTCTCCTCTGTGTTTGCGGTTGGTTGATCCCTGACCATCTACCCTGTCACCCAAAGTGGAGCATCATCTTCCTCCTTTCCTCCCTGCACTGCTCTTCTTGGTCAGGACTGGTCTCTGGGCTCAGGCATTTCTCCAGCCTGTCACCACTGCTCTGCCTTCCTTCTGGCCACTCAGGCCATTGCAGCAGCTTCTGAGTAAACCTTCCAGGAGCCATTTGGCACTTGGCTCCTTCTCAGGCCCCAGCTATGCCTTGTTTCCCATTACCTCTTGAAAGGCCTCCAAGACTTGCCCAGTTTTCCTCTCCTTCAGTGCCTGACACCCCTCACTCCTTTCCTTTGCATTCTCCTGCCTGATCATGGACTGTACAGGCAAACTGACTTGAACTTGAATCACAACTTACTCCATACAAAGTATGACCTTGAGTGAGTTACTTAATTTAAACATCTTAAGTCGCAGTTTCCTCAAATGGGCATAATCCAAATGAAGCTGGATTTTCTTGTTCCCACTTTCAGGCCCATCATAGCAAAGTGTGGCATTCTCATGCAGAAATGCTTTGCTTTGTATTGATATATATATAAATGGAATATTACTATTTGCATGTTTGCATTTTACATCTTCATTTAACAATATTCCAGTGATATATTGTACTTAGAGATCTTTTTTGTCAATGCCTATAGATCTCTTACCTTTTAAACTAATTTATGATGATAGAAATGATGGCTAGCAATCGTACAGCTGTCACTGTGTGCCAAGAACTGTTTTCAGCGCATCCAATATATTATTTCAGTTACTCCTAAAGATAGCCACATTCCCAGCACTTTGGGAGGCTGAGGCGGGCAGATCACGAGGTCAGGAGTTCGAGACCAGCCTGGCCAACACAGTGAAACCCGGTCTCTACTAAAAATACAAAAAAATTAGCCGGGCGTGGTGGTGGGTGCCTGTAATCCCAGCTATTCGGGAGGCTGAGGCAAGAGAATTGCTTGAACCCAGGAGGCAGAGGTTGCAGTGAGCCGAGATCGCGCCACTGCAGTCCAGCCTGGGTGACAGAGCAAGATTCCATCAAAAAAAAAAAAAAAAGATAGCCACATGAGGTAGATACTAGTATTAGCCTCATTTTGCAGATGAGCTAACTACGGCACATAGAAGTAAGTTCTGGAGCTGAGACTGGGACCCAAGCAATCTATCATAAAGTTTTCAAGCATAACCACTACATGAGTGTGCTCTATCACTATAGGTGTTTTGCTGAAGATTTTCTTTTGTGTGTTTGTTTGTTTGTTTGAGACAAGGTCTCACTCTATCCCCCAGGCTGGAGCGCAGTGGCATGATCTTTTTTTTTTTTTTTTTTTTAAACAGGGTCTCACTCTGTCACCCAGGCTGGAGTGCAGTGGCATGATCTCAGCTCACTGCAACCTCTGCCTCCTGGGCTCAAGCAATTCTCCCACTTCAGCCTCCTGACTAGTTGGGATTTCAGCCACATGCCACCACATCTGGCTCATTTTTTTTGTCTTTTTAGTAGAGACAGGATTTCACCATGTTGGCAGGCTCGTCTTGAACTCCTGACCTCAAATGATCTGCCCGCCTCTGCCTCCCAAAGTGCTGGGATTACAGGCATGAGCCACTGCACCCAGCCCAGTGGCATGATCACTTAACTCACTGCAGCCTCGACTTCCTGGGCTCAAGCGATCCTCCTAACTCAGCCTCCCAAGTAGCTGGAGTTACAGGTGCCCAACACCATGTCCAGCTAATTTTTTAATTTTTTCTGTAGAGATGGGGGTCTCACTATGTTGCCCAGGCTGGTCTTGAACTCCTGGGCTCAAGCGATCCACCTGCCTTGACCTCTCAAATTGCTGGGATTACAGGTGTTAGCCACCGAGCCGGGTCAGAGCCTAAAAATTCTTTATTCTCATCTCTCTGTCCCCAAAGTCCAGAATCTCACTGTAGCCACTCATCTCCTCTTCTCATCCTCTTTCTCCTTCACCCCCTAAATTTTCCCAGTTCATCTGCCTCTTTCCTCTCTCATCTCCTACATCCCAAATGGTTTCTTCAGTGAGCAAACCTAGGCACCTCCTTATTAGCAAGCCTACGCTTTTTATCAGCTGCTTCTGTTTCCATCCCCCTCCAGCACCCTGCTGATCAAACACAGCTATCTTCCCTAAAACCCTCCCACTTTTTCATGCAGTGTTCATTCAACAGTCTTGTATCTGGCAACATTTACATGCCAGCCATTATTCCAGATGATGGAGATGCAACAGTAAATAAGCAGGAATCCCTGTCTTTGCTAGGTGTGGAGTCTCTTGTTTGTAATCCCAACTACTCAGGAGGCTGAGGCAGGACAATCACTGGAGTCTAGGAGTTTGACGTGCAGTGAGCTATTGGGTGACAGAGCAAGACCCTATATCTAAAAACAAAAATTAAAAAAAAGAAGAATCCCTGTCTTCGTGAAGTTCAGAACATGCTCGAAGAGGGGGAAAGACAATGGACAGGAAAGATGAATAACACAGCGTTGCTGCTAGATGATAAGTGGTAAAGGGAAAAGTAAACAGGGAAGTACTATTGAGAACATGGGGTGAAGGTTGCAATCCTTGATAGGGTACCAGGGAAGGACTCTCTGAGGGGGTGGCAGCACTGAGTGAAAACCTAAAAGAGGTTGTCATAGGTTTGGTTCCCAGGGAGCAAAGTGTGACACTGAGATGAACAGGGAGGAAGTTGATTAGGGAGTACTCTGAGAATCATCATCTGTTGGAGAAGAAAAAGAAGCAGGATTGGCTGAATGAAGTAGTTGGACTGAGGTACCACTACAACAGAATTTCAGCAAATCCCTCCTGGCCCTCCCTTTTTTCATCTACCCCGACCAGGCATTGAATGCTGGATGCCCACAAAGGGAGGACTGGCCTTAGGCAATGAAGCTCTCTTCAACTAGGTATACTTATAGGAGAGAGCTGACCTGCAGCAATCAATCAATCCTGCAAGGCAGACAGGAGGTCTCGGTGGCACATCAAATCATCTAGGGCAGAAACAGTAAACCATGCAGCTGCCTGGGAGAAGAGCATCCCAAGCAAAGAAAACAGCAAGCACAAAGGCCCTAAAGTGGAATGAGCTAGGGACGTCCAGGAAGCAGAAAGAAGACTAATGTAGCTGAAGCTCGGTAAATAAAGGGGGCAGTAGCAGGTAATAAAGTCAGACAAGTAATAGGGGCCAGGTCTTGGCAAGATTTGGTGTTTGGCCAAGAAGCAACATGGTTTAGTTCTTACATTTAAATGTTGACCATCTTGCTATGTTGAGCATAGATTTGGCAAGGAGGGGATTAAAAGCTGAAGCAGGAACACTGGGTTTCTCAGCCTTGTCACCACTGATGATAATTCTTCATTGTGGGCCTGTTGTTGTGCACTGTAAGACGTTTAGCCACTTCTCTGGCCTCTACCCACCCACCAGATGCCAGTGGCACCTGACACCGAATTATGATATCTGATAATGTTTCCAAACATTGCCACATGCCATTTTGGGAGGCAAAACTGCCACCAGTTCGGACTCCCTGAGTAAGAGGATACAAAATTCTGAGAGAGAGAGATGATGGTGACTTGAACCACCGTTTCACTTCCCTCCCACCCCAAGACGCTACAGTCTCAACTCTGCAGCCAAAGTGATTGTGTTATCTGTTATCAAATTATGTCACTACTATACCAAACTGTTTATTTGCCTGAATTTCCTCCATCCTTTCATCCTTGAGCTTGTAAATGTTGCCTTTTTTCTTTTCCTTTTTTTTTTCTTTGAGACAGAGCCAGAGCGCAGTGGCACAATCTCGGCTCACTGCAATCTCTGTCTCCCGGGTTCAAGCGATTCTCATGCCTCAGCCTCCTGAGTAGCTGAGATTACAGGCATGCACCAGAATGCCCGGCTAGTTTTTGTATTTTCAATAGAGATGGGCAGAGGGGAGTGGGCAGGGTCTCACCATGTTGGCCAGGCTGGTCTTGAACTCCTTGTCAGGCCTCTGAGCCCAAGCTAAGCCATCATATCCCCTGTGGCCTGCACGTATACATCCAGATGGCCTGAAGTAACTGAAGAATCACAAAAGAAGTGAAAATGACCGGTTCCTGCCTTAACTGATGACATTACCTTGTGAAATTCCTTCTCCTGGCTTAGAAGCTCCCCGACTGAGCACCTTGTAACCCCCGCCCCTTCCCACCAGAGAACAACCCCCTTTGACTGTAATTTTCCACTACCTACCCAAATCCTATAAATCGGCCCCACCCCTATCTCCCTTGCTGACTCTCTTTTCGGACTCAGCCCGCCTGCACCCAGTTGAAATAAACAGCCTTGTTGCTCACACAAAGCCTGTTTGGTGGTCTCTTCACACAAACGCGCATAACACTCCTGACCTCAGGTTAACACTCCCCACACACGCCCCCCCCTCCCAAAGTGCTGGGATTACAGGCATGAGCCACCGCGCCCGGCCTCAAATGTTGGCTTTTTGTTTTGTTTTGTTTTTGAGACGGAGTCTTGGTCTGTCACCCAGGCTGGAGTGCAGTGGCGCGATCTCGGCTCACTGCAAGCTCCGCCTTCCAGGTTCACGCCATTCTCCTGCCTCAGCCTCCTGAGTAGCTGGGACTACAGGAGCCCGCCACCACGTCCGGCTAATTTTTTGTATTTTTAGTAGAGACGGGGTTTCACCGTGTAAGCCAGGATGGTCTCAAACTCCTGACCTCGTGATCCGCCCACCTCGGCCTCCCAAAGTGCTGGGATTACAGGCGCGAGCCACCACGCTCAGCCTAAATGTTGGCCTTTTTTTTTTTTTTTTTTTTTTTTTTTTGAGACGAAGCTTCGCTCTTGCTGCCCAGGCTGGAGTGCAATGGCACGATCTCGACTCACCGCAACCTCCGCCTCCCGGGTTCAAGCCATTCCCCTCCCTCAGCCTCCCGAGTAGCTGAGATTACAGGCATGTGCCACCACGCCCGGCTAGTTTTTGTATTTTCAATATAGACAGGGTTTCTCCATGTTGGTCAGGCTGGTCTCGAACTCCTGACCTCAGGTGATCCGCCCGCCTCGGCCTCCCAAAGTGCTGGGATTACAGGCGTGAGCCACTGCGCCCGGCTAGAATGTTGTCTTTTAATACTAAGGTTTCACTTGCAAAGGGAAAGAACTGTTTGCGGAACTATCAACCGCTGTCTGAGGCGTGTCGGGAGCGACACCCCTGCGGAGGATACGGTGCCGGGGTCCTTCCGATCGCAAAAACCGGCGTTCCTCAGCCTTCAAGACTGTGAGCGCTCAGGGCCCTCGGCCGCTGCCCGCCGCAGACTCCACTTCCCATGATGCCAAGGGGTCGGGCCGTCCGGAAGGCCGTGTGCCCTCCGCGGGGCATGATGGGGTAGCTGGAGATTTCCATCATGGCGGCGTCCATTTCGGGCTACACCTTCAGTGCTGTGTGTTTCCACAGCGCCAACAGCAACGCGGACCACGTAGGTGCCGGGCCCCCTGCCGCGCCCGCTGGGGGCTTTCAGCCTCTGTCTCAGGCCGGCGCTCGCGGCCAAGCCGGGACCTCATGCGGCTCGCCCCCTGGGCACCAGGGCCGGCCGGAGGAGCTGGTGACCCGGGCGGCTCCCGCCCCCGGTGAGCTCTTGCCTCTGGGGGCTCCTTCGCCCCTGGGACAGGCCCCCTGGCTTCGCGCTCTCAGCCGCTCGGCCGTCCCGGCACAGCCGTCTCCCGTGCAGCAAAACTGTCCCACCTGGCCTCCTGCAGTGTCAGGAGTCGCTCGGTGGAAACCGAGCGCCTGCCCCTCCCTGAAAGTCAGGCTTCTAGACTTAAGAGGGGCGCACGGGGTCGGGAAGGAATCTAAAGGCCGGGCGTTTAGTCCAGTAGGCGAGGTACTCAGCCCCGCCCGCCGGTCTCGCAGGTTGTCGTGGGGGTGCTGCGAGTGAAACCGTGGCTGTCACTACTGATACTTGTTAGACACGGTTGTGTGTTTTCTTCGCCCTGATGCAAAATGGAGAATGTATACAGGAGCGTTCGGTGCAGGGTCTATTTTGTATTTCCTTGAAGTTGCGTGTTTAGTTCTTTGTGACTAGTTCTTTCACTAGTCACAGTGAAATAGGGAAGTGACAGGCCCACTACTGAGTGATGGGAAATGCATAGGCTGTGAGCCCACAGGAGGAGCAGATCCTGTCTGTTTCAGTGTCTTTATTTTACAAATTGTCTTTTAACGTCATTGGCCTCTGATTGGAAATGCTTTGTGAAACTAGATCACTTCTCTCTTAAAGGAGGTATATAATTTGGCCACCAAATTGGGGGATTATTTTAAGTGATGTTAATAGTGAATGATTCAAACTCATTAAACCTATGTGTGGGGTTTTTGGTTGTCATTACAAAGCAAAATGGTACACTGCAGAAGGAGGAACTGCATTTGGTTTGATGTCAGCAATCTTAGCTTCCATTAATAAAAACTGATTTCACAGGGAGGTGATTCCATTAGTAAATTGAATGCAATTAAATTATTGTACCTTTCATCTCTTCAGTGTTGATGGTAGAACTTAATGATAGGAATAGGAATATATACATCATGGGTTTTTCCAGAAGCAGCTTTGAAGACTATGGCCTAGGGTACTACAACCAGCTATTTAATAATGTAATATAGTTCCATATGTAAGGGTTTGTGATACCCCTAGTGTCCATGGACTATTAAAAATGGGTCCTTTATTTCTTGAATGCCTACTAATATCACAGTTTATGTATATGGCAAGATTACTGTAAGAACAAGCAGCTACCTGTTGAAAAAAATTAATTCAAGAGATATCCCTTAATATCTACTCTGCAAGGCGTGGTGCTTGACTTCATAGAAATTTTCACCAATGCCAATAGTTTGCAACTGTGTTTTATATGACCATGCCTGTTTATATTAACTTTGCCACAATTATAGATGTGGAATCCTTGAAAATAATTTCAATTTTAAGGTTGAAGAACCAACAATTTACTTTTGTAGTACATACTTATTTTGTCCAGTCAAGAAATTAATTTAAAACCACTCATTTGTAGACCTGGGGCTACCATACTTTTCTGTACAGGGCCAGATAGTAAACTTTGTAGGCTTTGTAAGCCATATGGTCTCTATAGCAACTATTCAACTCTGCTATTATTGGGAGAAAGCATCTATAGACAATAAAAGATTCAAGTGACTCTTATTAGCTGGACACGGTAGCTCATGCCTGTAATCCCAGCACTTTGGGAGGCTGAGGCGGGCAGATCACCTGAGGTCAGGAGTTCAAGACCAGCCTGACCAACAAGGAGAAACCCCGTCTCTACTGAAAATATAAAATTAGCCAGGCGTGGTGGCACATGCCTGTAATCCCAGCTACTAGGGAGGCTGAGGCAGGAAAATCGCTTGAACCCGGGAGGCAAAGGTTGTGGTGAGTCGAGATCGCGCCATTGCACTCCAGCCTGGGCTACAAAAATAATAATAATAAAATAACATAGAAACCATTTTTAGCTTACAGGCCGTACATTAATAAGCATTAGGCTGGAATTAGTCCCCATGCCATAGTTTGCCAACTCCTACTATAAAGGAACATTGGCTCAGATAATCCAGACCAGTAGATGTATAAACATTCCACTTGTACTTGGCTTTAGAATGTCCTTTTAAAAAAAAAATTACAGACAAGGTCTTGCTATGTGGCCCAGGCTGATCTCAAACTCCTGGCCTTAAGCGATCTTCCGTTTTTGGCCTCTTAAAGTGTTGAGATTACAGGCGTGACCCACCGCATCTGACCTAGAATTTCTTGATGTCACTGTTGAGTTATATCATTATTCCACAAATGGAAGACTGTTGTAGGGTTACCAGATGAAATACAGCACACTCAGTTAATTTGAATTTTAGATAAATAGCAATTTATTTATAGTATAAGTATATCCCAAAACTTACAAAATAATTATTTGTTATCTGAAATTAAAATTTTATTGTGTGTCTTGTATCTTTTGCTAAATCCAGCAACCCAGTGCTGTAGAATACTAGGAATCTAGCTATGTTCTTAAGTCTAAAGTTCTGTGTGAATATGAAATTATTTTTTCACTTTGATTTTTTGAAAGTGGGTATTTGTTTTGTTTGTCTTTTGCTTGTGACAAGACAAAACTGCTTTTATGGTGAGAATTCATAACTGAAAGATTTTCTTAGGGTAAAACAAGCTGATTTAGGCAGTGTTTCTCAAATTAGTAGTCATGGACACTCCTTTGGATCTCAGAGAGTTTTTTTTTTTTAAGGGAATATATATATTTCTTTTTTTCTTTCTTTTTTTTTTTTTTGAGACAGAGTCTTGCTCTGTCACCCAGGCTTGAGTGCCGTGGCACAATCTTGGCTCACTGCAACCTCTGTCTCCTGGGTTCAAGCGATTCTTCTGCCTCAGCCACTCTAGTAGCTGGGATTACAGGTGCGCACCACCACACCCATCTAGTTTTTATATTTTTAGTAGAGACGGGGTTTCTCCATGTTGGCCAGGCTGGTCTCAAACTCCTGACCTCAGGCAGTCCACCCACCTTGGCCTCCCAAAGTGCTGGGATTACAAGCAAGAGCCACCGTGCCCGGCCTATGTATTTCCTAAGTTTAAGAAATGCTTTGTGATTATTTGGTATTTTAGGACACTCCCCCTCCTCAAATCAAATACAAAAACTAGGCTGTAAAGTGTCTGTCTTGTCAGGAGATCGAGACCATCCTGGCTAACAAGGTGAAACCCCGTCTCTACTAAAAATACAAAAAATTAGCCGGGCGCGGTGGCGGGCGCCTGTAGTCCCAGCTACTCGGGAGGCTGAGGCAGGAGAATGGCGTGAACCCCGGGAGGCGGAGCTTGCAGTGAGCCGAGATTGCGCCACTGCAGTCCGCAGTCCGGCCTGGGCGACAGAGCGAGACTCCGTCTCAAAAAAAAAAAAAAAAAGTGTCTGTCTTTCCCCACTCCCATAGATTCTCACTTTAAACTGGAAATGTTTTTAAACAGGAAACTTCATTAATTGATTTGAAGGATCAACTTAGAATAGAAGGATATATCGTACAAGGGCATTGTTTCAACAAATTTATTCAACCACTGTTAGTGAGGCACCTACTAAGTGTTAGGCATTGTGCTGGGTGCTGAGATAGAGCAGTGAATAAGCACACAGTCCCTGCTCTCGTGGAGTTTACATTCTGGCAAGGGATAATAAATGTATTTATTTATAAATATGTAATATGATGGATAGTGAGAAGACCAAGAAGAAAAAGAATGTAAGGTAAAGGGGGCAGAGTGCCTGGCAGATGCTATTTCCATTAAGTTGGTCAGGCAAGGCCTCTCCGCTAAGGTGCCATTTGAGTAAAGACCTGAATGAAGGAAAGGAGTAAGCCGTGTGATATCTGGGGAGAGAGATTCCAGGACAGCTTCTCAGTTCAACCCTCTGTATAGGAAAGTTACTTTAGGATTTAGAGTATGTCTTCTCCCAGCTGTGCTTGTGCAGAACATGGCGCAAGTACACAAAGAGTAGGTAATGAGCCAATCAACTGTGGTGGTAAATGCCCTCCAAAAGTGTAAATAAGTTAACCCCTGCATTTATTAAAGAAAAAGGTTCGGCTGGGCACGATGGCTCACGCCTGTAATCCCAGCACTTTGGGAGGCCCAGGTGGGCGGATCACGAGGTCAGGAGATCGAGACCATCCTGGCTAACACGGTGAAACCCCGTCTCTACTAAAATACAAAAAAAAAAAAATTAGCCAGGCATGGTGGCGGGTGCCTGTAGTCCCAGCTACTCAGGAGGCTGAGACAGGAGAATGGCATGAACCCGGAAGGTGGAGCTTGCAGTTAGCAGAGATCGCGCCACTGCACTCCAGCCTGGGTGACAGAGCAAGATTCCGTCTCAAAAAAAAAAGAAAAAAAAAAAGACAAGAAAAAGGTTCATGTGGATGATAGGGAATTTAATTGTTTTGCTAAAATCCTAATTTTCTATGCCAGCCTGTATAAAAGCATTTAGTTGTCATTGTGTTACCTTTATCTTTTCATCATCAGCGATGTTTTTACAACAACAAAATAAATTGTATGTGATTTCAAGAAAGCAACTTTGAAATATTTCTACTTCTTGAGTTTTTTGACATTGGTTATGATACTTAAGATTTAGGTGATGAAATTCACTCTTCCAAAAACAGGGAGGAGTTGAAGGGATTAAAATAATATTTTATCTTGTTATCCTTTTTTGGAACAATCCAATTAATAGATATACCTCAGATTGCTTTAGACTGTTTGTTGGTTTATAGAATAGTGGTTTACATGGGAAGCTTGTTTGGATTATTGTGAAAATTATAAATTTATATGTCCTCAATTCCTCTTAATTTCAGTAAAAGTCATTTTTATTTTTAGTCTGCAATTATTTTCTTTAATTACTTTTAGGAAGGATTTTTACTGGGAGAGGTAAGACAAGAGGAAACGTTTAGCATCAGTGACTCACAAATCAGCAACACAGAATTTCTGCAAGTAATTGGTAAGTAAATTTCTCAATGACCTTAGAAATATCTTTTTTGTATATTTACTTAATGTTTGTTTTGTTGTTTTGCCCTTAACTGATTTTATCCTAAAGAATTCAAAGAGTATGCCAGGCGCGGTGGCTCACGCCTGTAATCCCAGCACTTTGGGAGGCCGAGGCGGGCGGATCACGAGGTCAGGAGATCGAGACCATCCTGGCTAACACAGTGAAACCTCATCTCTACTAAAAATACAAAAAAATTAGCCGGGCATGGTGGCGGACGCCTGTAGTCCCAGCTACTCAGGAGGCTGAGGCAGGAGAATGGCATGAACCTGGGAGGCGGAGGTTGCAGTGAGCCGAGATCGCGCCACTGCACTCCAGCCTGGGGGACAGAGCAAGACTCTGTCTCAAAAAAAAAAAAAAAAAAAAAAAGAATTCAAAGAGTATGTAGAAAAAAACGAAAATAAGGCCGGCCATGGTGGCTCATGCCTGTAATCCCAGCACTTTGGGAGGCTGAGGCAGGTGGATCACCTGAAGTCAGAAGTTCGAGACCAGCCTGGCCCACATGGTGAAACCCCGTCTCTACTAAAAATACAAAAATTAGCCGGGCGTGGTGGCGGGTGCCTGTAATCCCAGCTACTCAGGATGCTGAGGCAGGAGAATCGCCTGAACCCGGGAGGCGGAGGTTGCAGTGAGCCAAGATCTTGTCTCAAAAAGAAAGAAAAAAACTAAAATTATTTGCACTAATAAATGATATGAAATGTTTTTATGTCAGTATAAAGTCAGAGAAAACAGAATGTCTAGCTATAAGTATGGGTCTTCTATAAAGTATTCCTTACCCACCAATGGGGGTGACTTTCACTGAATTGCTGTGTGACCACTTGATTGATAGTCTCTTTAAAACCACCATGAACCTCAAGTTTGCAAATCAGGCTCTCCCCATTGCCAATATCACCTCATACTATAACGAATTCATATATTGTGCTGGTCCTTCCTAAAGGGATCCAGCAAGGATATTTACATTTGTTTACATGGGATATTTACTAAACCTATACAGCCTTCTGAGGGATAAGCCAAATACCCACTTCGGAGGAGATATCTGGGGAAGATGAAGGAGTCTTTATAGCTATAGACACGCCCACTCTCTTTGGATCAGCCTCCTTTTGATAAATAGAGGTCATAGTCCTTTCAGGTACACTTCAGGCAGATCACCAAACTGCATATCCTAATACTCTGAACAAAGCAAGGAACTTTTCATTTATTTATGCGGCAAACTTTTTTTTTTTTTTTGAGACGGAGTCTTGCTCTGTCGCCCAGGCTAGAGTGCAGTGGCACGATCTCGGCTCACTGCAAGCTCCGCCTCCCGGGTTCAGGCCATTCTCCTGCCTCAGCCTCCCGAGTAGCTGGGACTACAGGTGCCTGCAACCACGCCCGGCTAATTTTTTTGTATTTTTAGTAGAGACGGGTTTTCACCGTGTTAGCCAGGACGGTCTTGATCTCCTGACCTCGTGATCCGCCCACCTCAGCCTCCCAAACTGCTGGGATTACAGGCGTGAGCCACCGTGCCTGGCTATGCGGCAAACATTTATTGAAGAACTTTCATATGTGAGGCGTGTGCTGGGCAGTGAAGGAAATACCCAGAATCATCCCTGCCTCCTAGAGCTGCGGGGAGGATTAGACAGGCAGGAAGAAATACCAGACAGTGCGAGAAGAATTCTATAAGAAAGTAACAGAGAAAATCCCCGAACTGCCCAAAGTTGAGAGGAAAACTGCTAGTGGAGAAATCAGTAAAGATGTGTGTCAGGAGGTAAACTTAATGGGCAGTACATTCAGGGGAGCACAGAACGAGGTCTGCATAAAACACATAGCGAATCTGGCCTGTTCATATGACTAAAATACAGAATATGTGGAGATGAGTGGTTTGTGGTTTGAAATACTGTTGGCTAGCGGGGTGCAGTGGCTCATGCCTGTAATCCCAGCACTTTGGGAGGCCAAGTTGGGCGGATCGCCCGAGGTTGGGAGTTCAAGACCAGCCTGACCAACATGAAGAAACCCCGTCTCTACTAAAAATACAAAAATTAGCCGGGTGTGGTGGCACATGCCTGTAATCCCAGCTACTCGGGAGGCTGAGGCAGGAGAATCGCTTGAACCTGGGAGGCGGAGGTTGTGGTGAGCTGAGATTGTGCCATTCCACTCCAGCCTGGGCAACAAGAGCGAAACTCTGTCTCAAAAAAGAAAAAAGAAAAAGAAAAAAAGAAAAGAAAAATGAAGAAATACTGTTGGCAAGTGGCAACTTTGGTCATGTTGGGAGCAAATAATTAATTTCAAGCCTGTTCTGATAGGCTTCTAGTATGTGGGGTAGGGGACAAGGGTGTTTTATTTATTTATTTATTCATTTATTTTTGAGATGCAGTCTGGCTCTGTTGCCCAGGCTGGAGGGCAGTGGCGTCAGCTCACTGCAACCTCCGCATCCCGGGTTCAAGCGATTCTCCTGCCTCAGCCTCCCGAGTAGCTGGGATTACAGGTGCATGCCACCATGCCCGGCTAATTTTTGTATTTTTAGTAGAGACGGGGGTTTCTCCATGTTGGTCGGGCTAGTCTCGAACTCGTGGCCTCAGGTGATCCACCCGCTTTGGCCTCCCAAAGTGCTGGGATTACAGGTGTGAGCCACCACGCCTGGCCCCAAGGGTGTGTATTGAAGTTAGGTCAGGATTAAGGGGAATCAAGAGGCTGAACTACCTCCTAATGCAGGCTTGTCCAACCCACGGCCTGTAGGGTGCATGCAGCCCATGGCAGCTTTGAATGAGGCCCAACACAAATTGGTAAACTTTCTTCAAACATTATGAGATTTTTTTTTTTTTTTTTTGAGACCGAGTTTCACTCTTGTTTCCCAGGCTGGAGTGCAATGGCACGATCTTGGTTCACCACAACCTCCACCTCCCGGGTTCAAGCGATTCTCCTGCCTCAGCCTCCCTAGTAGCTGTGAATACAGGCATGCGCCACCATGCCCGGCTAATTTTTGTATTTTTAGTAGAGACGGGGTTTCTCCATGTTGGTCAGGCTGGTCTCGAACTCTCGACCTCAGGTGATCCGCCCACCTTGGCCTCCCAAAGTGCTGCGATTGCAGGCATGAGTCACCACGCCCAGCCATTATGATATTTTTTTGAAATTTTTTTTAAGCTCATCAGCTAGTGTTAGTATATTTTATGTGTGGACCAAGACAATTCTTCTTCCAATGTGGCCCAGGGAAGCCAAAAGATTGGATACTCCTGCCCTGGTGGATCAAAACTATAAAACCCACTCACCACATTATAGACTTATTTACTAAGTAAAGGTTTGAAACTGGGTGCAGTGGCTCATACCTGTAATCCCAACACTTCGGGAGGCCGAGGCAGGAGGATGGCTTGAGGCCGGGAGTTCAAGACCAGCCTGGGCAAGGTGGCGAGACCCTGTCTCTACAAGAAATTTTTATAATTAGCCAGGCGTGGTGTTGTGCTTCTGTAGTCCTAGCTACTCAGAAAGCGAGGTGGGAGGATTGCTTGAGCCCGAAAGTTTGAGGCTACAGTGAACCGTGATCATACCAGTTCACTCCAGGCTGAGCAACAGAGCAAGATCTCATCTTAAAAGAAAAAAGACTTGCGATGTGTAAGACGGTATAGTTAGTCTTTCGTCGAGGATGTTTTTGGTTTTTTTTTTTTGAGATGGAGTCTCCCTCTGTCACCAGGCTGGAGTGCAGTGGTGCAATCTCAGCTCACTGCAGCCTCCACCTCCTGGGTTCGAGTGATTGTCCTGCTTCAGCCTCCCGAGTAGGTGGAACTACAGGTGCACGCCACCACTCCCAGCTAATTTTTGTATTTTTAGTAGAGATGGGGTTTCACCATGTTGGCCAGGATGGTCTCGATCTCTTGACCTTGTGATCCATCCGCCTTGGCCTCCCAAAGTGCTGGGATTACAGGCGTGAGCGACCACGCTGGCCCATCTAGGGTGTTTTTATTTTTCTTTTCGTTTTGCTTAATTCTTTAAAACCCTAAAACAGCCGGGCGTGGTGGCTCACGCCTGTAATCCCAGCACTTTGGGAGGCCGAGGTGGGTGGATCACGAGGTCAGGAGATCGAGACCATCCTGGCTAACATGGTGAAACCCCGTCTCTACTAAAAATACAAAAAATTAGCCGGACAGGCGCCTGTAGTCCCAGCTATGCGGGAGGCTGAGGCAGGAGAATGACGTGAACCCGGGATGCGGAGGTTTCAGTGAACTGAGATCTGCGCCACTGCACTCCAGCCTGGGCGACAGAGCAAGACTCCATCTCAAAAAAATAAATAAATAAATAAAATCCTAAAACAGAATTTTGTTTCATAGAACATCTGTGCAGTTATTTATTGTATGCACCTGAGTTTTCAAGCATAATCTGGAAGATGAAGGTTAAATTGCCACCTGCAGTTAACGGA
The DNA here is from genome assembly GCF_000001405.40 of Homo sapiens. Classification (NCBI taxonomy): domain Eukaryota; kingdom Metazoa; phylum Chordata; class Mammalia; order Primates; family Hominidae; genus Homo; species Homo sapiens. The sequence goes on from NC_000010.11 coordinate 124,811,351, forward strand.
CAGCAAACCATGAAAGAAAGACCTCTCTTACCTGGCATGATCACAAAAATAGCACTTCTGATTAATACTCTGGCTGTTTATTTTTAAAGAAATAGGGCCGGGCACGGTGGCTTAAGCCTGTAATCCCAGCACTTTGGGAGGCCGAGGTGGGCAGATCACGAGGTCAGGAGAGGTCAGGAGATTGAGACCATCCTAGCTAACACGGTGAAACTCCGTCTCTACTAAAAGATATAAAAAATTAGCTGGGTATGGTGACACGGGTCTGTAATCCCAGCTACTCAGGAGGCTGAGGCAGGAGAATGGCATGAACCTGGGAGGCGGAGCTTGCAGTGAGCAGAGATTGTGCCACTGCACTCCAGCCTGGGCGACAGAGCTAGACTCCGTCTCAAAAAAAAAGAAACATAATAAAACATAATTAATTTTGTTTTGTTTTGTTTTGTTTGAGACGGAGTTTCGCTTTTGTTGCCCAGGCTGGAATGCAATGGCGCACAATCTTGGCTCACCGCAACCTCCGCTTCCCAGGTTCAAGTGATTCTCCTGCCTCAGCCTCCCAAGTAGCTGGGGTTACAGGCATGCACCACCATGACCCGCTAATTTTGTATTTTTAGGAGAGACGGGGTTTCTCCATGTTGGTTAGGCTGGTCTTGAACTCCCGACCTTGGGTGATCCGCCCACCTTGGCCTCCCAAAGTGCTGGGATTACAGGCGTAAGCCACCACACCCAGCCCAAATAATTAAAATTCTATATAACATAAAGTACTGATTCTTTGATTCATAAACCATCTGCCTCTTGCAGTAAATACCTGTTTTCATGGTTTTGTAGATATGGAGAAGTAACAATCAGTGGGGAGTCCCTGTTAGTACAGGGCCATGACAACTATCTTTTGCTGTACAATCTTTAACTTATTAGCGATGTTCAGTTCATTGAAACGATTATGGACCTCATGGACAAAACGTTTACTAGTATTATCTTAAATGTGTTGTTCCCATTGTAACATTTTTCTTTTAAAAATAAATATAGCTGGGTGAGGTGGCTCACACCTGTAAAGCTTTCAAAGGCCGTGGTAGGAGGATTGCTTGAGGCCAGGAGTTCAAGACCGGCTTGGACAATATAGCGAGACCCTGTCTCTACAAAATAAAAAAATTAGCTAGGCATGGTGGCACACACCTGTAGTCTCAGCTACTTGGGAGGCTGTGGTGGGAGGATCACTTGAGCCTAGGAGATTGAGGCTACAGTGAACTGTGATCATGCCACTGCACTCCAGCCTGGGTGATAGAGCAAGACCTTGTCTCAAAAATAAATAAATAAATACACATTTGAAAGCATAAACTGGGAACTTTGGAAAACCCGGGTTGAAAAGTCAAACATTAGGAAAAGTGCATTGAGTAGTATTCACTACCAGTTGTATAAAGAGATTTTCTGGCATAGCTTACCCTCCAGAATAACAATGTTTTAAATACCATAAATTGACCAAATTTATTATTTGATGAGAATGTCTGACTCCATGCACAGACACCTTTCCATTACTCTTTGCAATAAGGAAGACTCAATATAGAATATCACATTTTGGGCTGGGCGTGGTGGCTCATGCCTGTAATCCCAGCACTTTGGGAGGCCAAGGCAGGCAGATCACCTGAGGTCAGGAGTTCGAGACCAGCCTGGCCAACATGGTGAAACCCCATCTCTACTAAAAGTACAAAATTAGCCAGGCGAGGTGGTGCACGCCTGTAATCCCAGCTACTTGGGAGGCTGAAGTACGAGAATCGCTTGAATGTGGGAGGCGGAGGTTGCAGTGAGTCGAGATCGTGCCACTGCACTCCAGCCTGGGCGACAAAGCGAGACTCCATCTCAACAACAACAAAAAAGAATATCACATTTTGAACATGAAATGTCTGCATCTTGTTTTGAATATGTATGAATTGAAAAAGCTGTGCTAACTCACTTGAAGCAGAGCTGTCTACCCTTAGTTCTAGGAGTAGCAGGGAGAAGGCAGCAACAGAAGTGTCCTTAGTTAATGAGGTGATGCAGTAACAAGTATTGGAAAGAATGAAAGCAGGAAGGAGAAGAAATGTTCAACGCACCCAACAGAAAGAGAAGCAAGAACAACAGTACCACACAGCAGGGATTTGTAAAGAAATGTGTGCCGAGAGGCGATGTGTACATGAGCAGGTGTCTACTGTGTTGTTGAGGCACAAGAAACTCTGGAAATTCCAGGTGAGGCTGCCCAGCCCCTGCCTGCTTCCAGAGGTTTACCTGTCAGTTAAGGTGTCCTCCAAGTTCATTTCGATCTGCAGCTTTTTCATGTTTGAGATCATCACCCTGTTTTTCCATGAGTGCTTAGTATTGCAAAACATCTTAGAAAGCTTTAACTTCCTTCAAAAAGTACCACACAGTATCTATAGAATGTCTTTAGCGTGCTTCTAATCCAGTTTGTAAATTTGAAAGAAACTGCTTTGGTAACAGTGCACATTCAGAGTTCAGAACTTACTCCAGGAATTTCATTAAATGACAGTTCTTTAAAGTAGAAGATGAGTTTTTCTTTTCCCTGAACTCTAGGTAATATTTTTGCAACAAAGATTCTGCATCCTAATTACTAACAGTATCTCTGGAATAACTTATGATGGTATACTTTATCATTTTTATTTATTTATTTATTTTGAGATCGAGTTTCACTTTTGTTGCCCAGGCTGGAGTGCAATGGCACAATCTTGACTCACTGCAACCTCTGCCTCCCAGTTTCAAGCGGTTCTCCTGCCTCAGTCCCGCAAGTAGCTGGGATTACAGGCATGCGCCACCATGCCCGGCTAATTTTGTATTTTTAGTAGAGATGGGGTTTCACCTTTTGGTCAGGCTGGTCTCAAACTCCTGACCTCAGGTGATCCAACCTCCTCGGCCTCCCAAAGTGCTGGGATTAGAGGCATGAGCCACCACGCCCGGCCTCTATCATTTTTAGTGATAAAAAGAAGGAAATATTACTAGGTGAGGTTTTATTTGTACTTTTTTTTGCTTTTGTTTTTGAGACCGAGTCTCACTCTGTTGCCCAGGCTAGAGTGCAATGGTGTGATCTCGGCTCACTGCAACCTCCGCCTCCTGGGTTCAAGTGATTCTCCCACACCTCAGCCTCCCAAGTAGCTGGGATTACAGGTACCCACCATCATGCCCGACTCATTTTTGTATTTTTGTTTTCACCATATTGGCCAGGCTGGTCTTGAACCCCTAACCTCAGGTGATCCACCCGCCTTGGCCTCCCGAAGTGCTGGGATTACAGGTGTGAGCTACTGCACCTGGCCTTTATTTATTTATTTATTTATATTTTTGAGACAGAGTCTTGCTCTGTCATTCAGGCTGGGGTGTAGCGACATGATCTTGGCTCACTGCAACCTCTGCCTCCTGGGTTCAAGCAGTTCTGCCTCAGCCTCCCGAGTAGCTGGGATTACAGGCGCGCGCCACCACACCCAGCTAATTTTTGTATTTTTAGTAGACATGGGATTTCACCATGTTAGCCAGGCTGGTCTCAAACTCCTGACCTCGTGATCCGCCCACCTCAGCCTCCCAAAGTGCTGGGATTACAGGTGTGCACCACTGTGCCCGGCTTTAATTTATTTTTATAAGACTAGTCAAGTGCAGTAGTGAGAAGGGGGAAAGAGTAGAACAAGGGTTTAGTCTGTAACCATAAACAATCAATTGAGATAACTCTACCTGCAGACCAACCAAGGTAAGGTTTATCTTACTGCATAGCTAGGCAAGTGAACTTTTCTTTCCTGTGGAAATACTTCATTTTGACAACATTAACACAAGTACAGAAGCTACTGGGCCTAGTCCCATGTCCTTGAAGGCTATGGTTCCTTTTTTTTTTTTAATTGAGACGGAGTCTCGCACTGTCACCCAGGCTGGAGTGCAGTGGCGCGATCTGGGTTCACTGCAAGCTCCACCTCCCGGGTTCACGCCATTCTTTTGCCTCAGCCTCCCAAGTAGCTGGGACTACAGGCGCCCACCAACACGCCTGGCTAATTTTTTGTATTTTTGGTGGAGACGAGGTTTCACCGTGTTAGCCAGGATGGTCTCGATCTCCTGACCTCGCAATCCACCCACCTTGGCCTCCCAAAGTGCTGGGACTACAGGCGTGAGCCACTGCGCCCGGCCTGTGGTTTCCTTTTAATTGAGTTAAAATTACAGCCTGGAACTCTGAGGCTGTGGTTTTTTAAATAACGGGTGATGAGCTGCTCTCTAGGAGAATGTGATTAATATAACTGAATGGTCAATTAGTTTCATGGTCTTATAAAGAAACCCAGACCCTAAGCCCCTGGATGAGCTCAAAGAAATTGTTCGCTCTGCTTAATCACAGCAACTTTTCAGAAGCTTTTACGATCTACCCTGTAATGATTGTTTCCCTTGGTACTGACCATCTTTGAAAGGGTTAATAGACTTCCAGAGTTCCTTCCTCTTCAAAACACCTGGCCCAAGTTGTCATGAGTTATTACTGGTTATTAATGGTAGGGTGAGGGTGGTTAAGGCCCTCTGTCCCCAAGCTGTCCTCGCAGCTTTTTTTTTTTTTTTTTTTTTTTAATATGAGACAGAGTTTCGCTCTGTTGCCCAGGCTGGAGTGCAGTGGCGCGATCTCTGCTCACTGCAGCCTCAGCCTCCCGGGTTCAAGTGATTCTCCTGCCTCAGCCTCCCAAGTAGCTGAGATTACAGGCGCCCGCCACCACGCCCAGCTAATTTTTGTATTTTTAGTAGAGACGGGGTTTCACCATGTTGGCCAGACTGGTCTTGAACTCCTGACCTAGTGATCTGTCCGCCTCAGCTTCCCAAAGTGCTGGGATTACAGGCGTGAGCCACTGCGACCTGCCTATCCTCACAGCTTTTATCCCACTTGATTAAATGCTTCCAGTCAGTGGTTGCTTTTTCCCATGATGCTTTTTTAAATAGATAAGATTGAATAAGGTACACAATAGCTGCGTATTCCTAAATAATATCTTTCAGAAATGTGCTCATCATACATGGACAGATAGAAATAGAACTTTCATTCTGTAGTCTCTTTTATTCTGAGAGTGTGTCACTGAGGGTGAGTATTCAGACTGGTGTACATGTAGCAACTGTTTGGCAGAGGGAAAAGCTGTCTTTGTTGTCAGAGATTTTGATTAAAAAAAAAAGTCCTGAGCTATTTTATAGTTGCCTATGTCTTACATGATTAACTAAGATGTATTTCCTCTTTCTAATTACAGAAATCCATAACCATCAGCCTTGTTCAAAACTTTTTAGGTAAGCCATATGTAAGCTTTTAGTCCTTACTAAAAGGATTGATTGATAAAAAAAACTAGTGAATTTTGGCCTGTAGCTGATTGTGGCTGTAAAGTCATGAGGGTACCCAAATCCATGTATTTATTGAGTGCTTTGTACACGGCACTGTGTTAGGTTAGGAAAAGGGAAGGGAAGAGTGTCAATTGTGGGCTTAGTGATTTAGAATGGAAGTATTTCCTCTCAGCCTATCAAGGGCTCTTCAATTATAGAGAAAAAGTTAATCAACATAAAATAATTCAAAGGATGTTCTTAACGAGGAATAAAAAATGTTTTGTGTTCAACTTTAAAAATGTAAGAAAAAGGAGCATAAAACGTTCTTTTTGTGTTTGTTGAAGTGAATACAGTAGTCCCTGCTTATCCTTGGGCAATATGTGGCAAGACTCCAGAAATCGTGGCTAGTACTGAACCCTATCTATATGTACTATGGTTTTTCCTGTATGTACATACCTATCATGAAGTTTCACTTATGAATGAGGCACAGTAAGAGATGATTGAAGTTATGTGAATGTGTCCACTCACTCTCAAACATATTTGAGAGATTGACCAAGGGTAACTGAAACTGGAAAGTGAAACCGCAGACAAGAGGGGGACTACTGTATACACCAATGCCATATTATGACCAACTAAAGGACAGAACGAAAAAGAAATAAAGGGAGAAACGTTCGGAAAGGAGAAAGCATACAACAGAGAGACACCTGGAGGGAAAAGAGTGAGGAAAAGAAAGTCCAGGGTCTCTTACTCACTGGACTTCCCCCCAAACCACCACCAGGCCTATGCCTTCTTTCTCAGCCCCAAACCCTTCCACCTAATGGCTGGGATCACGATTTCAACTCTGTGTTTCATAAAACTCCCCGAGACCCAACTTCTTACCCTTTCCAAAAGCCAGGCCAATGCTTTCCTTCTAGCACTGCCCACACGAATACAATCAGCGTTCTTGATCAGCAGTTCCTTCCGTAACGCCAGCCAGCCCTTTCTGCTTGCCGCTTCCTGCTGTTCCCTGCAGTTTTCACCCTGACCACTCTCCCACTGTCAGCTGGCCCAAACACCTGGCCCCCTTGCACCCAAAAATCCCTGGGGACTTGTGTCATATTCACCCTCGAACATCCACCCGCACCTATTGATTGCTTCAGAGAATTGTCACCATGCAAGATGGCTACCTATAAATGAAGCCATCAGTTGCTGAGAACCTCGCCTCTTTTAGATTTACACATAAGCAAAACAGGAATGGGGAAGCAAGACGAGCAGCCAGCAGTTCGTTTGAGGGGAATCTCAGAGCAAGTGAAATTGTTTAGGCTCTGGTTCACACATTGCTTCTGTCTGGTCTACGAAGGTGTCTGATTTGGTCTTGACTGTCCAAAGCTTCTCTAGGTGTACCCTGCCTCAGCCTTCTCAGGAATTCATTAAAATACTGTCAGCAAAGTAGTACCAGAACAAGGATTTGAGTTTAAAGAATAGACTTAGTTGGCCGGGTGCGGTGGCTCACGCCTGTAATCCCAGCACTTTGGGAGGCCAAAGCAGGTGGATCATGAGGTCAGGAGATCGAGACCATCCTGGTTAACACAGTAAAACCCCGTCTCTACTAAAAATACAAAAAATTAGCCAGGTACGGTGGTGGGTGCCTGTAGTCCCAGCTACTTGGGAGGCTGAGGCAGGAGAATGGCATGAACCTGGGAGGTGGAGCTTGGAGAGAGCCGAGATCGCGCCACTGCACTCCAGCCTGGGTGACAGAGCGAGACTCCATCTCAACAAAAAAAAAAAAAAAAAAGATTAGACTCAGTTATTAGAGCCAAAAGAAACCTTAGATAACATCTGTCTATTCCAAACTCCTTATTTTGCAAAAAATGGAATGGAAACCAGGTGGAGTGACTTGCCCCAGATCATATAGTGAGAAACAGAACTGGAGCTGGAGCTTGTGTCTCTTGCCTTCCAAGTCAGTGGCTTTTTTTGTTTGTTTTTAACCGTATCTTGAACTCCTTTCTGGCTTATAAGGCCCAGGTTTATGGTGGTAGGAAAGAAGTAGAGGTGTGGCTTTCCCAAGCCCATGTCCAGTAGTAGAGGAGGCCCACGCATCATTATACCTGGATGCGCACCACGGGATCCTGGTCATGTTGGTCTCTTTTGGAGGTGATTGTATTAGGTTCGAAGCTAGCCAGACCTGGCTTCAAATTCCAGCCCTTCTGTCTACCAGCCCTGTGATTTGGAGGAAGTCACTTGGCCTTGGTGTGTTTATCTATGAAACTGGGAATAAAACTTGTGGAATTGTTGGGTCAAACTAATACCTCCCAGCACTGAGGCAAGAATGGAATGAAACAACCTGAGAAAGTAGGCAGCCCAATGTCTTCTTCCACATCCCACAAATGTTTACTTCCCTTCTTCATTTCTCAGAAAATGAGCTGCTACGTTATCTTTTTTTCATAAGTAATTGATACCTAGAAACAAAGAAAAATGTCACAGCCATTTGAAACCCCACATTTTATAATTACTTGCTATCAGCACCTCCCACATGTGGAAGTAATATCTTTTGAATGTAGCAATCTCTTGAGTATTCGTCAATGCAAAAGGGGCCTCATTTCAGAAAAACATTTGGACTGATTTCTCTTTATTCACCTGTGTAAACCTGTGTAAGGTGAGAAGTTAGGTCTTCATTAGGGTTACCACAGGCATATGCAGCCAAGCACGTCTATGTCACAATACTATGTGGTGTTAGTACAAGATTTTTTTCTCTTAAACAGTTTTTATGACTACGCAAGCAAAGTGAATGAGGAGAGTTTGGACAGGATTCTTAAAGATCGGAGAAAGGTATGTTCTGTTTGTTGCCCAGTATGATTCTGAAATCGTTCCTTATCACCGAAAAGATAAAACCAGACAGGAATGTAAAATGGAACAATAAGATTTCATGTTAATATGTAAAAGTTTTGTTAACCTACATAGATTTTTTGATGTATTAATAGAAAAAAATTTAGATATTTATAGCATGATACCATTATTATTACATGCCTGTAATACCAGCTACTAAGGAGGCTGAGGAATGAGACTTGCTAGAACCCTGGCGGCAGAGGTTGCAGTGAGCCAAGATTGCACCACTGCACTCCAGCCTGGGAGACAGAGCGAGGCTCCATCTCAACTTAAAAAAAAAAGAAAAAAAAAAAAAGTTGAACACAGGTGTTTTTCCAAAAGGTCATGTATTTATTATTTCTATCAACATTTGCATATGATGTTCTAGTTATGTGTAGACTAGGTAAGCAAGTCTGAATACAACTGAAAATAAACCAAAGTTTTATTGTTGCAGTAGTGTCTAATAATGCCATTGGTAATTTACCGTGTTATACTATGTATGGGTTTTACTTTTTTTACCTTGGGATATTAATTCTATAAAAATAGATCCGTTACTAACCATCTCTTGAGGAAGAAAGTACCAATAAAAGTTTTCAACTTGTCAAACAGAAAACAAAATGCCGTTGTTTAACAGTGTCAGGAGTAAGTGCAGTTATATTAAAACAACAGCCATTCTAATGTACAGGAGCAGGTAAGGATAAAAGGAAGAATAGGAAGTGTGGAAGCATAGGTCAGAAGAAAGGCAAATAGCTTTATGCATGATAGTAAACTCAAGAGGTGCTCCATCCTGGTAGTCTAACCAAGCTGCCTGCCCAACCAGGAAGGGGTGTTAAAGCAGCCACAGGCATCACGTGGTCCAGTGCTCTCATACTAGTGATTTGCCTGGGAGCAGACATTCTGGAATCTCTTAGCAGCCCGTCCCTCATCTCTCAGATGCTACCTTACCTCCTCATTTTTCATATTTTAAATTATGAATCTTCATTATACTTTTTTTTAAAGTTTTTTATTTTTTTGAGATGGAGTCTGGCTCTGTCACCTAGGCTGCGGTGCAGTGGCGCGATCTCGGCTCACTACAAACTCCACCTCCCAGGTTCAAGCAGTTCTTCTGCCTCAGCCTCCTGAGTAGCTGGGACTACAGGGGTGCACCACCACACCTGGCTAATTTTTACATTTTTAGTAGAGACAGGGTTTCACCATGTTGCCCAGGCTGGTCTCGAACTCAAGTGATCCACCTGCCTCGGCCTCCCAAAGTGTTGGGATTACAAGCATGAGCCACCGCAGACGGCCATGAATCTTAATTATACTTTCTAAAACTAAAATTTGTTCTATAAAGATTCTTTTTGGAGCAGAATTTTCTAGAGCACTCACTACATATTAGAAGTACCAGGAAGTATTTTTTAAAAACAGATTTCAAATTTTTATTTTATTTGTATTTATTTATTTTGAGATGGGGGTCTCATGTTTTCCCCCAGGCTGGAGTGCAGTGGCATGATCATGGCTCACTGCAGCCTCGACCTCCCAGGCTCAGGTGATCCTCCCACCTCAGCCCCCCAAGTAGCTGCAACTACAGGTATGCACCACCACACCTGGCTAATTTTTTGTTTTTAGTACAAACGGGGTTTTGCCATGTTGCTCAGGCTGGTCTCAAAGTCCTGGGCTCAAGTGATCTGCCCACCTCGGCCTCCCCAAGTGCTGGGATTACAGGTGTGAGCCACTGCACCTGGCAGATTTCAAAATTTTAAGTGAGAAAAATGAGTAACGACCATGAACAGGAAATTCACAAGAGAAAGAAGAAATCGGCTGGGTGCGGTGGCTCATGCCTGTAATCCCAGCACTTGGGGAGGCGGAGGCAGGTGGGTCACGAGGTCAGGAGATTGAGACCACCCTGGCTAACACGGTGAAACCCTGTCTCTACTAAAAATACAAAAAATTAGCCAGGAGTGGTGGCACGTGCCTCTTGTCCCAGGTACTCAGGAGGCTGAGGCAGGAGAATCGCTTGAACCCGGGAGGCAGAGTTTGCAGTGAGCTGAGATTGCGCCACTGCACACTCCCACCTGGGTGACAGAGCGAGACCCTGCCTTGGAAAAAAAAAAGAAAGAAGAAATCCACAAATGGCCAAGAAACAACTGAAAAGATACTCTACCTCAATCAGGAAACACAAATTGAAACGAGATACTATTTTTTGCCCATAAGATTGGCAAAAGAGTAAAAAGGTTAGTAATACCCAGTGTTGGCAAGGCTGTGGGTAATGGGGAAGCAGTAGTTGGTGGAGTCTAAATTAACACAGAGATTTGGGAGGACAGTTTTGCAATCACCGAAAGAATTTTGAATATTCCATTTCACCTCTAGGAATCTGGCTCAAGAAAATAATTTTACATGGGTTCAACAATACAACAACCTGGAATAACTGAACACTTGAACTCTGTGTGGGGGCATGTTCTGCACGCTTCACGTGTATTGATACATTTAATCCTTGCACCAGACCCGTGAGGCAAATTACTCATTTTATAGTTGAGAAAACTAAGGTTAAATCATTTGCTTAAGGTCATCAGCAATTCATGATGGAGCCATGGTTTAAACCAAGCCGTCCAGCCTCAATCCAGTGCACAAGGATGTTTGTTGTTTGGTTATTTTGTAGGGGGGATTTTGAAAGCAACCTAAATGTCCAGCAGTGGGGAACAGTGAAATCAGTTCTGTTGGCGCTTCCATACTATGGGAGATGAAGCAGTCCTTACAAAGAAGGAGAGAGGTTTTCATGTAATGACATAGAAAGATCTCTAAGTTATGTTACATGAAAAAAAGCAGATTGTAGTTTGAGCCCATTTTATATAACAACAAAAGCCTGAGTGGGTGTTCAAATACACAGGAAACGATCTGAAAGGATGCTAGTCAGACTTGGGAAAGGGAGTGAATAAAGGGTGCAGGTATCTATTGATGAAGGAAGAATTTATTTGATAAGGTTTTTTTTTCTTTTAATGACTATGTATTTTATAATTGAAAATAAATTGAAAACAAAGATTCTACAGCCGGGCTCGGTGGCTCATGCCTGTAATCCCAGCACTTTGGGAGGCCGAGGCAGATGGATCACCTGAGGTCAGGAGTTCAAGACCTGCCTGGCTGACATGGCAAAACCCTGTCTCTACAAAAATACAAAAATTAGCTGGGCATGATGGCGGATGCCTGTAATCCCAGCTACTCGGAAGCCTGAGGCAGGAGAATGGTTTGAACCCGGGAGGTGGAGGTTGCAGTGAGCTGAGATTGCATCATTGCGCTCCAGCCTGGGCGACAGAGCAAGACTCCAACTCAAAAAAAAAAAAAAAAAGACTCTATTATGTAGTCTTTTCACTAGTAGGTAGGGACACATTTGTAAATTAATTTTGGCATTTTTAAGGAGGTTTGCTGTTTGAGACACAGAAGGCCACTCGTTGGTTGCTATCTAGAGTTGACTGCTTTTTCTGCGGCCAAGAGTCTCAAAACAGTTAAAAGTTGGTCTATAGTTTTGATTTTATAGAATTTTGTGCTAAAACAAATGTTCGTGTTCTCCTTTGCAATTAGTGATATGAGTTTGTTGTTTCATTTTACTTGGAAAATATGTTTCATTTCCTTGATATTTGTTGAGAGTGGGAGCTATATATTTCCTTTGGTACCTTATATAAAGTATGAACTCTGTAAGGATTTTTTTCAAAAATCTGAATTTCCAGCACAAAGACAGAGATGATATATAACACTTAGATTTCAAAAAAAAGCTTTATAATTCTTGTTTGGATTTTTTCCCCTAGGATAAGTACAAAATTTTATCATTACCTCAAAAGGGTGGTTATATGACCCACAAGGTACATGTAAAATGTTAGGCTTAAGATAGAGGCTAATGTTTTTGATAAGAAAATCTGCCAGTAGGTACAGTTTGGTCACAGGCTGAATTACTGTTCTGGCAGAATCCATACGTGCTTACAATGTTTGCACAAGCCTCAGGTTTTAGGCTAAGGCCAAACAAAGCAAGTAAGGAGGATTCGTGCTTTCCGGAAGCTCTGAAATTGATAACAGTAACTGAAACAGCCATCCTTGTATCATCATAAGGCCAAAAGAACACAAGCTAAAGACAATAAACGTGCCCATATTGGGATGAAAATGTAAGCAAATGCCTAGCATAGAGAATAGTCTGTGGTCTGTGGATAGAATAGTCTGTGTGAAAAATTGGCCGAGAAACATAAGCAGAGACAAGGTTTTAGGGAAAGATATCCATAATTCTTCATCATGTCCCAAATATAGCTATGCAAAATGTGCTTTTCAACATCAGTGACTTAGTTTCTCAGTAGCTTTGCAACTAGTTTGTTCGTTAGCTCTAAAAGGTAGAATCAAAGATATCACCAATACACATTAATTTGGCATCTCATCCTTCATTGATGAGAATGACAGGAGAATCTGTTTTGTTTTGTTTTGTTTTGTTTTTTGAGACAGAGTCTTGCTCTGTTAGCCACCCTGGTACAATGGCATGATCACAGCTCACTGTAGCCTGGCCCTCCTGGGCTCAAGTGATCCCCCTGCCTCAGCCTCCTGGGTAGCTAGGACCACAGGCGTGTGCTTTTTAAATTTTTTGTAGAGATGGGGTCTTGCTATCTGGCTCAGGCCGGGCTCAAACTCCTGGGCTCAAGTGATCCTCCTGCCTTGGCCTCCCAAAGTGCTTGGATTACAGTAGTGAGTCACCACACCCAGCCAGGAGAATCTATTTAGAACTGTTGGCATCTATCAAATCAATAAGCTGTTATATGCCAGGCACTGTGGCTCACGCCTGTAATGCCAGCACTTTGGGAGGCCGAGGCTGGCAGATCACTGGAGGTCAGCAGTTCGAGACCAGCCTGGCCAACATGGTAAAATCCCATCTTTACTAAAAATGCAGCTGGTTGTGGCAATACACTCCTGTAATCCCAGCTACTTAGGAGGCTGAGGCATGAGAATTGCTTGAACCTAGGAGGTGGAGGTTGCTTGAGCCAAGATCGCGCCACTGCTCTCCAGCCTGGGCCACAGAGCAAGACTCCATCTCAAAAACCAAAAAAAAAAAAAAACAAAACAAAGGCAGCTAGGAAAAAAAATGAAATAAAATAGTTCGAATTGGCATAACTGAAAAGCACTATTAGTCATCCAATAGCCACCTTGCAAGATTCTGCTAGTCAATGAGTATTTCATGAAAACAGCCAGTGTGCTGAGCACTGTTCAGGTCTTTGCAGGAAGGCAGGGGAAGTGCAGGGCATGCCTGAGGTCTGCTGAGTAGGTAATTCCAACATTCCAAGTAGGAGTTGGGTACAGAGTATTGAATCTTAGAATGAAATGTGCTATGTTCACCTGCATCAATAGCTCTATCTAATTGTATCCAAGTTTTCTTGAAAGGAAAACTACTTTTACCTTTTTTATGGCCACCATCATGTCTAGTGTAGAATGTGAAAGTTAGTGTTGCCCAGTGGAAACAGGCAGGCATCTTGATTCCACATCTTGGCTGTCACTCATGAGCTCTGTAACTTCGGACAAAACATCTCTTCTATCAGATTATATACTGAGGCCAGGCACAGTGGCTCAATGCCTGTAATCCCAGCACTTTAGGAGGCTGAGGCGGGTGGATCACTTGAGGTCAGGAGTTCAAGACCCACCTAGCCAACATGGTGAAACCTCATCTCTACTAAAAATAAATTAGCCAGGCGCGGTGGCACATGCCTGTAATACCAGCTGCTCGGGAGGCTGAAGCAGGGGAATCGCTTGAACCCAGGAGGTGGAGGTTGCTGTGAGCCGAGATCATGCCACTGCACTCTAGCCTGAGTGACAAAGCAAGACTCTGTCTCAAAAAAAAAAAAAAAAAAAAAATTATACCCTGAGAGAAAGGCTTGGGTTTTCTTTTTATTTAAGGGATATCAGAATTAATTGCTTTAATCTATGGGAAGATATGTTTTATGTTCAGTAGTACTCCTTAAGTCAGGAACTATTGCTTATTTCTTTGTTCTCTGTAGTTCTTTGCATATGATATGAACTCAATGGAGAAAACATTATTCACTTAGAGTGGTGTAGTAATTAGTGAAAATATTTGTGACAATGCTAGCCTCAGCAAAAGTTGGCTTACTTTCTACATGAAAATGTCAAAACAATCTCAATTTACTATTAATTTTAATTTTAATATGACACTATTAGATTTAAACTACCTTTGCTTCTTAAAACAAGATTTTAACTCAGAGTTGGTTTCAAAGAAGGAAGCTGTATGAAGATTGATCTTCTAATAAAGAATTAAATGTTTTGAAAACAGATGTTTTTAAATTTCAGTATGCAAAAGAAAAATTCAGAAACTTACTTAAATTCAGATTCCTGGCTCTATCTTGAGAGGTTCTGATTCTGCAGATTTGGGTGGGGTCCAGGAATCTGCACTTTAGGGATGGGGTCCAGGAATCTGCACTTTAGCAGTCTTTCAGATATCTCTGAAGTCATCTGTCTTCCTGATGACCAACAAATCACATTATGAGAAGTATTCTTCCAGAGTGCATAACAGTTTCATTAGCCAGTTTAGTTATGCTATAGTTAGAGCTGAAAAAGCTAAACTTTTAAAATAGATTTGTTGAGGTAAAATTGACATATAACACATATCTCAAATGTATGCTCTTAGAAGTTTGATGTATGTGTAAACTTGTGAAACCATCACCATATTAAGATAACGAGCATCTCCTTCACCTACAAAAGCTTCCTCGTGCCTTTCCAGTCCTGCCTTCTCCCCTCATTCCTGTTAACCACTGATCTTCTTTATGTCACTAGATTAGTTTTCATTTTCTAGAATTTTGTACAAATAGAATCCTATAACCTATACTTCTTTTAGTGAGGAGGTGTCTAGCTTCTTTCACTCAGGATAGTTATTTTAGGACTCATTCATGTTCCTTTTTATCACTAAGTAGGATTCCAGCATATGCCTGAAGCACAGTCTGTTTATCCATGCTCCTGCTCATGGACGCTTGGGTTGTTCCAGGGTGGGGCTTTTGCACATAAAGCTACTATGAACATTTGTGCATGTGTGTTTGTATGGATACATTCAGAATTAAATTTGTAAGATTTCATGCAACTTTTCACACTTTTCTTTCAGAAAGTCATTGGGTGGTACAGATTCCGGCGCAATACGCAGCAGCAGATGTCCTACAGAGAGCAGGTTCTTCACAAGCAGCTCACCCGCATCCTCGGCGTGCCCGACCTCGTCTTTCTTCTCTTCAGCTTCATCTCCACTGCCAACAATTCCACTCACGCTTTAGAATATGTGCTCTTCAGACCAAATAGAAGGTAAAGCTTGCTTTTCCATCTGCCTCACATATAAGAAGGACGTTGGGACCAGGCGTGGTGGCTTACGCCTGTAATCCCAGCACTTTGGAAGGCTGAGGCGGATGGATCATGAGGTCAAGAGATTGAGACCATCCTGGCCAACATGGTGAAATTCAAAAATTAGCTGGGTGTGGTGGCACGTGGCTGTATTCCCAGCTACTCGGGAGGCTGAGGCAGAAGAATCGCTTGAACCTGGAGGCAGAGGTTGCAGTGAGCCAAGATTGTGCCACTGCACTCCTGCCTGGCAACAGAGCAAGAATCCATCTCAAAAAAAAAAAAAAAGGATGTTGGTACAAGTCACTGAGATTCGTGACTTCAAAAATGTGCATTATAGTGCATTTTTTTTTTTTTTTGAGACAGAGTCCAGCTCTGTCACTCAGGTTGGAGTGCAGTGGTGCAATCTCGGCTCACTGCAACCTCTGCTTCCCAGGTTCAAGCGATTCTCTTGCCTCAGCCTCTCGAGTAGCTGGGATTACAGGCACACACCACCATGCTGGCTAATTTTTTTGTATTTTTAGTAGAGACGGGGTTTTGCCCATTTTGGCCAGGCTGGTTTTGAACTCCTGACCTCAGGTGATCCACCTGCCTCGGCCTCCCAAAACTTTATGCATCTTTAAATAAAAACTTGTATTATTCCCTTTAGCTCTTTTTGTGGTTACGGAAGGTATTTTTCTTGTCAGTTATTTACATAAAATTGTTTTTGGATCAAGAAGCATTAACAAGACATGTTTATTATGCATAAATTCTTATAAGGAATAAATAGCTGGAAATCATCATTTGCTTCTCCATAATCCACTATGTGGAAATGTAGTTTTATTGCTGTGGAAGTCTGATTATAATTTTGAAACATAAATTTCAAATACAAAATTGTGAAATTGAACCACCTGCTGGTTAACGAGGGTTTTGCATCGTGAACTTGTTAAACCAAAAAAAAAAAAAAACCACCCCTATGATTATATGATCATGTTGTCTGTTTGTAAACAGCAAAATGGTTTCCCTCTGGAAGTTTATTTGTTGTAGAATAAATTAAATTGACATCAGTGAAAATAATTGTTAATTGTTAAAAAGGTTTTTATAAGATTTCATTATGTAATCTGTGGGTATCTCTTGAGCACTTACAGGCTCAGCATTGTGTCAGTCACTGTGAGTATACAAAAGATGTGTAAGGCATGACCTGTGCTCTCAAGGAGTTGATAAGCAAGGTTTTACTTTACAGAAGGGAAAACATCACTAATTCATGTATCCTTGGGTTGTCTGTAGAAGGAGGTGCTCCGTGAGACCTTCCTGTTGGTTTACCAACGTCAGCAACTAAGACTCCTACCACCAAGCCCCATTCTTGCTTTAGTTAATTACTTTTATTTATTTTAATTTTATTATTACTATTATTTTGGAGACAGGGTCTTACCCTGTGACCAGGCTGGAGTACAGTGGCACTATCATATTTCACTGCCACCTTGAACTCCTGATCCTGTCACCTCAGCCTCTTAAGTAGCTGGGACTATAGGCACATGCCACCACGCATGCCCTTTTTAAAAAATTATTTATTTATTTATTTATTTAGAGATACAGTCTTGCTGTTGCCCAGGCTGGAGTGCAGTGGCACAATCTTGGCTCATTGCAACCTCCGCCTCCTGGGTTCAAGTGATTCTCCTGCCTCAGCCTCCCGAGTAGCTGAGACTACAGGTGTGCACCACCATGCCCGGCTAATTTTTTTTTTATTTTTAGTAGAGACAGGGTTTCACCATGTTGGCCAGGCTGGCGTTGGTCTCGAACTCCTGACCTCAGGTGATCTGCCTGCCTCGGCCTCCCAAAGTGCTGAGATTAGAGGTGTGAGCCACCACACCCAGCCCTTTTTTTTTTTAGACTGTCAGTCTCACTTGAATATGATAGAATGGTACATTTAACATGATCTCTCTGAATTTTTCCCATAGGTATAATCAGAGGATATCACTCGCTATTCCCAATCTAGGAAATACTAGCCAGCAAGAGTACAAAGTGTCTTCAGTGCCAAATACTTCTCAGAGTTATGCCAAAGTGATTAAAGAACATGGGTAAGTTGAAAGGTAAAGTGCTAGTTTTTTCTTTTGTCAGCAATATTTCTTTTGTTAATAACATTTAAAAGGTGTATGGAAAAATGTAAAACCAAGTTTGATATGATTAAAATTGAAGAATACAGTAAGGTAATTGTCTAGATACCACCAGCATGTATCAAAATTTTGTTCTTGTTGAAAAGATAGTTTACTTTTATGAATTTTTTAAATCATTTGCCACAATATTTTTTGTAATTGATACAAAAGTTTTGGATAGAGTATTATTTCTGAGGTTCTAAAAGCTAAACATAGTCACTGAAAAATACATAGCTTTTTATTATTTTTTAAATGATCTTGGTAACATGGGTTTTTTAAATTTCTCTTCTGTAATTCTTGTGGTATGGGCATTATTCCTTAAACACTGTCACCTCGGAGTCACAGCATTTAAACAATAAAGTGGAAGAGGCAGGAAAAATGCCTTTCCATTTCACCGCAGTTATGATAACCTTGAGGCATCTTTTTTCTGTTTGTCTTCCAGTACTGACTTTTTTGACAAGGATGGAGTGATGAAAGACATCAGGGCGATTTATCAGGTTTATAATGCACTTCAGGAGAAAGTTCAGGTAACTGATTTATTTATTAGTTTTCATCTTATTTGTCTTGCCCAAAAGCTTTTAATTCTACTTTAATTTTGAATTGTCTTCCAACTGACAAATAGAGTTAGGATCCGAAAGTCAGAATCTGCTTTCCCAGAACAGAGTCAAGCTGTGGAATAATGATTCATGCCGTCTCGCAGAAGCCTGGCTCACTCACTCTGTGCCTGAAGTAGATTGTTAATACTACTGTTTCAAATACTTACAGCCCCATTTGTGATAGTAGTTTTGCTAGGAAAATGTAGAAAGGCTTGCTAAGAACATAGCTGTCTCCATCAGTTATATTCTAAGTAGAGACAATATCAAAAGGCAGCCATAACTGGTTGCATCTCTGCTTCTTCATCCTAGTTCACTCACTTTGCCCCCAGCTGCCTCCATCGAGTGGGAGGATCTCGGCAGAGCCTGTTCACTCCTAGTCATTTATGCAACAGACATCAATGGAAACATCTCCTGTGAGCCAAATACTGAGCTTGGTGCTAACAATACTTTCCCACATTCTTTTCGTCATCCCCGCTGTGTTTTTAGGAGTAGTTTGCTCTAAAACCTAAGAACAAAAGAGCGTTTGAACTGGCCTTTGAGTACAGCAAAGAAAGTGGTAAAGTTGATGAAGCTCTCCCAGACCTGGAGAAAGCCTGACTTTAAGGAAAAAGGCTTTGGCCCGGCATGGTGGCTCACACCTGTCATCCCAGCATTTTGGGAGGCCTAGGCAAGAGGGTCGCTTGAGCCAAGGAGTTCGAGATCAGCCTGGGCAACATAATGAGACCCTATTTCTACAAAATAGTTAAAAATTAGCCAGGTGTGGCAGCATGCACCTGTAGTCCTCAGCTACTTGGGAAGCTGAGGAAGGAGGATTGCTTGAGTACAGGAGGTCAAAGCTGCAGTGAGCTACAATTGTGCCACTGCACTCCAACCCAGGTGACAGAGTGAGACCTCATCTCTAAAATATAAAAATAAAAAGGATGAAGGCCTCAGTGAGTAAAAAGAGGAATGAAGACAGATACTGAAAAAGAGGAAAACAGGCTGAGTTCAGCCTGGGGCAAAGGGAGAAGCATGCAAGAGCCATTTCCAGTCTAGTGTTCCAAATCAGGGCCACTGTGCACCTACCAGAATAGGGAACTTTATACAGACTCACTGGTCACCAGCCTACTTTCTGGAAGCTTCTGGTATTTCTGCTATGGAAGGAACTTGCAGTGGAAAATAGCTTTTTGTCCTGAATTCATGACCATGCCCTTTTCAGAATATCAGCACTGGCCAAAAGTGGCTGTTATATTTCATTGTTGATTGAATAAGGCCTGCTTTGAAAATACCAAATCACATAGAGTGTTCTCAGGATTATAAATAGCTAAATTACACAGATGTAGTCTCAGATAGCTATCTTTTATTAAACCTTGACTTTGAAACTTTTTTCAACTTTTCTTTAAAAATATTTTCTGTTAAATTGTCTTATCTGATTTTTTGAATGTTGGTAATAAATAAAAGTTGAAAGCATCTTATTCCTGTCTTATCTTTTGTTCTTCTTTGTATGCTAAACTGGTACCAAGAGTTCCCTTTTCATTTCAATAAAAATGATTAATCAAAGGAAAGAGTAGATCTTTCCTATCTTACCCTTACTGGTCAAGAATTTATAAGCTAAATAGCATAATCATCTTAAAATTAAAGCAAATCAGTGAATAATAACAATTCTAGTCTTTTGG
This sequence comes from Homo sapiens, assembly GCF_000001405.40. Taxonomy (NCBI): domain Eukaryota; kingdom Metazoa; phylum Chordata; class Mammalia; order Primates; family Hominidae; genus Homo; species Homo sapiens. The sequence goes on from NC_000010.11 coordinate 124,831,202, forward strand.
GCTTTCATGATTTTGTTCTACCTTATGTGGCTGCTTTTTAACTCAATAAACCATCTGGACTTTTCCTGGAGTTGTAATCAGCGCTGAATTTATGGAATGCCTTGTGCTTGAACTTGAAGCTAACCTCGTTGTCATTTTTTTCCTCAGGCAGTGTGTGCAGATGTTGAAAAGAGTGAGCGAGTTGTTGAATCTTGTCAGGCAGAAGTGAACAAATTAAGAAGACAAATCACTCAGAGGAAAAATGAAAAGGAACAAGAAAGAAGTAAGTTTCTTATTAATTTTACCATTCAGTATCAGGGAAATGTTGTTTTAAACATCAGATTATACTATACAATAAATTATGTGCCTCTTTCTACGCTCATCCAGTCTCAGATTAGCCTGGCTGGGGCAGAGCAGTCTCTTGTTCAGCTTCTCTGGAGGGCAAGTGCTGTTTTTCATAGTAGCCCCCTCAATTCTCTGACACTTGAAGAAAAAGAAGACGAAAGGTAGAAAAGCTGAAGTGGAAATTAGAATAAATCCCAAGAAGTTATTGATACAGATTTGTGTATATATTGACAATCGGACCTAGTTACAGTGAATGTGGTGGTTGTTACTAAGTTAACCACCCTGGCATGTCCAGCAGGTAGGCACTGTGTCCTGTCTTTTTTTTTTTTTTTTTTTTTTTTTTTTTTAGACGGAATCTCCCTCTGTCACCCAGGTTGGAGTCAGTGGCGTGATCTTGGCTCACTGCAACCTCCACCTCCTGGGTTCAAACGATTCTCCTGCCTCAGTCTCCCGAGTAGCTGGGACTATAGGTGTCTGCCACCATGCCCAGCTAATTTTTGTATTTTTTTTCTTGTTTTTTTAGTAGAGATGGGGTTTCACCATGTTGGCCAGGCTGGTCTCGGCCTCAGGTGATCCACCCGCCTCAGCCTCCCAAAGTGCTGGGATTACAGGTGTGAGTCACCACACCTAGTCTGTGTCCTGTTTTAATATAGCCTCATAGAGGAGCTACCAAATATTCTTTTAGCTTCATGTCTGGTCTTAGTAAAGGTTTTAAATGTCTAGTTTTGGTAGCCATGGATGAATAGACACCATTAGGCTAAGGAACAAACTGACTGAATGAGAATTAGGCCCATAAACCTAATAATTCCAGCATAACAGCCATGTTTGCTGTAACACCACCAGAATTAATATCTGTGTGTAAAATTTATAAATGTATGGCAGATAATGTCAAGTGTAAAAGATAAGGTTAGGGCTAAACTTTTCTAATTTAATAAGAATATATATAATCCAGTTAAAATGTAATTTATGTTTCCAGGCAAATATAACAGTCTGATTTACTGTTACATTTTTCTAGAAATAATCAGAAATACAGATAGGGCTGGGCGCGGTGGCTCACGCCTGTAATCCTAGCACTTTGGGAGGCCGAGGCAGGCAGATCACCTGAGGTCAGGAGTTCAAGACTAGCCTGGCCAAAGTGGTGATACCTCGTCTGTACTAAAAATACAAAAATTAGCTGGTCATGGTGGCGTGCACCTGTAATCCCAGCTACTAGGGAGGCCAAGGCAGGAGAATTCTTGAACCTGGGAGGTGGAGGTTGCAGTGAGCCAAGATCATACCACTGCACTCCAGCCTGAGCAACAGAGTGAGACTGTCTCAAAAAAAATAAAATAAAATAAAGAGGCCGGGCATGCTGGCTCACACGTGTAATCCCAGCACTTTGGGAGACCAAAGCGGGTGGATCACGAGGTCAGGAGTTCGAGACCAGCCTGACCAACATGGTGAAATCCTGTCTCTACTAAAAATACAAAAATTAGCTGGGCGTGGTGGCAGGCACCTGTAATCCCAGCTACTCGGGAGGCTGAGGCGGGAGAATCGTTTGAACCCAGGAGGCAGAGGTTGCAGTGAGCTGAGATCACACCACTGCACTCCAGCCTGGGCAACAGAGCAAGACTCTGTCTCAAAAAAAAAAAAAAGAAAGAAAGAAAGAAAGAAAAACTAGGCCAACCATGGTGGCTCACGCCTGTAATCTCAGCACTTTGGGAGGCCGAGGCAGGTGGATCACTGGTGCCCAGGAGTTCAAGACCAGCCTGGGCAACATGGCAAAACCCCATCTCTACTTCAAAAAAAAAAAAGCCAGGCATGGTGGCATGCACCTCTAGTCCCAGCTTCTTGGGAGGCTGAGGTGGGAGAATCACCTGAGCCTGACAGGTCAAGGCTGCAGTGAGCTGTGATTGTGTCACTGCACTCCAGCCTGGGTGACAGAGTGAGACCCTGTCTCAACAAACAGAAAACTAGGATATAAAACAGTGTAAACCAGGTAATGTCAGCCGTGTTTTATATACATGTACAGACAAACACCCAAAGCTGGATAATAAAACTGGAGTTCAGCAAGGATTAGTGACTTCTGTAACACAGCAAGGAAGTGAGGTCTGATACTTACAATTTAGTTCTCTTTGCTTGAAAGCCTGTGCCCTTTTCATCCTGACAGTGTTATTGGGATGATGGAATTGTGGGCAGCTTTTATTTTCTTTTTTCCTTTCTAAATATTCTAAATATTGTATGAGTGTGTATCAGTTTTATAATATTTTTTAAAAATTGAAATGTTACCTACAAAAACTTTCAAGGCTATATGGATTATGTGGGTTCTTTCACAACACTAATAAAAATAGAGTAAAACTGTGGTTCAGTATCTACTTAAGACAGGGTTTTTAAAGTTTTAAGGTATATAAGTGTATTATGACAGGTAGCTATAAAGGCGTATAAGTGTATTATTATTTAAGGTGTATAAGTGTATTATGAAAGAGGTATATTATGACAGGTAGCTATAAAGAAATCGGTTTTTTGATAGGAGGCTGCCAAAGAAAGAATCTCACATTTCCATTCCGTGTACAGGATGTTTCCATTTCAACCTTTGGGTCCCACAGTGTGACACAGCAAGCCCCACGCCAGGGAACCAGCACAGGTTGTGGAGCGACAGAGCCTGCATTCTGAGTCTCAGGCCCACTTCCAGCTGTCCCCTTAGTCACATCACCTCACCTTTCAGAACTCTGGTTTCTTTGCATCTATAATGGAAACAGTAATAATAACGATAATTATAACACTTCAGAAATTTGTCATGGCCTTAAATGAATTAATGTGTAGGGAAATACCTTGTAAATTATCAAGTACTATGCAATTGTAAAATAATTAATAGTGACAGTCAGCTTCATTGCCTCACTGCTATTTTCCAGAACATTCAGGTTGGCCGTGTTATACATTGAGATGAAAAGCTGTGAGAATCTAGAAAGTGTTAGAATATTCTTTGTTTTCATCCAGGATTGCAGCAGGCAGTGTTAAGCAGACAGATGCCGTCTGAAAGCTTGGACCCAGCGTTCAGTCCTCGGATGCCGTCCTCTGGGTTTGCAGCTGAAGGCAGAAGTACACTTGGAGATGCAGAGGCCTCGGATCCTCCTCCCCCTTACTCTGATTTTCACCCAAACAATCAAGAAAGTACTTTGAGCCACTCTCGCATGGAAAGGAGTGTCTTTATGCCTCGACCTCAAGCTGTGGGCTCTTCCAATTATGCTTCCACCAGTGCCGGACTGAAGTATCCTGGAAGTGGGGCTGACCTTCCTCCTCCCCAAAGAGCAGCTGGAGACAGTGGTGAGGATTCAGACGACAGTGATTATGAAAATTTGATTGACCCTACAGAGCCTTCTAATAGTGAATACTCACATTCAAAGGATTCTCGACCCATGGCACATCCCGACGAGGACCCCAGGAACACTCAGACCTCCCAGATTTAACTAAACAAAAGAAACTCTCCACCTAGCACTGTTTTTCTTCATTGCTTACTGAGAGGGTTTTTGAGAACTTAATCTGGGGGGAGAACTGCTTTCTCAGATACCTTAACTCCCGAGAAGAGAGTCCTTGTGCACAGAACTTGTGGGAGCCTCCATCCGCTGCTCTTTACCTTTGGATACAGTGTGCAAGTTTCATGACAGAATCATTAAGATAATCAAATTGTCCTAATTCTGGTGCGATTCATGGATATACTGGTAAATTTAGGCAAAGTGAAACTTATCAGCGTAGTTTCTGTTCTTTAAAATAAATTGGAAATTAGAGACTAAGCACAATTAGTCTATAAATGTTCTATAAATCAAAAACTTACCTCTTGCACTATCATGCCTTGAAATTTACTTTTTCAAAGGGAAACAAGTTTAGCAGCAGCCTTCAAAGAACTTCTTTCTATGATGAGCCAAATTCATCTTTGCCAGAAAAGAAATTTTGATAATTCCAAGAAGCCTGATTAGAACAAATCAGATATACCTTCTCTTGTCTGCATGACTTTGTGAGATAAAAGAGAGGGCTTCCAACTTTTTTCTACTAGCTTGATATGTATTATCACTTAAAATGGTTGCCTTTAAAAAAAAAAAGTAGAGATACTAATTACCAGTAAGTAATCATCCAAATAAATACGTCATAAAATAAATTAATTATTTTTTCTTTGATGGATTACAGTGACTACTGTGTTGCACTGGCACATTTATGGTCTCTGTTCTGGAATCTTGGAGGACACACAGCAGTGGAGAACAGAAGGAGTGAGTTTTATAATGAACAGATTCCAGACACGGTAGGTTTAGCTGAGTTCATACAGAGGAGATATAACTCATTTAGATCTTCTGACAAATCCTAGTGTTAGTTTTATCTGTGGAGGAAAGACATTTAATAATAAACTGTTTGGGAATCTTGGTGAATAAAGATTCATTTTCAAGCTGAATAACCATACTTATTTTATTTTAAGTTGCCATTTGGGGAATAATTGCAGTATGTGTAGAGACTCTCTTGGGATGCACTTATATTTTTATTTAATGACTACTTGTTTTCTAGTTTTGCCCACAACGTCTGAAACCACTAAGACATTCAGGAGCATGTTGAGCTTCTGGTTTGGAAACAGCAAGACCCACCATTTATGACAAGGACAGCCATGAGGTTAATACTTGGAGTTTAACTGCCTTCCCTTTGAACTAGTTAAAATCTGTAAGAATAAGGAAGTTGTTGAAGGCTTAAAATCTGGGTTCTGAAAAAGTAGTTTCAGTTTATAGGATACACATTTACTCACTGAGCTCCAGTTCCAATACTAAATTAGACAGTATCATATAGACGGAAAATGAAATGCTAGAACTGCCGTTCTTTGGATCGCCACTCTATGGGGGTCTGTCTTTTAACTACTCTCCTGGTTATGTTGGCCTTACACCACTGCCATTTGATTTAAAACGCTGCAGACCACTTTATCTGCAAATGTGTTCCAGTTGTTATCAGCTACCTACTACGCAGCTTCAGCGCCAGTGTGAATTTATTTTTTTTTAAGTGCCATTACCGTCTCCTCTGTTCAGATTTTGACATTCAGGAAAATATTTTTATTTTGATGCCATACTGAAATCTACAATGTATATCTGACAAAGCAGTTAAATGTGACAATAAAAAACTTATTTAATCATGGTACCATTGTTTTAATGTCTGTCTCAGCACCGGACAAGGCCTTGCCTCAGTGTACTCATTCTGGCAATTCATCATGGACTGAAAAGAGCTTTTTAAAGGGCATTAAAACTCATCTTCATACAAAGTTTTTGTCAGGCTGGTTTCAGGAGACATCCAGGAACACAACTTGCTAAAATGTTTCTGTGATTTTCAGGAGTTTCTGTTTCCAAAATATTTCTGTTGATTTCATGTTACCTACAGAACTAAGTATCAATTGTGTATAAAATTGAATCTTGGAGAGGTCCCCAAAAGGCATCTTCCACAGAGGAACTGATCTTGTTTAAAGTGACTCCTCAGCCTGGATTCCCTAACAGTAGAGATACTGTAGAACTTGCTGCCTGAGAGCATCTTAGGAATTGTGGGATCACTTTAGAACAAGGGTCAGCTGGCTAACAGGTGTATTCTGGATTCTGAGGGAGCCATTCCCGCTGAGTGATGTCTCTCTTCCAAAATGCAAGGGGAGAGTGTTTTCAGCAGGGTTTTAACGTGTGAATTACAGCCTTTTAGGATCCTACTCAACATCTCTAAGAATTTGGAGAAAAGGAGACTGGATTCTTTTTACTTACTTCAAAGCCTGGAAATGCCTGATTACATGTTGTAATTGGTTTTTCTGGAGTAAAATCAAAGCAGAAATCTCATACCCAAATATTCAGGATACGTATTTTTTTAATTGCAGACACAGTGGGGCATTGACCATAACTGCTTTAACAAAAATATTTAAATTGTCTTATAAGCCTATGTTTTAAGGAGATAAAAATAATCTGGGATGATGTAAAATAAGAATACAGTGGAACTAACTAATGGTTATTAACTGTGTTCTGGGTCTGACTTGCCTTGGCTGTAGGTTTCATTTCAGTTACTGAAAGATCTTCCTTTTTTCATTAGGATCTGCTTCATCCTTTCCCATAGCAAACCTGAATTCCACCAGACAGGCAGGAAGCCTGAAGGCAAATGGATTCGTAAATGTGGTGCCAATAAATAATGGAAAATGTTTACTTTTCAACTTTATGACAAATAGATTTTGGAAAAGTTCTGGGATTTAGATCAGCTGTCTTACTTTTATACAGCGATTTTTGTAATGTCCTAAATAAGGCGAGTCAGGACATAGAGTACCTCCAAACTGGGTTACTCTGGGGTTCTTCTGATCCCTAGAGATTGGGGGAGGACTACCTTCTAGCAATGAGGCTTTGAAACATCTGCAAGCAAATGTCCCTCTGGATGCCAGATGTGACATGTGGTCCAGAATGTAGTGCTTAACAAAAGAAAGCTCATTGCAGCATATTTCTAATAGCAAAAACCTGGAAGTGACATTAATGCTAATGTAGGGGAATGGTTAAATTTTGATACACTCCAGAAGAAATAGTGTTTGCAGCCATTAACAATATTAAGGTAGAAATAAAAAAGATGGGTGGGCGCAGTGACTCAGACCTCTAATCCCAGCACTTTGGGAGGCTGAGGCGGGTGGATCGCTTGAGCTCAGGAGTTCAAAACCAGCCTGGAAAACATGGTGAAACCCTGTCTCTATTCAAACAAAGCAAGGTCACTTGGGGTGGCTCACGCCTGTAATCCCAGCACTTTGGGTGGCCAAGGCGGATGGATCATCTGAGGTAGGGAGTTCAAGACCAGCTTGGTCAACATGGTGAAACCCCATCTCTACTAAAAATACAAAAATTAGCCAGGTGTGGTAATGCACGCCTGTAATCCCAGCTACCGGGGAGGCTGAGGCACGAGAATTGCTTGAACCCAGGAGGCAGAGGTTGCAGTGAGCTGAGATCGCACCACTGCACTCCAGCCTGGTCGACGGAGCGAGACTGTCTCAAAAAAAAAAAAAAAAGATTTCTTGACATGGAAGATACCAAATGAAGAAACCCAGGTGTCCAAACAGTATGTTTGATCTGATTTTTGTGGAGGAAAAAAAATAGTATTGTTCTTGATAGAAAACAGTCTGGAAGGATATTCACGTAAATGTTAACAGTGTTGTCCCAGGCAAGATGGATAATTTTTCTCTCTTTCATTTGTTTGCATTTTATAATTTTTCTGCAGTAAATGTTTGTATAATAAAAGACTTCAGAAATGGTGGTCACTGACTACATGAGTTATTTCATGCATACCACCTTAGAGGAGATTCTAGAAACATTCTCGATTCTCTGGGTTTCTTTACCACGCTTGAATTTTTCAGATCTGTGGCCAGTATAAGATAAACCTTGTTGATGCTCGTCTCTTCCCTGCAGTCAACCTTTATCTCATTTCCAGATAAAAATCACATTTTGTTTTGCCTTGACACTGATTTTTTTTTTCTAATAAATCTGGAGCCTGTTCGACTTTACTTAGTTCAGAATCCATTTCCTAAATTTCCAGGAAACACTTAAAAAATAACTTCAGAGACTGAAGGTAATTCAAAACTGGAGCAATTATTTATATTTTTCTTAAGGCAAAAGTGTGTCTACTGTAACATGGATGTTTTGAGTCTTAAAATGTAAGGCAGCTTTCCTTGATCCTGCAGATACTCTCTTTAGAAGTTTTTTTTTTTTTTTTTGAGATGGAGTTTTGCTCCATCGCCCAGGCTGGAGGGCAGTGCCGCGATCTCAGCTCACTGCAACCTCCACCTCCCAGGTTCAAGAGATTCCCCTGCCTCAGCCTCCTGAGTAGCTGGGACTACAGGTGTGTGCCACCACACCCAGCTAATTTTTGTATTTTTAGTAGAGACGGTGTTTCAATATGTTGGCCAGGCTGGTCTTGAACTCCTGACCTCAGATGATCTGCCCGCCTCGGCCTCCCAGAGTGCCAGGATTACAGGCATGAGCCACCGCACCCGGTCTGTTTGAAAGATTGTGTCATGCTTGCTGTAATGCTGGACAATGCCTTTCCTGCCGGGTGTTCCCTTAGGTTGTATTAAGTATTAGGAGATGTAGACCCTTGTTAGTCCAGTGCACATACAAACAAGTCTGGGAGGTGTTTTATTGCAAAGTAAATCTATACTTGTTTGGGACATTCGTTGTGACCAATCAGTTGTGGGCTCTGCTTGGTAGAGGGTGGGGCCATTTGGTCTCAACTGATTTGAAGCATGATTTATCTGTACTAGAATGTGTATCATCCAAAAGACCTTGTCCAGGGCCGGGCGAGGTGGCTCACTCCTGTAATCCCAGCACTTTGGGAGGCTGAGGTGGGTGGATCACCTGAGGTCAGGAGTTCAAGACCAGCCTGGCCAACATGGGGAAACCCGTCTCTACTAACAATACAAAAAATTAGCCGGGCATGGTGGTGCGCGCCTGTAATCCCAGCTACTCAGGAGGGTGAGGCAGGAGAATTGCTTGAGTCCGGGAGGTGGAGGTTGCAATGACCTGAGATTGTGCCACTGCACTCCAGCCTGGGTGACAGAGCAAGACTCCATCTTAAAAACAAAAACAAACAAAAAAGACTTTGTCCATCGTTTCAAGGTATGTCTGTGTGAGTAGAATTGGGGAACAGTAAGTAACTGCTTTCTGGAAATACTAAGCACAGGGTAAATCCCTGGCATACACGTAAGATGAGAAGTTAAGAGATGCATTTTATACAACTTGACTCCTTAAAGAGTTCTTCATCTTCTCAATCTGTCATGATCCTACCTGTTTTTTTGGTGGTGGTGGTGTTGTTATTGTTGTTGTTTTGAGACGGAGTCTCACTCTGTTGCTCAGGCTGGAGTGCAGTGGCGTGATCTCCGCTCACTGCAACCTCTGCTGCCCAGGGTCAAGCAATTCTCCTGCCTCAGCCTCCTGAGTAGGTGGGATTACAGGCGCCCGCCACCACGCCCGGCTAATTTTTGTATTTTTAGTAGAGACGGGGTTTCACCATGTTGGTCAGGCTAGTCTCGAACTCCTGACCTCAGGTGATCCACCCGCCTTGGCCTCCCAAAGTGCTGGGATTACAGGCATGAGCCACCGCGCCCGGCCACATGGCCATTTTTAAATTTTGTATACGAAAGTTTTAAAAGACATACTAAAGTGAGATAGTAAAAGAACCACAATTTTTTCCTTCCTCACTTTCAAGGGTTATCAACTATTTGACACCCTTGTTGAATCAACCCCCTTTCTGTTAAAAAGTTATTGCTATCCTCTTTTAATTTTTAATTTGTTTATTTGTTTTGTTTTATTTTGTTTTTGAGACAGGGTTTTGCTCTATTACCCAGGCTACAGTGCAGTAGTGCCATCATAGCTCACTGCAGCCTCAAATTCCTGGGCTCAAGCAATCCTCCTGCTTCAGCCTCCTGAGGACCACAGGCATGTGCCACCATGCCCAGCTAAGTTTTTTTTAAGAGATGGGGTCTCATTATGTTGCCCACACTGGTCTTGAACTCATAGCCTCAAGTGATCCTCCCATCTCAGCCTCCCAAAGTGTTGGAATTACAGGCTTGAGCCACTGCACCTGGCCTGCTATCTTCTTTTAAACCAAGCTTGGGCGGGGCACAGTGGCTCGTGCCTGTAATCCCAGCACTTTGGGAGGCCGAGACGGGTGGATCACTTGAGGTCAGGAGTTCGAGACCAGCCTGGCCAACATGGTGAAACCCCATATCTACTAAAAATACAAAAAAAAAAATTAGCTGGGCGTGGTGGTGGGTGCCTGTAACCCCAGCTACTGTGGAGGCTGAGGCAGGAGAATCGCTTGAACCCAGGCAGCAGAGGATGCAGTGAGCTGAGATCGCACCACTGCACTCCAGCCTGGGCAACAAGAGCAAAACTCCATCTCAAAAAAAAATTTTTTTTTTTTAATAAAAAGAAAGAAACAGCGCCCTGAATTGGCCTCAACTTCGAAAAATCTGGAAAAAACATGGGACCTTTGGGGAAATGATTGTGAGTTTTCTTAGGCATAATAGTGGTATGGATATGTGAGAGAGTCTCTTGATTTTTTTTTTTTTTTAGACAGAGTCTCGCGACAGCCAGGCTGGAGCGCAATGGCACCATCTTGGCTCACTGCAACCTCTGACTCCCTGGTTCAAGTGGTTCTCCTGCCTCAGCCTCCTGAGTAGCTGGGATTACAGGCACGCACCACCACACCCTGCTAATTTTTGTATTATTGGTAGAGACAGGGTTTCACTATTTTGGCCAGGATGGTCTCAACCTCCTGACCTCGCGATCCACCTGCCTCGGCCTCCCAAAGTCCTGGGATTACAGGCGTGAGCCACCGCGCCCGGCCGAGAATCTCCTGCTTTTAAAGAAACACAGGCTGTATGTTTAAGGGTGAAAACTCATGATGTCTGAAGCTCATATTCAAATGGCTCAAAAAACACACATGTACAGAGAAGGACAATCATGGCACAGGTTAGACTGTTGAATGTAGCTCATGGGGATGTGAATGTCTGTGTCCTAGTTTTTCAACCTTTTTGTATGTTTGGAATTTTACATAATAAAAGTTGGGAAAAAGCAGAAGAAGGGCTGATAATTTCTACTCCACCATTCCATAGGCAGAATGATAATAAAAATGTTCAATGACTGGTATGGAATATAATTATGCTAGAAATAATAAAATTGATATATGTTCTTTTACTCTTGAAATAAACTAAAATGTATAAAGAGGCTGGGCACGGTGGCTCACGCCTGTAATCCCAACACTTTGGGAGGCCGAGGCGGGTGGATCATTTGAGACCAGGAGTTCGAGACCAGCCGGGCCAACATGGTAAAACCCCATCTCTACTAAAAGTACAAAAATTAGCCGGGCGTGGTGGCATATGCCTGTAGTCCCAGCTAGTACAAAAATTAGCCAGGTGTGGTAGCACATGCCTGTAGTCCCAGCTGCTCGGGAGGCTGAGGCATAAGAATTGCTTGAACCCGGGAGGTGGAGGTTGGAGTGAGCCGAGATCACGCCACTGCACTCCAGCCTGGGTGACAGAGCGAGATTCAGTCTCAAAAAATAAAATGTATAAAGACATTTCAAATATGTATATACATCTTGAATGAAAGGGTATATAGTAGAGTATAAATTATTCACCATATGATTGTAATAATCTCCAAATCAGTTTTTGATGTTTACAGATTCTTAGCACGTTGTTTAGTTAACTGTCACTAGCTAAATGGGCCACAATTTGACATACGAATTGCATCAAACTCTTTCAGTGGCTTTCTTGGTAAGCTTAAGTAGAGGATCATTTCTGTCATCAACAATCTTGTTCACAATGCTGGATTCCCTCTTAGCTTCTGCTAGCCCCAAAGCATCCACATTTAGAATTTCTCTAGCCTTAATCATACTTAGGTTTTAACATAGCCAGTATCTCTATCATCAACTGTATTGAAAACACTTTGTTAGAATGGCTGTTTCATTAATTTTTGTTTATTTAAAATCCACAGAGCTTTGCAAACGTCAGCTGGCCAAATGTCAGGATTAAGTAAATTAAAAGACCTCAAAGCTAACTATATTTGTTTATGTTTATCATAAAACAGCAAATATGTTCTCATGTAGTTTGTTAGACAATTTAATAGTTTTTGTGGGAATTGGCACTTTATTATTTCAAAAGGCTCTTATATTTTTTGTTTTTCTAATGATTTCTGCCTTTTCAAGCTTTATCAGTTTTATATATCCAATCACTTCTATTATTTTGTCAACTTTAATAATTTCTTCCTCATAGACTTAAACTACTGACATCTCTGTTAGAATATCATTTATTACTGGGTGCCATGGCTCATGCCTATAATCCCAGCACTTTGGGAGGCTGAGGCAGGCGAATCACTTGAGGTCAAGAGTTTGAGCCCAGCATGGTGAAACCCCATCTTTACCTAGCACTTTGCGAAGCTGAGGCACGTGGATCACCTGAGGTTGGGAGTTCGAGACTACCCTGACCAACATGGAGAAACCCCGTCTCTACTAAAAATACAAAATTACCTGGGCATGGTGATGCATGCCTGTAATCCCAGCTACTCAGGAGGCTGAGGCAGGAGAATCGCTTGAACCTGGGAGGCGGAGGTTGCGGTGAGCCAAGATCACGCCATTGCACTCCAGCCTGGGCAACAAGAGTGAAACTCTGTCTCAAAACAACAAACAAACAAAAAACAAACAAAAATTAGCCTGGCATGGTGGCAGATGCCTGTATTCCCAGCTACTCGGGAGGCTGGGACAGGAGAATTGCTTGAACCTGGGAGGCAGAGGTTGCAATGAGCTGAGATCACACCACTGCACTCCAGCCTGGGCAACAGAGGAAGACTCCATCTCAAAATAAATAAATAAATAAAAGACTATCATTTACCAAAGCCACTTCTCTTTAAGTGTTTCCATTGGCCAGACATTTAACTACTTCTCTTTTATAAATTCCATTAAAGGGAATATTGAAGACTCAATTTCCAAGCTACTTTTGTAGCTCTAGCACCTCAGATTGCCCACTGAGGTCTAAATATTCTAATTTTTAATTTTTAGGTTCTCAGCTCTTTTAATATTTAATTTTCTCTATTTGATAGAGTCGTAAATATAATTTTTTATAAAAAGATATAAGGTGATTTAACTGACATATCTTTTATTACAGTATTGACAAATAATTGAATATATTCCATTTAGTATCATATGAAAACATCCAAGGCTGGGTGCGGTGGCTCACGCCTATAATCCCAGCACTTTGGGAGGCTGAGGCGGGCGGATCACCTGAGGTCATGAGTTAGAGACCAGCCTGGCCAACATGGTGAAACCCTATCTCTACTAAAAATACAAAAATTAGCCAGGCGTGGTGGCAGGTGCCTGTAATCCCAGCTACTCCGGAGACTGAGGCAGGAGAATCACTTGAACCCGGGAGGTTGTAGTGAGCCGAGATTACCCCATTGCACTCCAGCCTGGGGGACAAGAGCGAGACTTTGTCTCAAGAAAAAAAAAAAGAAAAGAAAACATCCAGAAAATTTTCTAAACTCTAGCCAAAACTTTAGACTTTCTTTGTAACATTACACTGACACTATCTACATGAAATCAATAATGTTTACTTGTAAATTCTTCTCAATGGAATAATTTCTTTTGAATAGTCAACAATAAAGCTCAGTATGTTATTTCTTTTTTTTTCTTTTTTTTTTTTTGAGACGGAGTCTTGCTCTGTCGCCCAGGCTGGAGTGCAGTGGCACGATCTCGGTTCACTGCAAGCTCCGCCTCCCAGGCTCACTCCATTCTCCTGCCTCAGCCTCCCGAGTAGCTGGGACTACAGGCACCCGCCACCACGCCCAGCTAATTTTTTGTATTTTTTGTAGAGATGGGGTTTCACCGTTTTAGCCAGGATGGTCTCGAGCTCCTGACCTCGTGATCCGCCCACCTCAGCATCCCAAAGTGCTGGGATTACAGGCGTGAGCCACTGTGCCCGGCCTCAGTATGTTATTTCAAGTATTATTCATAGGACAACAGAAAGCATTATATATCTTTAAAATCTTAAATTTTGTGGTTCATGCCTGTAAATTAGCCAAGCGTGGTGGCGGGCGCCTGTAGTACCAGCTACTCCGGAGGCTGAGGTAGGAGAATGGCGTGAACCCGGAGGCAGAGCTTGCAGTGAACCGAGATCGTGCCACTGCACTCCAGCCTGGGTGACAGAGCGAGACTCTGTCTCAAAAAAAAAAAATCTTAAATTTTGGCTAGGTATGTTGGTTAATGCCTGTTATCCCAGGCCAGCCTGGCTAATTAAAAAAAAAAAAATTTAGGCTGGGCGCGGTGGCTCACGCCTGTAATCCCAGCACTTTGGGAGGCTGAGGCAGGTGGATCACAAGGTCAGGAGATCGAGACCATCCTGGCTAACACGGTGAAACCCCATCTCTACTAAAAATACAAAAATTTAGCCAGGCATGGTGGCGGGCGCCTGTAGTCCCAGCTACTTGGGAGGCTGAGGCAGGAGAATGCAGTGAAGCTGGGAGGCGGAGCTTGCTGTGAGCCGAAATCTCACCACTGCACTCCAGCCTGGGTGACAGAGCGAGACTCCATCTCAAAAGAAAAAATTTTTTAAATTTTTTGTAGAAATGAGGTCTCACTATGTTGCCCAGGCTGGTCTCTAGCTCCTGGGCTCAAGCGATCTGCCCACCTCAGCCTCCCAAAGTGCTGGGATTACGGGTGTGAGCCACCGCATTCAGCCCATGCCACAGTTTTCCTCCGGTTTCACAACTGCATGGTATTGACTGAGGGGTTCCAAGCTCCTGGGTGCATGGACATGTTCGTGTGCATCGATGACCTGGGCGACTCTGTGGTCCTGCCTGGCCGTCAGCAGCATGGACGCATGGCCGCCATCCTCATCCTCATTCTCCAGTTGACATTTCTAAAAATGACCTCCGGTGATGAAGTCCATGGGACCAGCAGCATTTTGAAAGTAAGGATGAGTTTCTTGGACAGTAGCCACTCGTGAGGGTGACCAACTGTCTTGGTTTGCCAGGATCCTCCTGGTTTTAGCATTGACATCTCCAGGTCCTGGAAACTCCTCTAGATGGTTGGTCACCTGACCTCTGTGTAAACTGAATCCAAGGATCCAAATCAAATGGTATTAAGGGAATGGTGGTTTTGTAGGACGCCGTCCACCCTGCTATAGTAGCTTGTTTTTCCCCCGGGAGACATTGGCAAAGCCTTGTAGCATCCTGGGCCATCCAGGCCAGTACAACTCTATGTTCAGTGTAATCACTTACAGGCTTTACAGACGAGAAGAACTGAACACTCCTGGATGAACAGCGACTGTGGCTTAAAGAAGAACCACAGGGGAGAAATCCACTGGGAGGGTGTGGCAGGAGGCGAGGAAACCAGAGCTGGCCTCCTCAAAATGCCTTAAGCCAGTGTGTCCTCCAAGTAATGGGGGCCATCCCTCCTGCCACGGGGTGTTCTGTAAGAGCAGACTTCCCATCCTCTTTCCTTTCAGAGCGGAGGGACTATCTCTGCTCCCCACCACTTCCCCAGGCCATCAGCTTTGGTCCAGCTGGAAGGATTGATTCCCTGTCCATTCAGCCCTGGCTTCTCTCCTGAGCCCCTTTTCCCCAAGCACACCTCTGTCCCGGGGAAACACCAAGATTCTCTGTACACACTCACTCGCTGTCCAGTGGTGATGGAGACCCGCATTCTGGTGTGGTGACCTCAGGAGATTCCTGGCCCTCCATCCCAGGTCTGGGAAGTAGCTTACAACAGTGGGCTTTGGAGTCAGACTCACCTGGGGCTTGAATTTCAGCCCTGCCATTTCCATAACTGTGTGCCCTGGGCAAGTTACTCAACCTTTCTGAGCCTCATCTATAGGTACAGTAAATATGGATGGATGGTAATACTTTTTTCGTAGGATATTGAAGGATTATGTGAGTTAGAGTGTAGAAGCCTTAAAACAAGCCTGGAAGACAATAAACTCTGATAAGTTGTGGCTACTGTTGTCTTGAACTAAGTCTTCTTCCAAGAGGCATTGTTTTATAGACCAGAGGTCAACTGGTGTTGTAAGCTTAGGACTGCTGTGCTCAGACCTTCTTTTCAGGTGGGGCCCCACGAAGGAGGCTGGGGATCATTGTGGGAAACACGGGGGGATCAGGCCACCTCTTCCTCATTTTATCTGTTGATTAGATTGGGCTTTGGGCAAACTTTGCTCAGAAAAATTTTATTTTATTTTTTTGCGACGGAGTTTCGCTCTTTCACCCAGGCTGGAGTGCAGTGGCGTGATCTCGGCTCACTGCAACCTCTGACTCCCGGGTTCAAGTGATTCTCCTGCCTCAGCCTCCCAAGTAGCTGGGACTACAGGCACCTGCCACCACACCCAGCTAATTTTTGTGTTTTTAGTAGAGACGGGGTTTCACCATGTTGGTCAGGATGGTCTTGAACACCTGACCTCGTGAACCACCCGCCTCGGCCTCCCAAAGTGCTAGGATTACAGGCGTGAGCCACCACGCCCAGCCCAGAAAAATTTTAAAAGGTCATATAACCACATGGCCGGGTGTGGTGGCTCATGCCTGTAATCCCAGCACTTTGGGAGGCCGAGGCGGGCAGAACACTTGTGGTCAGGAGTTTGAGACTAACCTGGCCAACATGGTGAAACCCCATCTCTACCAAAAATATAAAAAATTAGCTGGGCGTGGTGGCAAGTGCCTGTAATCCCACCTACTCAGGAGGCTGAGGCAGGAGAATCACTTGAATCTGGGAGGCGGAGGTTGCAGTAAGCAGAGATCACACCACAGCACTCCAGCCTGGGTGACAAAGGGAGATTCTGTCTCAAAAAAAAAAAAAAAAAAAAGGAACTGCACTATTTAGTACAGGAGCCAGCAGTCAGTCACACGTTGCTACTGAGCACTTGAAACGCAGCTAGCAAGGCGAAAGAATTGAGGTTTTTTTGAGGCAGCATCTTGCTGTCACTCAGGTTGGAGTATAGTAGTGCAATCATGGCTCCCTGCAGCCTCGACCTCGTGGGTTCAAATGATCCTCCTACCTTAGCCTCCTATGCAGCTGGAACTACAGACATGTGCCACCATGACTGGCTAATTTAAAAAAGAAAAATTTTGGCCGGGTGTGGTGGCTCACGCCTGTAATCCCAGCACTTTGGGAGGCCGAGGTGGGTGGATCACCTGAAGTCAGGAGTTCGAGACCAGCCTGGCCAACATGGTGAAACCTTGTCTCTACTAAAACTACAAAAGTTAGCCGGGCATGCTGGTGGGCACCTGTAATCCCAGCTACTCGGGAGGCTGAGTCAGGGAGAGTTGCTTGAACCCAGGAGGTGGAGGTTGCAGTGAGCTGAGATGGTGCCACTGCACTTCAGCCTGGGGGAGAGACCCTGTTTTGTAAAAACGGGGGTCTTGGGGCCAGGCGCAGTGGCTCACGCCTGTTATCCCAGCACTTTGGGAGGCCGAGGCGGGCGGATCACGAGATCAGGAGTTCGAGACCAGCCTGACCAACATGGTGAAACCCCGTCTCTACTAAAAATAGAAAAATTAGCAGGGTGTGGTGGCGTGCGCCTGCAATCCCAACTACTCGGGAGGAGGATGGCTTGAACCTGGGAGGCAGAGGTTGTGGTGAGCCGAGATCGAGCCATTGCACTCCAACCTGGGTGACAGAGCAAGACTCCGTCTCGAAAACAAACAAACAAACAAAGAAAAAAACGAGGTCTCAATTTGTTGCCCAGGTTGCCCTTGAACTCCTGGCCTCAAGCGATCCACCCCCCCTTCCGATCCACCGCCACCTCTCAAAGTTCTGGCATTACAGGTGTGAGTCACTGCACCTGGCCCAAGTTTTAAATTTCATTCAATTTTAATTCATTTAAATCTAGATTTAAGAAGCTGCATGCCATATGGCTAATGGTTACCAAATTGGATGACATAGGATGCTGACCCCTCATTTCACAAAGAGGGAACAACCGAGGCAAGAGTAGCATGATGATGGGCCCAAGGTCACAAAGCCACTGAAAGACCCAGAGCCCAGGCCTCCTGCCTCCTCTTACAGCTGTGTCTGCTCCAGACCATGACGGGCTTGGAGAATGTCAGCACAGGAAAGGATAGTAGAGATCCTCTCCGGCAACATTTGTCCCAGATTGAAATAAACAAAGGACAGGCTGGAGCATTTGCTCTGGGCCCCACGGGGCTTGGCATCCTGCTCAGGAAGCGTGGCTGTCCTCAGCCCAGCCTGGGACGCTCTTCACAGTGTCCTGGCACCTTGGATGCAGACAGGCCAGAGCGGGAAGCATAAGGGGAGCTCGCCTGGGGCAGCTGCAATCTCGGTGACCCTTGTCCTGACAAGCACACTCCTCCCCCTGCTCAGGACGTGACAGGGAAGGCTGCATCAAGCAGAAGCCAACCTCATTTCTGCAGCTCATCCACACCTTCCACTTGCTCAGTCCTCGGCCTGCCTGCTCAGAGGTACCCAGGTGGAGGATCAAATTAATCCCCTTCTTCATCCGGAGGCTGGCATTCAAATCTCCACCCACCCAGGGAGAGTGGGCACAGAGTTATGGGCGAGGCTGAGTGACATCCAAGCCCTCAGGAGAAAGAGGATGGCGAGAGAGAGCCCTGGCACCTTGCTCTAGCCATCTGCTGCCGACCCGGCCTGAGTGCACTGTGCCTGAGCAGACGCTGGGAGAGGGTGCTCCAGGCACCTGGAGAGCAGGTGGGACTCATGTGCAGCCCCGTTTTGTTAGCATCTTCTCTCCCTCCTTCACTCTTTCTCTCTGTTCTCCAACCCTCCCTCTCTCCCCACCCCTTCACTCCCCTTCTCTTTTGTTCGAGTAAATTTTTATCAAGGTGTAACATATATACAAAAAAGGACACAAATCATAAATGTATAGCTTGTCAGATTTTCACAAAGTGAACATACCTATGTGACTGGCACGAACATTAAGAAACAAAACATTGGCCGGGCTTGGTGGCTCATTCCTGTAGGCCCAACACTTTGGGAGGCTGAGGCAGGTGGATCACCTGAGGTCAGGAGTTGGAGACCAGCCTGACCAACATGGCGAAACCCCGTCTCTACTAAAAATACAAAAATTAGTATTTTTGTATTTGGGTGTGGTGGTGCGTGCCTGTAATCCCAGCTGCTTGGGAGGCTGAGGCATGAGAATTGCTGGAACCCGGAGATGGAGGTTGCAGTGAGTCGAGATCACAGCACTTTGGGAGGCTGAGGCAGGCAGATCACCTGAGGTCAGGAGATCAAGACCATCCTGACCAACATGGTGAAACCCCATCTCTACTAAAATACAAAAAAAAAAAAAATATTAGCCGGGCGTGGTGGTGCATGCCTGTAGTCCCAGCTACTTGGGAGGCTGAGGCAGGGGAATTGCTTGAACCTGGGAGGCGGAGGTTGGAGTGAGGCCAGATCACACCACTGCACTCCAGCCTGGCGACAGAGCAGCCGGGCGGGGTGGAAAGCGCCTGTAATCCTAGCTACTCTGGAGGTTGAGGTAGGAGAATTGCTTGAACCCGGGGTGCAGAGGTTGCAGTGAGCCGAGATGGCACCACTGCACTCCAGCCTGGGCAACAGAATGAGGCTCTGTCTCAAACCAAAACAAAATAAAACAACATGCCTGTGCCTCACAATTTCCCTTCATGTCCCCTCTTGGTTGTTACCCTCACTCTGTTAACCTCTATCAACATAAATTGATTTTGTCTGGGCCGGGCACGGTGGCTCATGCCTGTAATCCCAGCACTTTGGGAGGCCAAGGTAGGCAGATCACCTGAGGTCGGGAGTTGGAGACCAGCTTGACCAACATGGAGAAACCATGTCTCTACTAAAAATGCAAAATTAGCTGGGCGTTGTGGCACATGCCTGTAATCCCAGCTACTCATGAGGCTGAGGCAGAAGAATCGCTTGAACCCAGGAGGCGGAGGTTGTGGTTAGCTGAGATTGTGCCATTGCACTCCAGCCTGGGCAACAAGAGCGAAACTCTATCTCAAAAAAAAAAAAAAATGATTTTGTTTGGTTATAGACTTTCCTACTTCTTTCACCCAACATGATGCTTGTATGATTCATTCAGGTTGTTGAGTACCCAATGGTCAACTGTTGATGGACATTTGAGACTTTTGAAAGGTGGGTGCAAATAATGCAGGTGTGAACATTCTCATCATGTGTTTTGGTAAATGTATGTCAGATGTCTGCATATATTTGGGGTATATAGATAGCTAAGAGTGAATTGCTGGTCAGAAAGGCTGCAAATGTTCAGCTTTAGTAGAAGCCAACAGTTTCCCAAAGTTGTCCCACCAAGTCACACTCCCACAGCAAAGTATGGGCATTCCAGCAACCCCATCTTCAACCACATTTGGTATTGCCAGTTTAAAACATTTTAGCCATTCTGCTTAGCCTGCAGATCACTGTGATTTGCAGTTGCATTGCCCCAGAGACTGATGAGCTTATTTGGTCCTGCACCTGTTTTTTTGTCATGTTGTCTGCCTTTTTCTTATTGATTTGCAGACTTCATATATATTCCAGATACGAGGTTTAAGATATATATGCATGTGAATGTGTATATATATATGTGTGTGTTGGTATACATACATATGTATACATACCAACTATCTTCTTTCTCCCATTTAGTAGCTTGTCTTTTTACTCTTTTTTTTTTGAAACAGAGGGTCTTGCTCTGTCACCCAGGCTGGAGTGCAGTGGTGCAATCATAGCTTACTGCAGCCTCCACCTCCCAGGCTCAAGTGATTCTCTCGTGCAGCTGGGACTGCAGGCTCACACCACCACTCCCGGCTAATTTTTTTAAATTTTCAGTAGAGGCAAGGTTGTGCTATGTTGCCCAGGCTGTTCTCGAATTCCTGGACTCAAGCAATCTTTCTACCTCAGCCTCCTGAAGGTTGAAATTACATGTGTGAGCCACCTCTCCAGGCCATTTTACTCTCTTAAAGATGATTTTTGCTTAACAGAAATTCACCATTACAATCTAATATAATTTACCAATTGTTTTCCTTTATGGCTGTTTTTGTATCTTGTTTAATAAATCTTTACCTATCCAAGGCCATGAAACTTTGAGTTTGTTTTGTTTGTTTTTTTCAAGAAGATTTATTGTTTTAACTTTTCACATTTTTATTTTTGTATATGGTATGAAGGAATGGTCAAATTTTTTTTATGTTTTGTAATCTAAAGGCCAACGTTTACTTTTTCCCTATGAATATTCAGACAGTCTGGGCAACATGGGGAAACCCCATCCCTACAAATACAAAAAAAATTAGGCAGGCACGGTGGCATGCACCTGTAGTCCCAGCTACTTGGGAGGTGGAGGTGGGAGGAATGCTTGAGCCCAGGAGGACGAGGCTGCAGTGTGCTCTGATTGTGCCTATGAATAGCCACTGCACTCCAGCCTAGGTGACAGAGTGAGACCCTCTCTCAAAACAAAAGAATGTCTGGATGATTCAGCACCAGTTGCTAAAAATTACCGCTTCCCACTGCCCTGAATTATTACATTTGTCATAAATCAAATCAAACACAGATCTGTTTCTGAGCT
This sequence comes from Homo sapiens, assembly GCF_000001405.40. Lineage (NCBI taxonomy): Eukaryota > Metazoa > Chordata > Mammalia > Primates > Hominidae > Homo > Homo sapiens. Next base: position 124,852,563 of record NC_000010.11, read on the forward strand.
TTGTTTTTTTTTTTTTTTTTTTTTTTGAGACAGAGTCTTCCTCTGTCCCCCAGGCTGGAGTGCAGTGGCCCAATCTCGGTTCACTGCAACCCCCACCTCCTGGGTTCAAGCTATTCTCATGCCTCAGCCTCTTGAGTAGCTGGGATTACAGGCGCCTGCCACCACGCCCAGCTAATGTTTGTATTTTAGTAGAGACGGGGTTTCACCATGTTGGCAGGCTGGTCTCAAACTGCTGACCTCAGGTGATCTGCCTGCCTCAGCCTCCCAAAGTGCTGGGATTACAGGTGTGAGCCACTGCACCTAGCCGAGGCCTATTTATCTTAATGTAGGCTAGCAATAACTGTTAATGTCTGGTAGTATGAATCCTGGAGCTTTGCTCTTGGTCACTCTTGGCTGTTTGCATTTCTATATATGTGTCAGAATTAGCTTGTCAACTTCTGCATGCCCCCAAATAATCTTGCTGAGATTTTTAAAATATTGCATTGGATCTATAGACTAGTTGGGAAGAATTGACATCTTTACGATATTGAGTCTTCTAATCCATGAACTAGCTGTCCATGTGTGTGTGTGCCTGTGTGTGTTTTGAGATGAAGTCTCGCTCTTGTTCCCCAGGCTGGAGTGCAGTGGTGCGATCTCGGCTCACTGCAACCTCCGCCTCCCGGGTTCAAGCGATTCTCCTGCCTCAGCCTCCAAAGTAGCTGGAATTACAGGCGCCTGCCACCACGCCCAGTTAATTTTGTATTTTTAGTAGAGATGCCATTGCACTCCAGCCTGGGCAACAAGAGTGAAACTCCGTCTCAAAAAACAAACAAACAAACAAAAAGAAGTATTAGTCTCAAACTTGATCTCAGAGAGAAAGCTTTCAATATTTCACATTCAGTAAGGTGATTCCTGACCAGGTGCGGTGGCTCACACCTGTAATCCCAGCACTTTGGGAGGCTGAGGCAGGTGGATTGCTTGAGCTCAGGAGTTCGAGACCAGCCTGGGCAATGTGGTGAAACCCCATCTCTACAAAATACACACACACACAAATTAGCCGGGCATGGTGGCGCATGCCTGAAATCCCAGTTTACTCAGGAGGCTGAGGCATGAGAATCGCTTGAACCTTGGAGGCGGATGTTGCAGTGAGCCAAGATCCTGCCACTACCCTCCAGCTTGGGCAACAGAACAAGACTCTGTCTCAAATAAGTAAATACATACATACATACATACATACATACATACATACATACATACAAAGATATTTTCTCTAGATTTCTTGTTTGGCAGATATTCTATCAGACTGAGGATGTTTCCTTAACTTTCTATAATCTTTTATTCCTTTTGTTTTTCTTTCTCTCTACCTTTTTCTATTTTTTTTTAAGGTAGGGTCTCACTCTGTCGCTCAGGCTGGAGTGCAGTGGTGCGATCGCTGCAGCCTCCATCTCCCAGGCTCAAGCCATCTTCCCATCTCAGTCTCCTGAGTAGCTGGGACCACAGGCACGTGACACCATGCCCGGTCACAAAATTTTTTGTATTTGTACACAAAAATTTTTGTATTTTGTGTAGAGATGGGTGTTGCCATGTTGCCCAGGCTTGTCTCTATCTCCTGGGCTTAAGCCATTTATGCACTTCAGCCTCCCATAGTTCTGGGATTACAGGCGTGAGCCACTGCACCCAGCCTTATTCCTTGTTTTCTGGTAAGTTTCTTTTTATTACTACAAATGAATATGAAATGTTATCAAACACATATAATGTTTCCCCCTTTTTGAGTTAAATGTGGTAAATTATATTGATTTTTAAATGTTAAAATAATCTTTCATTTATAGAATAAACTAAGTTTCTTGTTAGAGGTATTCACCTTTTCATATTTTACTGGATTTCATTTGCTAATATTTTGCTAAGGGACTTTACATCCATGTTCATGAAAGATTCACCTGTAATTTTCCTTTTTTATAACATCCTTATCAGATTTTAAAATCAAGGTTGTATTGGCTTTGTAAAATCAGCTGGCCAGTGTTCCATCTATTACCATTCTCTGGAAGAGTTTGTTTAACATTGGGGTTATTTTTTCTTAAACTCTTTGAAATAATTATCTGGTAAAGCCATATGTAACTGGTGTGTGTGTGTGTGTGTAAGAGAGACCTGATCATGGCTCACTGCAACCTCAAACTTCTAGGATCAAGCAATCCTCCTGCCTTAGCCTCATGAGTAGCTAGGACTATAGGGGCTCACCACCACATCTGGCTAAGTTGTTTTCCTTTCTTTTCTTTCTTTCTTTCTTTTTTTTTTTTTGGTAGAGATGGGGTCTAGCTATGTTGCCCAGGCTGATCTCCAACTCTTGGGCCTAAGTGATTCTCCTCCCAAAGTGCTAGGATTACAGGTGTGAACAACCTTGCCCAGCCCTCAACTGCACATTTTTTGAGACAGGTTTTCATGCTGTTGCCCAGGCTGGAGTGCAGTGGGGTGATCATGGCTCACTGCAGCCTCAACCTCCTGGGCTCAAGCGAGCCTCCCACCTCAGCCTCCCCAATAGCTGGCACTACAGGCTCGTGCCATCCGGCCTGGGTAATCTTTTTTCATTTGGTACAGACGTCTCCCTATGTTGCCCAGGCTGGCTGGAACTCCTAAGCTCAAGTGATCCTTCCCACTCAGTCCCCCAAGGTGCTGGGATTACAGGCATGAGCCGCCACCCCCAACCACATTTCTTATTTCATTAATTTCTGCTTATATCTTTATTATTTGCTTTCTTCTATTTTACTTGAATTTTACTTACTGTTAACCTTTTCCTAGTTTCTTGTAATGGATAAAGCCTTTCTTGTTTTCTAACATATGTCTTTAATACTATAAATGTCTTTCTAAGTACAGCTTTATCTGAACACTGCAAATTTTGTATTTGCTCAAATATTAACTCTTTCTGGCACTTCTATTTTTTGTGTAGATTTGCATTTCCATCATGTATCATTTTCTTTCTGCCTGAAAAATTGCTTTTAACATTTCTTGCAGATCAGGTCTGCTAGTGATCAATTCCCTTGGCTTTCTTTCTTTTCTTTTAGAGATGAGGTCTCACTATGTTGCCCAGGTTGACTCATGTTCCTGGGTTCAAGCGATCCTCCTGCCTCAGCCTCCTGAGTAGCTGTGATTACAGGTACATGCAACCTTGCCTGGCTTTTTTTTCTTTCCTTTGAGAAGGGCCTTTATGTTGCCTTCATTTAAAAAAAGATATTTTCTTGTTCTTTCTTTCTTTTTTTGAGATGGAGTTTCGCTCTTGTTGCCCAGGCTGGAATGCAATGACGCGATCTCAGCTCACTGCAACCTCCGCCTCCTGAGTTCAAGCTATTCTCCTGCCTCAGCTGGAACTACAGGTTCACCACCACACCTGGCTAATTTTTGTATTTTTAGTAAAGACAGTGTTTCACCATGTTGGCCAGGCTGGTCTCGAACTCCTGACCTCAGGTGATCTGCCTGCCTCAGCCTCCCAAAGTGCTGGGATTACAGGCATGAGCCACCATGCCCGGCCTAAAAAAAGATATTTAAAAAAAAAAGACATTTCCACTGTACATAGAAATGTAGTTTGATGACTTTTTTGTTTCAGTACTTTGGAGATATTTTTCCATTATCTCCTGGCCTAGAAAGTTTCTGATGAAAGTCTACCACCGTTCTTATCTTTGTTCCTCTGTTCCTAATGTGCTTTTTAAATAAAAAAGCTCTGGCTGTTTCCTTTTATTATTACTATGTTTTTTTATGGAGATGGAGTCTCGCTCTGTCGCCCAGGCTGGAGTGCAGTGGCGCCATCTCAGCTCACTACCACCCCCGCCTCCTGGGTTCCAGCAATTCTCCTACCTCAGCCTCCCGAGTAGCTGGGATTACAGGCACACGCTGCCACACCCGGCTAATTATTTTGGATCTTTTTTTAGTAGAGAAGGGGTTTCACCATGTTCCCCGGGCTGGTCTCGAACTCCTGAGCTCAGGCAATCTGCCCGCCTCAACCTCCCAATGTGCTAGGATTACAGGCGTGAGCCACCGTGCCTGGCCAACTCTGGCTGTTTCTAGGATCTCCTTTCTTACCACTGGTTTTCATCAAGTGGATTATAATGTGCTTTGGTGTCGTTTTCCCTGTGTCTGTCTTGCTTGAAGCTTGTAGAGATTTTCTGGATTTGTGGGTTAGTAATTTTTCATCAAATCTGGAAAATGTTCCATCATTATTTCTTCAAATAGTTTTTTTGCCCTCTCCCCTCCCTTCCTGAGGCTCCAGTTAAACAAATGTTAAGCTATAGAATTTTATCCCACAAGTCACGAGGTTCTGTTCTCTTTCTTTCAGTCTTTTTTTCTTTGTGTGTTTCAATTTGGATAGTTTTTGTAGTAGCTACATCTTCAGCTTTACTGATCTTTTCCTGTGTCATATTTTATTTGCTTTTAAACCTATTCAGTAACATTTTATTTCATCTCTAGATGAAACATTGTAATTTTCATCTCTAGAACTTCCATGAGGGTTTCTTTCAGATCTTCAATTTCTGTCTCCATTGGGCCCCTCTTTTCTTTAAATACTTTAGCATATTGAACACATTTCTTTCTTTCTTTCTTTTTCTTTTTTTTTTTTTTTTTTTTGAGATGGAGCCTTGCTCTGTCACCCAGGCTGGAGTACAGTGGCGTGATCTCGGCTCACTGGAACTTCCACCTCCCGGGTTCACGCCATTCTCCTGCCTCAGCCTCCTGAGTAGCTGGGACTACAGGCACCTGCCACCACACCTGGCTAATTTTTTGTATTTTTAGTAGAGACGGGGTTTCACCGTGTTAGCCAGGATGGTCTTGATCTCTGACCTCATGATCCACCCGCCTTGGCCTCCCAAAGTGTTGGGATTACAGGCGTGAGCCACGTGCCCGGCTGAACACATTTCTAATAGCTGTTTATCCTTACATACTAATTTAATAATCTTTCCTTTTAGGTCTTTTTCTCTTCCTCTCTCTTTTTTTTTTTTTTTTTTTTTTGAGACAGGGCAGTTTCTCACTCTGCCATCCAGGCTGGAGTGCAGTGGTGCAATCTTGGCTCACTGCAGCCTTGAACCTCCCTGCAATCCTCCTGCCTCGGCCTCCCAAGTAGTTGGGACTATAGGCATATACCACCACCCCCAGCTAATTTTTATATATTTTTTGTAGAGATAGGGTTTCGCTATGTTTCCCAGATTGGTCTTGAACTCCTGAGCTCAAGAGATCTGCCCACGTCGGCCTCCCAAACTGCTGGGATTACAGACATGAGCCACCGTGCCTGACTGGGTCTATTTCTAATGACTGATTTTTCTCCTAGTTATGGGCCACATATTTCTACTTCTGTGCATGTCTGGTAGTTTCTAACTAGGTACTGGACATTGCACATTTTGTGTTTTTGAGTATTGTATTTGGTTGTATTCCTTCAAAGAATGCTGAGCTGTTTTATGGTAGACAGGTTATGGATGGATCAGTTGAGGGCTGTTAAGCTTTTTTAGGGCATGGTGTCTAACATTTTTAAAGAGAGAGAAATCGAGGCCAGGCGCGGTGGCTCACACCACCCAGCACTTTGGGAGGCCGAGGCAGGCGGAGCACGAGATCAGGAGATCAAGACCATCCTGGCTAACATGGTGAAACCCTGTCTCTACTAAAAATACAAAAAAAAAAATTACCTGGGCGTGGTGGTGGGTGCCTGTAGTCCCAGCTACTCAGGAGGCTGAGGCAGGAGAATGGTGTGAATCCGGGAGGCGGAGCTTGCAGTGAGCCGAGATGGTGCCACTCCAGCCTGGGCGACAGAGTGAGACTCTGTCTCAAAAAAAAAAATGTTATTTGTATTCACATTAGCAGGTTTATTGTTATTTTAGAATGAACTGATGAAAATTTAAAATTTCCTCAATTTTCTGTCCAGGCGCAGTGGCTCATGCCTGTAAAACCCAGCACTTTGGGAGGCAGCGTGGGAAGAGTGCTTGAGTCAATTAGTTTGAGACTAGCCTGGGCAATATGGCAAGATCCCATCTCTACTTTTTTAGAAAATAAAATAAAATAAAATAAAAATGTCCTTAATTTTCATTTTTAATAGGAGTCATTGATAAATATAATCCACATAACAAAAGCCCTCAATTTTGAGTCCTCAAAAATTTTAAGAGTCTAAAGAGGTCCTAGGACCAAAAAATTTGAGAGCTGCTATTTGAGAACAATAAAAATAAAAATTTAAATTAATATAATCTGCCAGCAACTGTGAAAAAGTTTTCCCACAGTAGAACACAAAACTTCCCTAGTCATTCATCGAACTAACAGTCTTTCATATTCTTTTCCTAGTTTTTGGGGGGTAGCTTTGAAGAATATGTATTCAGATTTTTAAATTTTCTTTGAGCTTCTAAATTTCTCTCACAAATAACATTTTTTAAATGAAAAGTACATTTTCTTTCCTTTTTTCAGACAGAGTCTCACTCCATTGCCCAGGCTGGAGTGCTGGGCATGATCTCTGCTCACTGCAACCTCCACCTCCCGGGTTCAAGCGATTCTTGTTCCTCAGCCTCCTGAGTAGCAGGGATTACAGGCGCCCACTATCACATCCGCTGATTTTTGTATTTCTAGTAGAAACGGGGTTTCGCCATGTTGGTCAGGCTGGTCTCAAACTCCTGACCTCCAGGGATCTGCCCACCTTGGCCTCCCGAAGTGCTGGAATTACAAGTGTGAGCCACTGCGCCCAGCCAAGTAACTACATTTTCTAAAACAAAAACACTTAGTGAGAACAGTAGTATTATTTTACACTTTTATAAATCTCCTTAATGTATGGCTTAACAGAAGACAGATTTTCATATTAGCTTCTACATTCAATCTGTGGCCCCTCAAAAACTCCACCATACACTCAGGAAAGAATAGGAGTATAAAGAGGTAAATAACAATTTAAGAATATTATTATTATTTTCTTTTTTTGAGACGGAATCTTGCTCTGTCACCCAGGCTGGAGTGCAGTGGCGCAATCTTGGGTCGCTGCAACCTCCACTCCCCAGGTTTAAGCAATTCTCCTGAGTCAGCCTCCTGAGTAGCTTGGATTATAGGTGCCTGCCACCACGCCCAGCTAATTTTTGTATTTTTAGTAGAGACAGGGTTTCACCATGTTGGCCAGGCTGGTCTTGAACTCCTGACCTCAGGTGATCCACCACCTCAGCCTCCCAAAGTCCTGGGATTACAGGTGTGAGCCACAGTGCCCAGCCAATTTAATATTATTATTAAAGCAGTTTGGACATCATGAACCCCCTGAAAATGTCTCAGGGACTCCAAGGAATCTCTGAACCACACTTTAAGAATCAGTGCTCTGGAAAGCAGTGTCCTTAAGAGAGCGGTTGATTCATAATGAAAACCTGCTCATGGAAGTCAAGCTCACGGGTGAGGCAAGGCTGAACAGTTGGCACTAAAGCTGCCATCACTAGAGAGGCAGTTCCTGGAGCTGCAGAGGGTCACGTCTGTCAGTTCTTTACTGCCTCCTCCTACGGCATCTCAGCTCTTTCTGCCATGATCACATTCCTCTTCCTAATGTACATCCTTTAGAAGCATTTTTTTTTTGAGTCAGGGTCTCTTTCTGTTGCCCAGGCTGTGGTGCAATGGCACAACCTTGGCTCACTGCAGCCTCAACCTCTGGGGCTCAAGTGATCCTCCCATCTCAGCCTCTGGAGTTACCAGGACCATGGGTGCACACCACCATACCCAGCTAATTTTTGTATTTTTTGTAGAGATGGGGTCCCTCTATGTTGCCCAGGCAAGTCTTGAACTCCTGGGCTCAAGCAATTTTCTTACCTCTGCCTCCCAAAGTGCTGGGATTATAGGCGAGAGCCACTGTGCCCAGCCAGAAGTTTTCTTTTTTTGGAGACAGGGTCTCACTCTGTCACCCAGGCTGGAGTGCAATGGCACAACCTTGGCTCACTGCAACCTCTGCCTCTTGGGTTCAAGTGATTCTCGTGCTGTAGCCTCCCAAGTAGCTGAGATTACAGGCATGTGCCACAATGCCTGGCTAATTTCTGTATTTTTTGTAGAGGTGGGTTTTTGCCATGTTGGCCAGGCTGGCCTCGAGTGATCTGCCTACCTTGGCCTCCCAAGTGATGAGATTACAGGCATGAGCCACCGTGCCCGGCCCCAGAAGTTTCGCTAGTGAATCTCTGTTGGTGGTAATGTCTCCCAGGTTTGTTTCTCTGAATAATTTTATTTTGATTTTCACCTTTGAAAAATACTTCTTCTGGCTGGGCGCGGTGGCTGACGCCTGTAATCCCAGCACTTTGGGAGGCCGAGGTGGGCAGATCACCAGGTCAGGAGTTCGAGACCAGCCTGGCCAACATGGTGAAACCCCATCTCTACTAAAAATATAAAAATTAGCTGGGTGTGGTGGCGCGTGCCTTTAATCCCAGCTACCCAGGAGGCTGAGGCAGGAGAACTGCTTGAATCGGGACCTGGGAGGTGGAGGTTGCGGTGAGCTGAGATCACGCCATTGTACTCCAGCCTGGGCAACAAGAGTGAAACTCTGTCTCAAAAAAAAAAAAGAAAAGAAAAATACTTTTTCTGGATTTACAATTCTGAGTGATTTTCTCCCTCTGGAAGGCATTAGCCTACTCCCCTATGTCTTCGTAAGGCTGCTGCCAGCCTGCCATTTTTAACATGATCCATTCATTCTCTCTGGCTGCTTTTATGGTCTCCTCCTTGCCTTTAGCGTGCCCCTGTGGTGTGGATTTGAGGCAGCTTTCAGCCTTGTGTTGACCTTTTTTGAGGTCATTCTCTACATGTTCTTTTTCAACCTGTTATTTCACTATTGTTCAGAATAGTCAGCAACTTTCCAATCCCTTTTAAAAATCAACAATACAGTCTTAGATGGAAGAATTTTATGGGCTTCAGTCCTAAGAATGTACCATTCTATTTCAAACCACTAAAAACATAAGTTATTTTAATGGAGTGTTTAGCCTATTTACATTTATATGATGATATATTTGTGTTTAAATAGAGCGTTTTAATATTTACTTACTTTTTACTTTTTTTTTTTTTTGAGATGGAGTTTCACTCTTGTCGCTCAGGCTGGAGTGCAATGGCACGCGATTTTGGCTCACTGCAACCTCCACCTCCCAGGTTCAAACGATTCTCCTGCCTCAGCCTCCTGAGTAGCTGGGATTACAAGTGTGTGCCACCACACCTGGCTAATTTTTGTATTTTTAGTAGAGATGGGGTTTCACCATTTTGACAAGGCTGGTCTCAAACTCCTGACCTCAGGTGATCCTCCCGCCTCAGCCTCCCAAAGTGCTGGGATTATAGGCGTGAGCCACTGCACCCCGCCTTAATAATATTTATTTTCTCTTTATCTTACCTGTTTTATTTCTTTTTTCTCTTTTTTTTTTTGCCTTCTTTGGAAAAATCAAGTATTTACTATTATTTTAAGTTCTAGCTGCTCAGGAGTTATCAAATACTTTCAAGCAGATTATGCGTGTGTGTGTGTTTATCTGGTTTTTCTAGTTGTTTTCAGTGGGACAATTGACATGCTCAAAGCTACTGCATCACAACTGGAAGTAGAATCCTTGATGAGCTCTTGAGTGGGGCTTTGCTGCAAGTGGGTCATAGCTGAAAGAACTAGCTGTGAAGAGCTTGAACCCCAGCTTCACGTGCACCAACAAGGTTGCACTTTCAGGCAGTGGTAGACTCAGACCCACACTGGGAGCAGGAGCAGGGTGGTTTGGCAGAAGGGGCATGGACAATTGGGCCCGTCACACTAGGACACTAGGAGTGAATTCTGGCTTGGCAAATTTACTCTCAGTGAGATTTGAGCTAGTTATCAAGTTTCTTTCTTTCTTTCTTTCAGTTCTTTCTTTTACCCTTTTTTTTTTTTTTTTTTTTTTGAGATAGGGCCTTGTTCTGTCACCTGGGCTGGAGTGCAGTGGTATGAACATGGCTCACTGCAACCTCAACGTCCTGTGCTCAAGCCATCTTCCCACCTCAGACTCCCGAGTAGCTGGGACAACAGGTGTGCACCACTATGCCCAGCTGATTTTATTTATTTATTTTACTTATTTATTTATTTACTTAAGAGACAGGGTCTCACTCTGTCACCTAGGCTGGAGTGCAGTGGTGCAGTCTTAGCTCACTGCAGCCCTGACCTCCCAGGCTGAAGTGATTTTCCCACCTCTGCCTCCTGAGTAGCTGGAACTACAGCTACTGGGCTAATTTTTTTATTACTTGTAGAGATGAAGTCTCATTATGTTGCCCAGGCTGGTCTCAGACACCTGGGCTCAAGCAATCCTTCTGCCTCGACTTCCCAAAATGCTGGGATTACAGGTGTGAGCCACTGTGCTGTCTTTTAAAATGTTTTATAGAGATGGGGTTGCATCACGTTGCCCAGGCTGGTCGGAAACTCCTGGGCTAAAGTGATCCTTCCACCTCAGCCTCCCAAAGTGCTGGGATTACAGGTGTGAGACACTGCACCCAGCTGCTTCTTTCTTTATGAAATAGAGATGGGTATTCACCATGTTGCCCAGGCAGGTCTCGGACACCTGGGCTCAAGCGATTCTCCCGCCTTGGCCTCCCAAAGTGCTGGGATTACAGGTGGGAGCTACCACCCCTGGCCTTGGCTAATGTATGTAAAGTAGTTAGTACTGGCTGGCTACTGAGCCAGCCCTGAAGAAATGGATGGTAATGATGTTGTTAAAGTAATTGGGCCTCACTGGGCCTGGTGGCTCACACCTGTAGTCCCACCTAATTGAGAGGCTGAGGCAAGAGGATCACCTGAGCCTAGGAGTTCAGGCCTAGCCTGAGCAACAGAGCGAGACTTCATCTCCAAAAAAAGAAGGAAAGACCACTGGGGTCTCAATCCTTAGCATTTTGCAGACCACCAAAGACCTGGAAGGGGTCAGAGGCTGCCGCCTGGCTGGCCCTGCTGTTGGAAAGAAGCCTGGGGAAAGGTAGGAAGAACTGTGGATTCCCTCCTGGAGCGAGCTGCCCTTCCCAGCCCAGGGTGGGTATGCTTGGGAGTAGGACCCTCTGGCCACGTGCAAGGAAGCCCTACCAGGCCCACAGCCCAGGTTATGCTTGACCTCTTCCCCTAACAGACTCCAGGCAAGTCTCCTGCCTCCTCCAACCTGTTTTCTTCCCAACCAGGGCAGCAGAGCAGGTCCTGCTGGCTGGCCTTTAAAGTCTTGCTTTTAACTTAGCCCCATAGCTGGGATAGGGTCAAGTGAGGAGACCTCGTGAGGCTAAACTAATCAATGCCCTGAAATGATATTTCTCTTATCAGTGGATCTTCCCCCTGGCTGCACTTCAGAATCCCGGGGGAGCTTCAGCAAATACCACGGCCGGGGCCCAGCCCTAGGGCTTCTGGAGTAGGGCTGGGGCCCATCCCCGGGGCTTCTGGAGCAGGCCTGGGGCCACTGGTAGGGTTCAAGAGCTCAGCAGGTAATTTTATTTATTTTTTGAGACGAAGTCTCACTGTCACCCAGGCTGGAGTACAGTGGCACGATCTCAGCTCACTACAGCCTCCACCTCCTGGGTTCAGGCGATTCTCCTGCCTTAGCCTCCCAAGTGCCTGGGATTACCAGCGCCCACCACCACGCCTGAATAATTTTTGTATTATTAGTAGAGACGGGATTTCGCCATTTTGACCAGGCTGGTCTCAAACTCCTGACCTCAGGTGATCCGCCCTCCTCGGCCTCCCAAAGTGCTGGGATTACAGGCGTGAGCCACTGCTCCCGGCCTCAGCAGGTGATTTTAACGAGCAGCCAGAGTTGAGATGGCTAGTCTAAGCCTCTAGTCATTCAAATGTTTAGCCTGTTGAGGCTGGAAGAGCTCCAGAGACCCTCCGTCTGGCCCTCATCTTACACGGGGAGACTGAGGTCTGCGAGGAGCCCGTGGGCTGGGAATGACAGTCTCTGTTTCCTGCCCCGCCTAGGACCTGAGACCACATTCCTTTTTTAGAGCACAGCGTGGCAGTGAGCCAGCATCTCAGCCCCAAAACAGGTCAGGCCAGGGAGGAGTCCAGGCCTGGTGACCATAGCTGCTGTCACTCAGGGCACACCCACTGCCTGCCAGGCTCTGGGCGGACACCTTCCTTCCACCACATAGGTGGCATTATCCACGCTTTCTGGTGATGACAGTGAGGCCCACTTGGCCAAAAGCCACTTGGGAGGAAGTGACCCAGCCAGGAATCATCCCGAAGCTGACTGACCCTGAGGCCTGTGTGTGTCCCATGAACCCTTCCTCTACCCCTCCCTCCCAGGGGAGGAGACCACCAGTGCAGGAGTCAGCGGACAGGGGCCCCTTCCTGGCACTGCCAGCTGGGCCAACAGGAGGAGAGAGAGGCAGGAGCAAAGACCTGCTTGTCTGAGCCTCGGTGTCTCTTGCAGTCCAAATGCCATCTGGTCCTCAGTACAAATATATTTCTAGGAAATCAATGATGTCCGGGCTGTCGCAGCCTCACCTCTGGACACTTATATAATCATTAACAAATGTCTGCCATTAAAGAGAAATGACTGTCATTTGACACCCAAGCTCCATTTCCAAACAGCAGACTGGTATTTACCCTCCTCCTGAAAAGAGTGGATTCTAAAACAGACGGCTGAGCTCACCTCTTCCTGATTTGCAGGAAACAATCCTCCAAATGTAAAGGTCTCAACCCAGCCTCCCAGCCAGGGAGTTCTCTGTCCATAAGGTTAAGGCTTCTATTCAGATTCAGCTAAAATAGCACTTCATGAAGTTGACTTTCTTTTCTTTTATTTATTTAATTTTTGAGACAGAATCTTGCTCCGTCATCCAGAAGTGCAGTGGCCCTATCTCGGCTCACTGCAACCTCTGCCTCCCGGGTTCAAGTGATTCTCCTGCCTCAGCCTCCCAAGTAGCTGGGATTGCAGGCACATACCACCATGCCTGGCTAATTTTTGCATTTTTAGTAGAGATGGGGTTTCCCCATGTCAGCCAGGCTGGCCTCGAACTCCTGACCTCAAGTAGTCTGCCGGCCTCAGCCTCCTAAAATGTTGGAATTACAGGCATGAGCCACTGCACCCAGCCAGCCATTGTGCCCGGCCCCAGCCTTTCTTCTAAAGGAAAGTGTTTAACTATGTAGGCAGGAAATGCACTCTTCTACATTTTAGATTACAAAAATGCTTCCAAGGACACAAGGCGTTCTCTTGTATCCTCACGGCTGTAGGAAGCCCTTGAGTGAAGGGTAGACGGTGGGGCTTTGAGGGTCACAGGGCAAGTGCTGGGCCCAGCATGGCCACGGACTGACTTCAGGAACTCGGACAGATCACTTCTCCCTGCGCCTCCACCTCCCCACCACCGCCGTTTGGTAAGGGAGCTGGAGCAGCTCAGCTGTCCACAAACCTGGCCACCCATCAGGATGACCCGGAGAGCTTTTTGGTCTGCTGCCTTTTAAGCTCCTCGTCTCTCTTTTAAGCACAGCCAGGTTCGGGAACTCCTGGCCAGCAGGCTGCCAAGCCCCCAGCTCTGACGGTCTGAGTGTCTGGTGGAAAGCTGCAAAGCCCTTGGCCCGCCAGCATGTCTGACCTGATGTTTTTTGCCCACTTCAATTCCTGGCATGTTGTAATGATGAGAGATCTGGTTATCCTGGGATGGTCCGTTCAGGCTTAGAACCATAGCTAACGTTTGTCAAGCCTTAGGAAGGGTCAGGCTTCCTCACACCGGTATCTTGTTTATTCCCCAGAACAGCCTACTGTTAATCTAAATCTAAATCTAAAACTACTGTTATTAGATTTTGTTTATGGCTAAAGAAACTGAGGGTCAAAGTATCTAGCATGCATTTAGGTTGGGACTTGAAGCATGGAGCCAGGACTGGAACTTGGAGGGCCTGGCCCAGAAGCCTGTGGCCATAGTCACTCCATCACTCAGTCAAAGTAATGGGGCCACCCTTAGGGGTGCAAGGTGAACCCAGCAGGAAAATAGCTGCTTCCCCGGAGCAGCACACTCTCCCGTCCTCGTGCCCAGGTACCCCCCGATAGGGACGTTTTACTGCGTTCTGAAAGGTGTGCAGGGACCTGGTTCAGTCTTTGACATCGTGGCCAACAGTCACAAGTACCCCGAACATCTCATTCCTTCCAAAATGGGGTTGTCGCCTGCGTGCCTTCCTTCTTCCTATGACCCTGGAAAAGATTGCTCCGGAAGGTGCCCACTATGTGGATGGGAAGCATCAGAGGCAAGACTCCAGGCACATCAGCGTGTCTGTGGACGTGGACATGTGGCTGCCATCTTCTGCCTCTTGGTCAGGTAGTTGTCACTCAGCTACCTCCTTGCTCTGAATCCTTCCGGTGGGCTTGGCCAACCTCCTCCCATGTGCCAGCCACACAGAGGCTGTCTCAACCCTGGCTGCTCATTAAAATCACCTGCAGAGCTCTTGAACCCTACCACTGGCCCCGGCCCTGCTCCAGAAGCCCTAGGGATGGGCCCTGGCCATGGTATTTGCTAAAGCTCCCCAGGGATTCTGAAGTGCAGCCAGGGGGAAGATCCACTGATAAGAGAAATGTCATTTCAGGGCATTGATTAGTTTAGCCTCATGAGGTCTCCTCAATTGGCCCCATCCCAGACATGGGGCTAAGTTAAAAGCAGGACTTCAAAGGCCAGCCAGCAGGACCTGATCTGCCTGCCTAATGAGGTGGGTGGATCACTTTAGGCTAGGAGTTTGAGACCAGCCTGACCAACTTGGTAAAATGCTGTCTCTACTAAAAATACAAAAATTAGCCAGATGTGGTGGTGCACGCCTATAATTCCAGTTATTTGGGAGGCTGAGGCATGAGAATTGCTTGAACCTGGGAGGCAGAGTTTGCATTAAGCCAAGATCATGTCACTGCACTCCAGCATGGGTGACAGAACCAGACCCTGTCTCAAAAAAAAAAAAAAAAGAAAAAGAAAGCTGGTGTGATTCCATCCTGCGGGGCTGTTCTCTTGAGCAGTGGTCGTTTATCTCCGTCCGCCTTCTCTACCACCTAAGTGTATGCCGCCACCCGATGGAAGATTCGATGGACATGCACATGAGTCCTCTGAGGCCCCAGAACTATCTTTTCAGTTGTGAACTTAAGGCCAACAAAGATGATCACTTTAAGGTGGATAATGATGAAAATGAGCACCAGTTATCTTTAAGAACAGTCAGTTCATGGGCTGGTGCAGAGGATGATTGCACATTGTTGAAGCAGAGGCAGTGAATTAGAAGGCGGTCCAATTGAAGTAACACTGGCAACTTTGAAAATGTCTGTTTAGTCAACGGTTTCCCTTGGGGGCTTTGAAATCACACCACCAGTGGTCTTACAGTTGTAGTGTGGCTCAGGGCCAGTGCATATTAGTGGACAGCACTTAGTAGCTGTGGAGGAAGATGCAGAGTCAGAAGATGAAGAGGAGGAGAGTGCGAAACTCTTAAGTATATCTGGAAAGCAATCTGTCCCTGGAGGTGGTAGCAAGGTTCCACAGAAACAAGTAAAACTTGCTGCTGATGAAGATGATGATGATCATGATGAAGATGATGGTGATGATGAAGATGAAGATGATGAAGAAGATGATGATGAAGATGAAGATGGTGGTGATGATGAAGAAGATGATGATGAAGATGACGAGGAAACTGAAGAAAAAGTGCCAGTGAAGAAATCTATACGAGATACTTCAGCCAAAAATGCACAAAAGTCAAATCAGAATGGAAAAGACTCAAAACCGTCAACACCAAGATCAAAAAGACAAGAATCCTTCAAAAAAACAGGAAAAAACTCCTAAAATACCAAAGACCTAGTTCTGTAGAAGATATCAAAGCAAAAAGCAAGCAAATATAGAAAAAGCACTGAACAGTCCTGGGCACTACTGATAAATTAAGCCCAAAGATAGGGAGAAAGGAAAAGGAGAGACAAATATAGCCCATACTGAATGTCATCAACAATCCAGACCATAGTCTTCTATTTTCATCTCAATCCCCTTTTCTGATTTGCCACCCAGGCCTCTTCAGGCTGGAAATAATCTCACTCTTGGTTCCCTAATGCACTTTCTCTGACTGCTGTGATTCAGTGAATCTTGCCCTTTGCTTTCTATTACTTGTGCATTTGCCTCACCTCTGACCATGTTTTAAATCACCTTTGTATCTCCTTAGCTGCTCGATAAATATTTGAATAATAAAAAAAAGAAGCTAGGCGAGGTGGCTCACACCTGTAATACTAGCACTTTGGGAGGCTGAGGTGGGCAGATCACCTGAGGTCAGGAGTTGGAGACCAGCCTGACCAACATGGTGAAACCCTGTCTCTACTAAAAATACAAAAATTAGCCGTGCGTGGTGGCAGGCACCTGTAGTCCCAGCTACACGGGAGGCTGAGGCAGGAGAATTGCTTGAACCTGGGAGGCAGAGGTTGCAGTGAGCCAAGATGGCGCCACCCACTCCAGCCTGGGCGACAGAGCGAGACTCTGTCTAAAAAAAAAAGAAAAAGCTAGTGTGTGGGAAAGTGTTTATGACCTGTAAAGAGCAAGGAGATTTGTCTATTTTTAACTTCCTTCCACCCTTTTCCTTCCTTCCTTTCTTCTTCCCTTCCTTCTTTTCCTCCGTCTGTTTTTTTTTTTTGATTCTCGGACTTTCTCCCACTGAATCCCCTCAGACTCTGCCCCTTTGCCTGCCACACTCTTGCAATTGCTTCAGTCTTGAAAGCAAATGCCTCTGACCCTAACTTTCCTCCGGAAGCCCCTTCAACTTTCCCTTTCTTCCCCCGCGGCAGCTCAGAGAATCTCAGAGCCTTGCAGACAGCACATGATGGCCTGCGCCATCACCTGCCTGTTAGGGAACGGCTCACCTGAGTCTTTTCTCTCTATATATTTCTTTCTTTCATTCTTTCTTTCCTTTCTTGAGACAGAGTCTCACTCTGTTGCCCAGACTGGAGTGCAGTGGCATGATCTTGGCTCACTGTGACCTCTGCCTCCCAGGTTCAAGTGATTCTTCTGCCTCAGCCTCCCAGGTAGCTGGAATTACAGGAGTCTACCACCACGCCTGGTTAGTTTTTGTATTTTTAGTAGAGGTGGGGTTTCACCATGTTGGCCAGGCTGGTCTCCAACTTCTAACCTCAGGTGATTCACCCACCTTGGCCTCCCAAAGTGCTGGGATTACAGGCATGAGCCACCATGCCAGGCCTCACCTGAGTCTTTAAAGCCACAGACTGGTGAATGTGGGTGGTGCATTGGGTAGGCAGGTTGGGTGTGGCATGGAGCTGAATGCAGCTAGCAGAGTGCACACACCTGCAGGGCCTCCTTAAACTCAGGCAGGCAATGCCATTGAGGTGTTATTTCTGTCCCTATATCAGTCAAAGCCATTGAGGCACCCATGGGCTCAAGTGCCTGCCGACCTCAAGCGCAGCACCATCACTCTGGGCTCAGTTTCCCCATGTTCCAAAGACTCCTCTGAGGCCCTTTCCTGCTCTGAAACTGCTGCTCTGGGGCCAGGAGAACCTGAGGGCTGCCATGTGTCAGGGATTTCCTGTACCTTCCTGCCTGAAGCATTGGGGTGGGCAAGAGAAGATCTCCCCAGCTCCAGCCTGCAAAGTAGCATTGCAGACCCACCTCCTCCGTTGTCTGACAAGACTCCCAGCTGACCGCGCCATGTGGGGGGCTGGCCCCATGCAGGGTGCTTCCCGCTCACCGCCTCACTGGCTTGTCCTCCCCAAAACGTGGCCCATGCATGAGCCCACCATTGCACCCCTGGGTGGTGTCAGTGTGAGTCTTCCAAGAAGACACCAGGACAGGATTAGACACGCAAGAGAGCTATGGAGGAAATGCCTGTGAAGGATAAGGAGAGGAAGCGGGAGGAGCAGGGAGGTCCCTCGGGTGTCAATACAGGTCTCACCTCTGTGCAAGGAGCGGGGAAGGAAGGAGGTTTGGATAGAAAAAGCCTCAGGTCCCAGGAGTTGCAGACCAGCCTGGCCAACATAGTGAAACCCCTTCTTTACTAGAAATACACAAATGAGCTGGGCGTGGTTGTGGACACCTGTAATCGCAGCTACTCTTGGGTGGCTGAGGCACGAGGATCACTTGAACCTGGGGGGCAGAGGTTGCAGTGAGTCAAGATCATGCCACCGCACTCCAACCTGGACAACAGAGGGAGACTCTGTTTTTAACAAAAAGAAAGAGACTGGGCATGGTGGCTCATGGCTGTAATCCCAGCACTTTGGGAGGCCAAGGCAGGCAGATCACTTGACGTCAGGAGTTTGAGACCAGCCTGACCAAGATGGTGAAACCCCATCTCTACGAAAAATACAAAAAATTAGCTAAGTATGGTGGGGGACGCCTGCAGTCCCAGCTACTTGGGAGGTTGAGACAGGAGAATCTCTTGAACCTGGGAGGCGGAGGTTGCAGTGAGCCGAGATCGTGCCACTGCACTTCAGCCTGGGTGACAGAGAAGACTGTGTCTCAAAAAAAGAAAGAGAGAGAGAGAGAGAGAGAAAGAAAGAGAAGGAGGGCGGGCAGGAAAGAAAGAAAAGAAAGAGAAAGAAAGAAAAAGAAAGGAAGGAAGGAAGGAGGGGATAAAGAAAGGAAGGAAAGAAAAAGGAGAAAGAAAAAGAAAAGAGAAAAGAAAAAAGGAAAGAAAGAGAAAAGAGCGAGCCTCAGGTCTCAGTGCAGCTCTGAGAAAGTCTCAGCTAGGCTGATGGGGAGGCCCTGAGCCCACAGCCCAGTAGGGAGTCCTACTGGAATGGGCCAGAGCTAGCTCCCACCCTCCCCAGTCATGGGCGGGGAGGAGCTAAGAGAAGTGCATCCCAAGGGGCAGTGCTGGCTGTTGGCCACCTGGGCCCCCAGTGGCAGGTTCTCTTGAGGGAGATATGACTGGTGTGCTTCTGTGGCCATCGTGTAAGTATTTACCCAACAGAAATGGAAATACCCGTCTACAAAAAGTTATACAAAAATGTTATTAGCACCTTTATCATAATCACCACCAACTGGAAACCACCCACCTGCCCATAGGCAGGTAAAGCGATAAAGAAATGGGGCTGGGCGCGGTGGCTCATGCCTGTAATCCCAGCACTTTTGGAGGCGGAGGCAGGTGGATCACTGGAGGTCAGGAGTTCGAGACCAGCCTGGCCAACATGGTGAAACCCTGTCTCTACTAAAAATACAAAAAAATTAGCCAGGTGTGGTGGCGTGCACCTGTAGTCCCAGCTACTCGGGAGGCTGAGACAGGAGAATTGCTCGAACCTGGGAGGTGGAGGTTGCAGTGAGCTGACATGGCGCCACTGCACATACAATGATGGATATGAACTAAAAGGAATGAAAGGGCCGGGCGTGGTGGCTTGCCCTTTCATGGGAAGCCAAGGTGGGCAGATCATTTGAGCCCAGGAATTCAAGACCATCCTGGGCAACACAGGGAGACCCCATTTCTGCAAAAAATTAAAAAATTAGTGGGGCATGGTGGCATGGGCCTGCAGTCCCAGCTACTCAGGAGGCTGAGGTGGGAGGATCACTGGAGCCCAGGAGTTCAAGGCTGCAGCGAGCTATGATTGTGCCACTGCACTCCAGTCTGGGCAACAGAGCGAGACCTCATTTCTAAAAAAAAATTTTTTTTAAGTGTAAAAAAAAGAATGAAGTACTGATACATGCAGTGATATGCATGAATCTCAGAAACATTACATGGAAGGAAGCAACACACAGAAGAATACATATCATACGATTCCATTTGTAGGAAGTCCAAGAAGGCAAAATTAATCTCTGGTGATAGATGATTAGTGCCTTGTGGATGGAGAGACAGGGACTTGTCTGAGAGAATTCACTGGAGTGATGGAATGCTCTAGATCTTGATTTGGGCTTGGTTATACTTTGTCAAAACTAATTGAATTGTCCTACAAAGCATATGCATTTTACTGTTTGTAATTTTTACCTCAATAAAAAAAGCCTCCACTCTATGGATGAGGCTTAGAGAGGTTAAGAGTTTGCCCAAGATGCACAGCAGAGGGGCTCAGGTTGGAATCCTACCTGCCCAGTCCCTAGTGTGTGCCCATCAGGGACCCAGCTGCCTCATGGCTTCTAACACTGACTCAAGAGGCTCCTCCTGCGCTGCCAGATACACTCCTGGATCCCTCTCCCAGGTGGGAGGCTGAGTCCTCAGGATTCCAGAAGACCCTACAGGTCCTGGTCTGGGGCCCAGTCCCTGTCAACAAAGCTGGGACTTGGCCTGAATCAACCTTCTCCCCAACACCTGGAAACCAGTGAAGTTTTCACTGTCTCCACGGTTTTGCCTTTTCCAGAATGTTGTATAGATGGAATCATACATTGTATGGCCTTTCAGTTGGCTTCTTTCACTTAGCCATATGTATTGAAGTTCCTCCAGGTCTTTTCATGGCTTAACAACTTATTTCCTTTTTAGGGCTGAATACTATTCCATTGTCTGGATGTACCATAGTTTACTTATCCATCCAGTCATTGAAGGTCATCTTGCTTGCTTTCAATGTGGCAATTATGAACGAAGCTGATATAAACATCCATCTGCGGGTTTTTGTGTAGACATAAATCTTTAACTTACTTGGATAAATGTGTGATTGCTGGATTGTACAGTAAAAGTATGGTTAGTTTTGTAAGAAACTGCCAAACTGTCTTCCAATGAGGTGGTACCATTTTACATTCTCACCAACAATGAATGAGAGTTCTTTTTTTTTTTTGAAGACGGAGACTTGCTCTGTCGCCCAGGCTGGAGTGCAGTGGTGCAATCTCGGCTCACTGCACCTCTGTAACCTCTGCCTCCTGGGTTTAAGTGATTCTCCTGCCTCAGCCTCCTGAGTAGCTGGGACTACGGGCGCCCGCCACCACACCCAGCTAATTTTTTGTGTTTTTAGTAGAGATGGGGTTTCACCATGTTAGCCAGGATGGTCTCAATCTCCTTACCTCATGATCTGCCCGCCTCGGCCTCCCAAAGTGCTGGGATTACAGGCACGAGCCACCATGCTCAGCCAAACGAGAGTTCTTGTTTCACATCCTTGCCAGTATCTGGCACTGTCAGTGTTTTGGATTTTAGCCATTCTAATAAGTGTGTGGTGCTGTCTCATTGGTTTTTTGTTTTATTTTGCTTTTTGAGACACGGTCTCATTCTGTCACCCAGGCTGGAGTGCAGTGGCATGATCATTGCTCACTGCAGCCTTGACCTCCCTGGGCTCAGGTGATGCTCCCGCCTCAGCCTCCTGAGTAGCTGGGACTACAGGTACGGGCCACCATGCCTGGATAATTTTTTGTATTTTTGGCAGAGAAGGGGTTCCACCATGTTGTCCAGGTTGGTCTTGAACTCCTGAGCTCAAGTGATTCATCCACCTTAGCCTCCCAAAGTGCTGGGATTATAGGCGTGAGCCACCGGTCCTGGTCCTCATTGTTATTCTAATTTGTAATTCTCTAATGTATGATGTTGAGCACCTTTTCATATGCTTCTTTTCTATCCATATACAGTCTCTGATGAGGTGTTTATTCAGATCTTTTGCCCTTTTTATGGTATTTAACTTTTAAAAAATATATTTGCTGCTACTGTATAGAAATACAATTATTTTTGTACACTGGCCCTCTATTCATGTTTAACTGATTCTAGTCAGTTTTTGCAGATTCTTATTATTTTCTATGTGAATAATTATATCATACACAAATACAGTTTTACTTAGTCCTTTCTGGGTTTTTTTGTTTTTTGTTCTTTTAGACAGAGTCTTGCTCTGTCACCCCGGCTGGAGTACAGTGACATGATCTCGGCTCACGGCAACCTCTGCCTCCTGGGTTCAAGCAATTCTCTGCCTCAGCCTCCCAAGTAGCTGGGATTACAGGCATCCACCACCAGACCTAGCTAATTTTTGTATTTTTAGTAGAGACGGGATTTCACCATCTTGGCCAGAGTGGTCTTGAACTCCTGACCTCGTGATCCACCTGCCTCGGCCTCCTCCCAAAGTGCTGGGATTACAGGCATGAGCCACTGCGCCCGGACCCTTTCTGATCTTTATGCTTTCTATTTCTTTTTCTTGCCTTATTGCAGTTCTAGGATTGTGTTGAGGTTTGGTTTTTTGTTGGTTTGTTTTTCTGTACTCATGTTTTCAAGAGATTTTGCTCTCTGAATATTACTTTTTCTTTTTTCTTTTCTTTTCTTTTTCTTTCTTTCTTTTTTTTTTTTTTTTGAGACAGCATCTTGCTCTGTCGCCAGGCAGGAGTGCAGTGGCACCATCTTGGTTCACTGCAGCCTCTGCCTCCCGGATTCAAGCAATTCTCCTGCCTCAGCCTCCTGAGTAGCTGACTACAGGCGAGGGCTGCCACACCTGGCTAATTTGTTTGTATTTTCAGTAGAGACAGGGTTTCACCATGTTGGCCAGGATGGTCTTGATCTCCTGACCTCGTGATCCACCCACCTCAGCCTCCCAAAGTGCTGAGATTACAGGCGTGAGCCACTGTGCCCGGCCCTGAATGTTACTTTTTATAGCATCCTATTCTTGTTTCCTGGATGTGATATCATCTGATATCTCTCATTGATCTTTGTTGTTTTATCTATTTTATTTTTTTTGATTTGATTTCATTTCATTTCATTTTATTTGAGACAGGGTCTCACTCTGTCGCCCAGGCTGGAGTATAGTGGCACAATATTGGCTCTCTGCAACCTCCGCCTCCCAGGTTCAAGCAATTTTCCTGCCTCAGACTCTCTAGTAGCTGGGATTACAGGCATGCACCACCACGCCTGGCTAATTTTTTGTATTTTTAGTAGAGATGGGGTTTCTCCATGCTGGTCAGGCTGGCCTCAAACTCCCGACCTCAGGTGATCCGCCCACCTCGGCCTCCCAAAGTGCTGGGATTACAGGCGTGAGCCACTACACCCGTCCAATCTTTGTTTTTTAAATTTAGTTTTCTTTCTCTACATAGTCTCTGTTTCCTCTAAACTACTTTTTTCCTCTTTCTTTTGGTTTCCTCAGATCAGTTTTCTCAAATTTTCAACAATTCTTGTTTATCTATTTGCAATTAAGACATGGAAGCTAAAAAAACACATTGGAAGCTCTGTGCATACGAGTGGGACTTGCTGACTTTGTGCTCCTTCTTGGCATGATCAGGTTACCCACTTATTAGGGAACTCCTGTTGTCAATAACTTCAGGTACTTCCTCACGGCTAGCCAAATTACCCAGGAAATAGTCTTCCAGTTTATTCTTGGAGAGTAACAGCCTGGCTGCTAGCCTTCTAAGAGCCCAGTAGGAGGCTATGTGGGATTTGAATAAAATATTCATGTGCACTTGGTATGGAGGCTGCATCTTCAGCCATGCCCAGCATCCACCAATTCAGACGTTCTGTTTTACAGGGGTGGGCCTTGGGTGGAGCTGTCACCCAGCCACATGGACTAGGAGGGCATCTAGGAATCCAGTTGATGACTAATAGCTTCCAGCAGCCCTGATCTTAGTCCATTCCCTTTCTCCTCCAGTGCCAGAGGCCCTGGTATTGCCAGCTCCTGTACTTTTTTGAGGTTCTGCAGCATAAACCAAGTTGGCTCTCAGCTCTCCTCTCTGCTGGTGTAGAAATTGCCTTTCTTGGGTCTTCGAAACCAGTTCCCCTCAGCTCACTGGCTTTCTAGTTTTCAAAATGTGGCTGTTGTTTTCCTCTCTTGTTCTCTCTGTCTTTGTTGGTTTCTAATTGTGTTTGTTTATTAATCTGTTTATTGTAGGGTTAGTGGGATTTCAGGAGGAAGTGAAGTTAGATACATATGTTCAATCCATCATTTCAACCCAGAAATTCTACTATTACCTTTAATTTGCTTAATACAGAAATAAATAGGCTGGACGCGGTGGCTCACACCTGTAATCCCAGCGCTTTGGGAGGCCGAGGCAGGCAGATCACGAGGTCGGGAGATCGAGACCATCCTTGCTAATACGGTGAAAGCCCGTCTCTACTAAAAATACAAAAAAATTTAGCTGGGCGTGGTGGCGGGCACCTGTAATCCCTAATCCCAGCTACTCGGGAGGCTGAGGCAGGAGAATGGCGTGAACCCGGGAGGCAGAGGTTCAGTGAGCCTCTAGCGCCACTGCACTCCAGCGTGGGCGACAGAGCGAGACTCCATCTCAACAAACAAATAAATAAATAAATAAATAAATAAATAAATAAAAATAATGTCCTGATTCTTCTTACATGGCAAATCTAGTACAATCTTCTTTTTTGAGATGGAGTTTCACTCTCATTGCCCAGGCTGGAGAGCAATGGCGTGAGCCAAGATCGCACCACTGCACTCCAGCCTGGGCAACAGAGCGAGACTCCATCTCAAAAATAAAAAAAAAATAAAAATAAATAAATAAATTAAATAATGTCCTGATTCTTCTTACATGGCAAATCTAGTACAATCTTCTTTATTTTTTTTGAGACAGGGACTCCCTCTGTCACCCAGGTTGGAATGCAGTGGCACAATCATAGCTCACCATAGCCTCTACCTCCCACTGCACCTGGCCCTTCTAGTACGATCTTAAAATTTAATGTCGGTCCCCCTGAGATGTAAATGCTCTTGCTTCAAAATTCATTTTAAGGAGAGGTTGCTAGGCTGGGCACGGTGGCTCACACCTGTAATCCCAGCACTTTGGGAGGCCGAGGTGGTTGGATCATCTGAGGTCAGGAGTTCAAGACCAGCCTGGCCAACATGACAAAACCCCATCTCCACTAAAAATACAAAAATTAGCCAGGTGTGGTGACGGGTGCCTGTAATCCAGCTACTCAGGAGGCTGAGGCAGGAGAATCGCTTGAACCTGGGAGGCAGAGGTTGCAGTGAGCTGAGATCACGCCATTGCACTCTAGCCTGGGCAACAAGAGTGAAACTCCATCTCAAAAAAAAAGGAGAGGTTGCTCATGCCTGTAATTCCAGCACTTTAGGAGGCCAAGGCAGGCAGGTTGCTTGAGCTCAGGAGTTTGAAATCAGTCTGGGCAACATGGTGAAACACTGACTCTACAAAAAATACAAAAATTAACTGGGTGTGATGGCATACACCTGTGGTCCCAACTACTCGGGAGCCTGAGGTGGGAGGATCACTTGAACTCAGGAGATTGAAGCTACAGTGAATCATGATGGCATCACTGCACTCCAGCCTGGGTGACAGACTGAGACCTTGTCTCAAAAAAATAAATTAATTCATTAAAGAGTGTTGGAAAAAGCCAGGTGCAGTGGCTCATGCCTGTAATCCCAGCATTTTGGGAGGCTGAGGCAGGCAGATCACTTGAGGTCAGGGGTTCGAGACCAGCCTGGCCAACATGGTGAAACTCTGTCTCTACTAAAAATACAAAAAAATTACCCAGGCGTGGGCGATGCATGTCTGTAATCCCAGCTACTCAGGAGGCTGAGGCACAAGAATTGCTCAAATCTAGGAGGTGGAGGTGGCAGTGAGCCAAGATCACTGCACTCCAGCCTGGGCGACAGAGTGAAACTGTCTCAAAAGAAACAACAACAAAAACAAAAATTAGCCGGGTGTGGTGGCTCACACCTGTAATCCCAGCACTTTGGGAGGCTGAGGCAGGTGGATCACCTGAGGTCAGGAGTTCAAGACAGGCCTGGCCAACATGGCGAAACCTTGTCTCTACTAAAAATACAAAAAACATTAGCCAGGCGTGGTGGCGCATGCCTGTAGTCCCAGCGACTCAGGAAGCTGAGGCAGGAGAATTGCTTCAACCCAGAAGGTGGAGATTGCAGTGAGCTAAGATTGTGCCACTGCACTCCAGCCTGGGTGACACAACAAGACTCTGTCTCAAAAAACAAACAAACAAAGAGTGTTAGGGGAAAAGCTTTGCTTTGTCTTCATAGTCATTGCATAAGAGTTCCTGAAAGCAAGATATGGTACTGACAATTCTCTTGTCTGAATAGCTATATTAATGTGGGACTCAAAAAAAAATACTGAGGACCCACTGTGTACCAGGCCTGAACCATGACTAATGAGGCTTCAGCTCCGATGGCCCCTCCACTAGCCTCTTCTTGGGCCATCCTCAGAGGTTCCTGGCTCTAGGAGTCCTACCACAAACTTCCTGGTCTCTTCCAGCCAGTTCTCCCAGTTCCCAGTCCAGCTGGACCTGTGGGGCAGGCCTCCCACTCAGCCCTTCCCACTTGGCTTCTTCCACTGTCCTGATGGCTGAGAACAGAATTCTGGAGCTGGTGACCATGTAGTCACTGACACTTACAGGGAACCTCCACGTCAGATTGCTTTCCGCTATTTAGCTAATAAAATGACTTTTGGCCAGGCTTGGTGGCTCAAGCCTGTAATCCCAGCACTTTGGGAGGCCAAGGCGGGCAGATCACCTGAGGTCAAGAGTTCGAGGCAAGCCTGGCCAACATGGTGAAACCCCGTCTCTACTAAAAATATAAAAATTAGCTGGGCGTGGTGGCAGGCACCTATAATCCCAGCTACTCTACTTGGGAGGCTGAGGCAGGAGAATTGCTTAAACCCGGGGGGTGGGGGTCGCAGTGAGCCAAGATTGTGCCACCACACTCCAGCCTGGATGACAGAGCAAGACTCCGTCTCAAAAAAATAAATAAATAAAAATTAAAAAAACCGACTTCAATGACGACAACAAAACAAAGCCTCTTCCTGCGATGGGTGCAGACAAATGACCCACAGTGACTGATTGAAATGTAGTCCCATTTGTTTATGTAATTTTTTCTGTCTAGGAAGAAAGGTTGGTGAGTGACAAGGGTCGCCCTATTTTAGAGAAGGGACAGGGACACATCACAGCAGAAAGGCAGAGAGAGAGCCAGGCTGGATCTGCAGGCGTGCCCCGCCTCCACCTACCGCACATGTGGGAGTGAAGAGGGGCTGAGAAGGGCTGCCAGACTCGGGGGTAGTGGGCACTGTGGCTCTCCCCACACCCTCCCTCCTCAAGGCAAGGAAGGGGGGCACTGACAGGACCACCCTAGGGAGTAGGGTGCTTGCCAGAAGGAGAGACTGCCAGCTCACCCCTCAGGTTGATGTCTGCAGGACTGCAGAGATTCTCCCAGAGGTGCTACTAGTGATGAACTTGGAAAAGCCCTTGGGTGGGTCAGAGCGGGCCAAAGGCCACCCATAAAGGAGTGGGGCAGTGGCATGGAAGCTGGGAGTGTGGGAGAGGTCAGTTCCCACCTGTATCAGAGACGTGTTCATGTCAGGGAGTGCTGGAGGTGTGAGTGGGACCCTAACCCCCACCTCTACCCACCCCAGTGGATCCCAAGAGAAAGTCAGCATTTAGCCACCTACCATCACAAAGGCATTTGATAACACAGTGAACATAACAAGCTAAGTAAAAATTCACGTGTGATCCTTTGCCCTCCCTTCCTTCTCCATGTCCCAAGCCTGGAGGAGCTGCTGGCAGCAGTCAGCAAGTTGAAGAGGTGGGATGCAGAAGACAGGAAAGATGGGCTCTGGCCCCTCTGGGCTCACCTTGGGAGAAAGGGAGAAGCTTTGAATTGGCAATGAAATTGCGGTTTTGATTTAAATCAGATCACACTCTTATTATATAAAAAGAGGACGGTTGGCCAACACCTAGAAGCCACTGGGAAGGCATGGGATCTGCTGGAGTGTCCTCTCGGAGGGAAAGAGTCAGCAAAGGAGGTTTGCAAAGCAGCGGTGGGAGGAAAGTACAGCTCACTCCTGACTGCAGCAAGTCCAGCCTCTTTAAGAACTGGGTTACCTGGCCAGGTGCGGTGGCTCATGCCTGTAATCCCAACACTTTGGGAGGGCGAGGCAGGAGGATCAGGAGTTCAAGACCAGCCTGGCCAACATGGTGAAACCCTGTATCTACAAAAAACACAAAAATTAGCCAGGCATGGTGGCGGGCGCCTGTAGTACCAGCTGCTGGGGAGGCTGAGGCGGGAGAATTGCTTGATCCTGGGAGGTAGAGGTTGCAGTGAACTGAGACTGCGCCACTGCACCCCAGCCTGGGCAGCAGAGTGAGACTCCATCTCAAAAAAAAAAAAAAAAAAAAAGACAAAAGAACTGGGTTGCCCTTACTGTATAATAAAGAAGGTGCCAGAAAGCCCTCTAGTTCCTCCTACTTATCCTTCGAAATTCAGTTCAGGTGGTCCTTCTCTGAGGAACTTTCCTGGACAAGGACTACCTGGCCCCCGTGCCCACCTCTGTCACAGCACACATTTCCTCTGCAGTACAGGGTTTATCTGGACACTATGGGCCACAAGGGCAAGCACCAGGCCTTTCCCCCCCGCTGAGCACATTCTGTCACATGGAGACTGCTCAGTGTTTGTTGAATTAATGAATGAAAAGAAATGAACATGGCAGGCCCGGGTACAGGACCACCTAAAGATAAGTTCTACTAGGCCAGGTATGGTGGCTCACCTCTGTAATCCCAGCACTTTGGGAAGCCAAGGAAAGAGGATCACTTGAACCCAGGAGTTCGAGACCAGTCAGAGCAACATGGCGAAATCCTGTCTCTACAAAGTATATATATATATGTATATAAAATTAGCCAGGTGTGGTGGTGTGTGCCTGTAGTCCCAGCTACTTGGGAGGCTGAGGTGGGAGGATTGCTTGATCCTGGGAGGTCGAGACCGAGGTAAGCTATGATTGCACCATTGCGCTTCAGTCTGGGCAATAAAATGAGAACTTGTCTAAAAAAAAAAAAAGCAAATAAAAAAAGGAAACAATAATCAAAAATGGTTAAAAGCATAAAAGCAGGTTAGCTACTGTAAAGGAAACACAGGCCTTTTCAAATTCATTAGTAAAGTCTGTTTATTGAATGTCCTCATATGAAAATAAGTAGTCCCAACTGTGCCATGAATTAAAGGGGAATGTAGAAAGTAAAAAGTTCCTCTTCAAATTTCCCTTCTTATTAAAGAATAAACCATAAGTGTTAGAAATAATAATTTCTTTTAAAGACTAACTTCCTTCAAGCCTCCTTGCTTTGTGCTAATAACTCTTTGTTAAGCCCTATCCTATGTAGCTGTTAGATATAAAGGAGTAAGTACATCGATGTCCTTACACTTTAACCAAAATACTTGTGCTAGACATGCTCACAGGCATGTAGTACATTCTATGTCCTTGTACTTTAACCAAAATATGTGTACTGGATGTGCTCACAGCCATGCCCCAGCTCTCAGCCTATGCCCCTTCCTTATTTAAGAATATTATTACTTTTTCTTTTTTTGCAGGGGGAGGGGTGTTTAGTAAATATTTATTTCATCCTAGCTTTCCAAGTCTGAACAGTAAAGGACTATAAAATGTGCACAGCATTAAAAAAAATAGCTGTAGCCAAAAGAGGAATTAGACTTATTCTATGAGAACCAGGAGCAGCTTTTATTTCAACCGTCCAGTGATGAAAAAGTTTGCCTGGGGATGTATACAATTTCCCATCACTAGAAAAGTTCAAGAAGAAGCTGAGCTTCTAGAAGAAAATGTGGCCCATATACACCATGGAATACTATGCAGCCATAAAAAAGGATGAGTTCATGTCCTTTGTTGGGACATGGATGAAGCTGGAAACCATGATTCTCAGCAAACTATCACAAGGACAGAAAACCAAACACTGCATGTTCTCACTCATAGGTGGGAATTGAACAATGAGAACACATGGACACAGGAAGGGGAACATCACACACCGGGGCCTGTTGTGGGGTGGGGGGAGGGGGGAGGGATAGCATTAGGAGATATACCTAATGTAAATGACAAGTTAATGGGTGCAGCACACCAACATGGCATATGTATACATATGTAACCTGCATGTTGTGCACATGTACCCTAAAACTTAAAGTATAATAAAAATGTATATATAAAAGAATATTGTTACTTTTCTAAGTCCTTTCCTAAGCAGCTTCTTCTTTTCCTCTGTTCTCCATTGTTTTTACCTATTTAAAAAAATGTTTGAGCTGTTAGCCAATCAGGTTCAGTTTAGATTGTGAGGTCTGGCTCCAGCCAATGGAAACGGGACACAGTAACAGGGACAAACTACGTAAGGGATAAAAATTGCTTCCCTCCTCTGTTCAAGTGTGCTCTCACCATTGTTCCATCTGTGAGGAGCACCCTTCCTGCAGAAAGTAAAATTGCCTTGCTAAGAAAACTTTTTATCTAAATGCCGATTTTTCCTCACAATACCGAAGACCAAGCATTCTGTTTCTAAATAAACATTTTACTTATAACAGGGAATAATTCATCTCAGCTTCTTGGACCTCTTTTTCTGTATGCCAA
Organism: Homo sapiens; assembly: GCF_000001405.40. Classification (NCBI taxonomy): domain Eukaryota; kingdom Metazoa; phylum Chordata; class Mammalia; order Primates; family Hominidae; genus Homo; species Homo sapiens. The sequence continues at coordinate 124,882,638 of NC_000010.11, forward strand.
GTCATTTCACATCTTTCCAGGAGACCAGAGGTCTGAGCTAAAATAGAGAAAAATGTGTGCAATGCTCTTTTTTGAAGTATAACAAGCTCGCCTACTCACTTACCCACACAAAGTTTCTCACATCTGTGATGTCGTTTGCTTCTCACTCTAACCCCATGAGGTGTAAGAGACTTGGCAGGTGTTATCATTACCTTAATTTAAAATTTACAGATGAGGAAACAGCTCAGAGAGATTAATTGATTTGCCCAAGTCACAGGAAGTAGGTGGTGATGCTGCCAAACCATCTCAGGAATTCTGATTCCAGATTCTGTGTTGCTTTCTGTGACATCAGGCTGTCCATCAGAACGTTAAGGGTTAAGAAGTGGGAGCATTTACAAAACAGATTCATTTCTACAGTGTTTGTATGTTGATAAGGTATGTATGTTTAAAATAGAGATCTAGAGAAAAACTTTAGGACAAATATGTTCACTGCAACTGTTGTTTATAATAGTGTTAAGGACTTGGTTTAGGTGTGGGTATGTATCTATGTACAATGTGTACACACATGGAATTACATAGGGAAATGACAAATGTGAGTTTTCAAAAGCAGAATATATACATAGAAACATACACAAACCAAGTCCAATGATGATATATTCAAATAATATCTTTCAGGAAATTTCTTAAAATTTTATCTGTGGTTATATCTCTTGGTTTGGGATATCTGGATAACTTTCATTTTATTCTTTATTTCTATCTATATTTTCCATATCTTCTTATTCATTTATTTATTTAGAGAGAGGGTCTCACTCTTTTGCTCAGGCTGGAGTGCAGTAGCTCATTTCAACCTCAAACTCCTGGGCTCAAGTGATCCTCCTGCTTCAGCCTTCCAAGCAGCTGGGACTACGGGATTGTGCCTCCACACCCAGCTACTTTTTAATTTTTTGTAGAGACAGGGTCTTGCTATGTTGCCCAGGCTGGTCTCAAACTCCTGAGTTCAAGTGATCCTCCTGTCTCGGCCTTCTAAAGTGCTAGGATTATAGGTGTGAGCCACTGCATCTGTTAAGAGATGAGTATTAGGCTGAGCATGGTGGCACACATCTCTAGTCCTAGCTATTTGTAAGGCTGAGAGGAAGGATTGCTTGAGCCTACAAATTATAGTCCAGCCTGGGCAACATAGTGAGACCCCCATCTCAGAGAGAAAGAAAGAGAGAGAGAGAAAGAGAAAGGCCAGGCACAGTGGCTTACGCCTATAATCTCAGCACTTTGGGAGGCTAAGGCAGGAGAATCGCTTGAACCCAGGAGGTGGAGGTTGCAGTGAGCTGAGATGGCTCACTGCACTCCAGTCTAGGTGACAGAGAGAAACTCTGTCTGAAAAAAAAAGAAAAAGAGGAAGAGACAGAGGAGAGTGAAAGAAAGAGAAAGGAAGAGAGAGAGAGAGAGAGAAAGAGAGAAAGAATCAGTATTATTTTTGTCTGATTTTTATTCTCCTAGAGAAGTGGGCCTTTGGTGAGCAGGTGGTGGGCCCTGAGAAGCCAGGTCAGATGGGCTGCTCATCTGGCCCTAGAGTACAACTTGAAAGTTAGGACACTGGGGAAATGTCACAGCAGAAAGCCAGATAAACTGTCTAATGCGTCATCAGCTGGAATAGGCTAGCAAGAGGGACAACTCAGGGGCACACTCAAAGAATCAGATGAACTGCAAAGGTTGGGGTAAGAGGGTGTCACACTCCTGGGGCAGACAGGAGGGAAACTGAAGGGCTTTATTTATTTATTTATTTATTTATTTATTTATTTATTTATTTGGAGACAGAGTCTTGGTCTGTCACCCAGGCTGGAGTGCAGTGGTACAGTCTTGGCTCACTGCAACCTCTACCTCCTGGGTTCAAGTGATTCTCCTGCCTCAGCCTCCCGAGTACCTGGGATCACAGGTGCCTGCCACCACACCCGGCTAATTTTGTATTTTTGGTAGAGACAGGGTTTCACCATATTGGCCAGGCTGATCTCAAACTCCTGACCTCAGGTGATCCGCCCACCTCGGCCTCCCAAAGTGTTGGGATTACAGGTGTGAGCCACCGCGCCTGGCCCTGCAGTGCTTTTTAAAGAGTGCTTGAGCCTCCTGTATGGACAGAGTCATAATGTGCCAACTCAATGAGGACAACATTTACAATGATAGAAACGTTGGCCAACATGATCATGGTAGAGTAGTACTGCCCTGAGTCTCCTTCTGTGTGCACATCCAATTGTGATTCTCTCGGCATGGCTGACTGCTCTGCCTGCTGCCTTTAAAGAGCGATGGACAATGTCTTGGCAAAACTCTTCTCTAACTTCTGGGACCAGCAATAGTTGACAGTAGCAGGACCTACAGCCTCAAAGAGCCACAGCCTGGAGGGGTACAGGAAGCATGAGTTTAAGGCCATCAAGTGAAGGGAGAGAAGTGAAGGTGAGGCCAGGCGTGGTGGCTCACACCTGCAATCCCAGCATTTTGGGAGGCCGAGGTGGGTGGATCACCTGAGGTTAGGGGTTTGAGACCAGCCTGGCGATCATGGTGAAACCCTGTCTCTACTAAAAACAAAAAAATTAGCTGGGCGTGGTGGTGGTCGCCTATAATCCCAGCCACTGTGGAGGCTAAGGCAGGAGAATTTCTTGAACCTGGGAGGCGGAGGTTGCAGTGAGCCAAGATCATGCCATTGCACTCTAGCCTGGGCGACAAAAGGAGACTCCCTCTTAAAAAAAAAAAAGAAAGAAGTGAAGGTGGCAGCAGTGGCTGCTGGGAAAAGGCCATGAGCCACCAGGACCTAGGAGGATAAATGATCTGGGAAGTGGAGCATTTTCCAGCAGGGAGCTTGGGGCAGGCTGCTGCAGTGCCACTCTGCCCTTTGGTGGCCCAGGACTGATGAGGCCAAGGCTCACAGGGCCTCGTCATAACCCCTCTGACCTTCCCAGGCCCCTTCCTTATGCTAGCGGGATCTCAACCTTGTGTGGCTATGTTGCTTTGCACTCCACTGCCCTTCACTGGGGTCTGTAGGTGTAAAATCAGAATGTTCCAGACCCTTGGGACACATATACCTTTTCTCTACACATTTTGAGAGCCGCTTTCTTGAGAGTTAGGACAGGCCGGGCATGGTGGCTCCTGGCTGTCATCCCAGCACTTTGGGAGGCTGTGGTGGGAGGATCTCCTGAGCCCAGGATTTCAAGACCAGCCTGGGCAACAGAGAGAGACCCAGTCTCTACAAAAAAAAAAAAAAAAAAAAAGAACATTACCTAGGTGTGGTAGTGTGCACCTGTAGTCCCAGCTACTCAGGAAGTTGAGGTGGGAGGATGGATTGAGCCTGGGAGATGGAGGCTGCAGAGAGCCCTTATAGCGCCACTGCACTCCAGCCTGGATGACAGAGAGAGACCCTGTCTCAAAAAAAAAAGAGTCAGGATAACTAAGTCAGTTGTCCAGCTTTTGTATCTCTGGCCATTCTGCAATGGCCCTCCTTCGAAATGATGCCATTTCGTCCCTGCCACTTGGCACTCTCCTGTTGGTCAAAATGAAGACCTGAGGCACAGTAATACCCCTTTTTTTCTCTTCTAGATTATAAGAGAGAAAATTGTCATCAAGTCAATAACTTATTGAACTTTTGTATCTTAAATTCTCAATTTTAGTTCCTTCAGTGAATGAACTCGTCATCTCAATGCTGCCGTGACTTCTTTTTCTTAGGCCCCTGGCTCAGGGCTGAGAATCTCCAGATGCTGTTATGTATTGTGCAGTTTGGGTTGCTATGGTGCTGGAAATGGCCTGTAAATGCTGAAATCCTGCAATTGCAAGGGTGCCTCTTAGAGGATGACGTGTTATATGTGGATTTGGGTTATGTGTAGATTTAGCCTCCGTGACATCGGAGATGTGATTTGGTGCTTCTCATCCTCTTCAGATTCTAATCTGATCACCTTCTTGACCGTGTCAATGGACTGAGTTACAATAGATTGTTCAAATAGCCAAATAACCCATTTAATAAAAGGATGCTGAGCTCAAAGTTGCCGGATGCAGTTTTTTCTAACCTTGATGGTTCATTGCATTTACAAGCTCTGCGGCTGCTTGTTGCTTTCAGCCAAGAAGTCCGTCTGGATTGGGGGCTGGTGACTATAAATCTCCAAAGATGCAGCCCCCCCTCCACCCCGCTTAGCTCATCACCTTCCATTCCTCTGCTCCCTCCGGCAGCAGCCTCCTGAGCCCATTATCACCATGCTCAGGGCACTACCCCCCAGGCTGGAGGAGAGAGCTGACCCCTGGTCAGGGGAGATTTATGCAGCCTCAGGAAAGGAGCTCCATCGTTCCTCATGTCCCACTCCTTCACCCTAAGCCAGCTGGACAACCATTTGTCGGATACATTGGGTGTAGACACATTTGTTATAGATACACTGGGGGTACTCCAATGCCCTCATGCCCCCTTTTCTAGGCATGCTCCTAAAGCCCTGGCAAAGGGAGGGGGAGCTAGGTAGGCATGTTTGTATTAGGTGATCTCAGCTCCTGGCCAAATATGATTGAATAAGGAGACACCTCACCTATGCTGATTCCATCAGACTCTCCAGAATTCCAGCCAGTGTCCCAGTGCGTGAGTCAGGTGGCTTCAGTGCTGTGTTGGGTGTTAGCAGCTGTCGTGGAGCTGCACGTAGGTCCAATCTTGGATGGTGCCTTTGGGCTTGGATGTTACCTGGAGTCCTCCTAGCATCTGCTTTGGGCAGCTCCTTGTGTATACTCACTGGGACTCACCCTGTCACTCTCTCCACTTTGGTCCCCCAAGTAGAGAACCACCTAAACCCCTGTCCACAATACTCACCTTAGCTGTAGCCAGCTCCTCATTGGCCTACTCCTGGCCTTACTCTTTTGTTTAATTTTTTTTTTTTAGATGGAGTCTTGCTCTGTCGCCAGGCTGGAGCGCAGTGGCGTGATCTTGGCTCACTGCAACCTCCACCTCGTGGGTTCAAGCTATTCCCCTGGCTCAGCCTCCCAAGTAGCTGGGACTACAAGGCGCATGCCACCATGCCTGGCTAATTTCTTTTGTATTTTAGTAGAGACGGTGTTTCACCCTGTTGGCCAGGATGGTCTCGATCTACTGACCTTGTGATCCACCTGCCTCGGCCTCCCAAAGTTCTGGGATTACAGGCGTGAGCCACCGCATCCGGCCTGGCCTTACTCTTTCTTAAGGCCCAGGGCCAGTAACTAGGGCCTTGGAATGCCTTGTATGAAGACGCAGAGGAAGGGAGGGACTAGCAGAAGAAACGCATCCCGCTGAGGAGTGAATTCTACCCAGAGTGCCAGCTCAGTGGACCCTTCTCCAAGGTTCTCCTCAATCACCACCAAAGGGGTACCTCACCTGGAGCTGCCATCAGAACTTTTGTGATTTAAATGGAGCTGCCCATTGAAAGTGGAGGTCCAGGCTGGGCGTGGTGGCTCACACTTGTAATCCCAGCACTTTGGGAGGCTGAGGCCTGTGGATTGTTTTGAGCCCAGGAGTTTGAGACCAGCCTGGGCAACATGGCAAAACCCCATCTCTACAAAAAATACAAAACTTAGCTGGTTGTGGTGGTGAGTAGCTGTGGTCCCAACTACCTGGGGGGTTGAGTGGGGTCCTGAGGTGGGAGGATTGCTTGGGCCCAGGAGGTTGAGACTGCAGTGAGCTGTGATCACGCCACTGCACTTCAGCCTAGGTGACAGAGTGAGACACTGTCTCTAAATAAATAAATAAGTAAAAGAGAGTGGAGGCCCAGAGAACAGGCCTGCCCCACCATTGCAGGGCCCAGGGCCCAGGAGTGGAAATGGAGGCTCAGGTGCATGTGTCTAAATGTTTCAAATTATTATTGATTAATGATTAATTAATAATCAATAATCAATAATTATTTAATAATATTTATAATAATAAATAATAAATAATAAATAAAATAATTATTAATACATTATATATTTATATATTATATATATTTATTATATATTTAGAATATATATATTCTAATTTAAATTAAAACATTTTTCTTTCCTGTATTTCAGCAAAGTCACTATGTTGTTGTAAGCAAAATTTTCATATAACTTGTGTTGAATTAATAGTAATGCTAAGTTAGGCAACTTTTCTTGAGTCACTGTAGTTCTTAGTATTATTAATTTCAATTTGGAAAAACAAAATTTTGCTCTATTGAAGCAATAGCAACTGGAATTGTCAGTAAAATATCACTGTTATTATTATTATTTTGAGACAGGATCTTGCTCTGTCACCCAGGCTGGAGTGCAGTGGTGTAACCATGACTCACTGCAGCCTTCGCCTCTTGGTCCCACCTCAGCTTCTCGAATACCTGAGACCACAGGCATGTGCCTTGCCTGGTTAATTAATTTATTTATTTTTTGAGATGGAGTCTCGCTCTGTCACCCAGGCTGGAGTGCAGTGGTGTGATCTCGGCTCACTGCAAACTCTGCGTCCCAGGTTCACACCATTCTCCTGCCTCAGCCTCCCGAGTAGCTGGGACTACAGGCGCCCACCACCACGCCTGGCTAATTTTTTGTATTTTTAGTAGAGACAGGGTTTCACCATGTTAGCCAGGATGGTCTCGATCTCCTGATCTTGTGATCCGCCCGCCTTGGCCTCCCAAAGTGCTGGGATTACAGGCGTGAGCCACCGCGCCCGGCCATTTTTTTTTTTTTTTTTTTGGTAGAGACGGGATCTTGCTATGTTGCCCAGGCTGGTCTTGAATTCCTGAGCTCAAGCAATTCTCCCACCTTGGCCTCCCAAAGTGCTGGGATTACAGGGATGAGTCACTGCACTTGGCCCTTTTTCTCCTATTCATCTGCCTTTTGTGAGCTGATTTTTTTTTTTTTTTTTTAGCAAACCTTTAGAGCACCAAGGGGAAAGCTCTCCCTTGGCCCCTTCACATGTGACAAATTATCTTCATGGCAGAAAATATGTAACAAATTTAATTTTTATCATGTAAATTGCTATCAGTTATAGTGGCAATCTTTCTCATCTCTTAAAGCAATAGCTAGAGGCACAGAGTAACATAAATAGCTGGTATTATGCTTCACACATATTATATCTGGGCCCTACATAGACACGTTTAAGAATAATATGCGAAGTGGCTCATGCCTGTAATCCCAGCACTTTGGGAAGCCAAGGCGGGTGGATCACCTGAGAGCAGAAATTCAAGACCAGCCTGGCCAACATGGTGAAACCACATCTCTACTAAAAATACCAAAATTAACCAGGCATGGTGGTGTGCACCTGTAGTCCCAGCTACTCGGGTGGCTGAAGCAGGAGAATTGCTTGAACCCGGAGGTTGCAGTGAGCCGAGATTGTGCCACTGCACTCCAGCCTGGGCGACAGAGCAAGACTCTGTCTCAAAAAAAAAAAAAAAAAAAGAAGAAGAAGAATATGAACTGTGTAATATTATACAATGTTCCTTGGTGACCATATGCAACTGTTGTGAAATGTACACTAATCTGTGAATGCCTCCCAAGCCCAAATTCAAACATGAGGAGAAGAAATGCAGGGACCCAGGACTACTGGGAAATAATATTTCCATGAGTAAGAATCGGTTGTATTTATGCTATTTGACGATTTGACAAATTGAACAACCTGTCTTTCTCTGGCCTAAGGTCTTCCCTTGGCTAAATCGTCTCTGCTCTCTGAAGCAGTGCCTGACTCCAATGCTGGGAGCACCACAACCCACAAATCTCCAGGATGACCAGACAAGGTCACCTTCTGTTCAAGGTCAGGGGCCAGGCCTTGCGGAGAAGCATCTCTCCAGGCCTGACACATCCTAGTCCTGGCTGGTGGTGTTTACAGTGCTGACTTGTGCTGGGCCAATGCTGAGTACAGGATCCCACGGGGCCAAAACACCCCGGTGCTCCTCAATACATGTGTTTCATGTGTATGTTTGTCACGTATAAGGCTCATGGAAAGGGCCTCTCATGCCTGGGTGTAAAGGGAAAGACTTTTCTGTAAGCGCAAAAATGCAGCCCTGTTTCCTGCAGGGAGTAGAGTGGCAGACACTGAGCAGCATCTGCTAGGTTCCAGGCCCTGTGCTAAGCCCACTTTCCTTGCTTACTCCCTTTTCTTCCCTCTCCCTCTCCCTGCCCATCCCCCGCAACCTGCTTTTTTTTTTTTTTTGAGACAGAGTCTTGCTCTGTCACCCAGGTTGGAGTGCAGTGGCACACTGCAACCTCCTCCTCCCGGCTTCAAGCGATTCTCCTGCCTCAGCCTCCCAAGTAGCTGGAATTACAGCAGTGCATCACTATGCCTGACTAATTTTTGTTTTTTTAGTAGAGACTGGGTTTCACCATGTTGACCAGGCTGGTCTCAAACTCCTGACCTCAAGTGATCCACTTGCCTCGGCCTCCCAAAGTGCTGGGATTACAGGTGCAAGCCACCGCACCCGACCTTTTTTTTTTTTTTTTTTTTTGAGATGGAGTGTCGCTGTAATGCTCAGGCTGGAGTGCAGTGGCACGATCTCAGCTCACTGCAACCTCTGCCTCCTGGGTTTAAGCAATTCTTGAGCCTCAGTCCCCCAAGTAGCTGGAACTACAGGCGTGCCACACCAACATGCCTGGCTAATTTTTTTTTTTTTTTTTTGTATTTTCAGTAGAGATGGGGTTTTGCTATGTTGGCCAGGCTGGTCTCAAACTCCTGACCTCAGGTGATCTGCCCACCTCGGCCTCCCAAAGTGCTGGGAGTACAGGTGTCAGCCACTGCCCTGGCCCATCTCTCCCTTTATGCTTCCCTCCCTCCCTTCCTTCCTTGAAAAGGAACCACATTGACCAGGCGCAGTGGCTCACACCTGTAATCCCAACACTTTGGGAGGCCGAAGCGGGTGGATCGCCTGAGGTCAGGAGTTCGAGACCAGCCTGACCAATGTGTTGAAACCCTGTCTCTACTAGAAATACAAAAAAATTAGCCGGGCATGGTGGTGTGTGCCTGTAGTCCCAGCTACTCAGCTGAGGCAGGAGAATTGCTTGAACCCAGGAGGCGGAGGTTGCAGTGAGCTGTGATAGCTCTACTGCATTCTAGCCTGGGTGACAGAGCGACACTCCATCTAAAAAAAAAAAAAAAAGAAAGAAAGAAAGAAAAAAAACACATGCAAATAGTACCATATTGCATTCCCTGCACCGTAACACACCCAGGGCAGGACTACGGGAGTGCCCTGGCTGAGAGGAGGGAATGGCTTCAGGAGAACCCAGAGCTCCTGGGATTTTGTAGGGAGGAGAGACGTGGGGACACAGGACTCTGGAGCTTGTCCCAGGATGAAGCTCAGCTCCGAGGATGGTTTATTCCCTTTGCCATGGCTGCCTAGGCTCTCTGACTCTTAGACTGCTGGGGTAAGGGTGGCAAAAATGTATCCTTTAAAGACAAATTCAGGGCACTCAACAAATTGAATGTAAGAACTTTGTACGATGCTCACCATTTCTCTTATGCCCAGAAGACTGATATCATGGTTACCTAACATGCGTCTTTAAAAAAAAATGATTTTTTTCCTTGCCAGAATCTAATGGCGATGCCACCTCTGAAGCCCATGGGACCTGTAGTCAGGCCCAGCTTAGTCTCTCTGTGGTCAGACTCCTTATCTGTCAATGGGTGCTGACTGCCAGGAGCGGCAGGAATTCTGTGAGCTGGCCTCTGTGAGGGTAGCCAGCTCGGCATGCATCGGCAGCTCAGGGGACGTCAGCTCCCTTCCTCCTTCTTTTGTGAGTAAGGAGAAAGAAACAAACCTATATGTGCCTGTGTGAGAGTGTGTGTGTGTGTGTGTGTGTACGCACAGGTACATGCACACTCTTTGCAGGGTGTACTCATTTGCCAGGACTGCTGTAACAAACTCCCATACACGAAGGGCTGAAATCAATAGAAAGAAACTGAACTCTCACATTTCTGGGTTTTTTTGTTTGTTTGTTTGTTTTGTTTTGTTTTGTTTTGAGGCAAGCTCTTGCTCTGTCACTCAGGCTGGAGTGCAGTGGTGCAATCACAGCTCCCTGCAGCCTCGACCTCCCAGGCTCGAGTGATCCTCCTATCTCAGCCTCCCGAATAGCTAAGACTAGAGGTGCATACCATCATGCCCAACTAATTTTTTTTTCTTAGTAGAGACCAGATCTCACTATGTTGCCCAGGCTGGTCTCAAACCCCTGAGCCCAAGTTATCCTCCTGCCTCGGCCTCCCAAGGTGCTGGGATTACAGGTATGAGCCACCATACCCGGCCACTCTCACATTTCTGGTGGCTAAAAATCAGCAGGCAAGGTGTTAGCAGGGCTGTGCCTCCTCCAGAGGCTCTAGGAAGGGAGCCCTCTTTGCCTCTTCCAAGCTTTTGGTGTTTGCCAGTAATCCTTGCTGTTCCTTGGCTTGTAGACACATCACTCCAAACTCTACCTCCGTTGTCACCTGGCCTTCTTCCCTGTGTCTTCTTTGTGTCCTTTCCTCTCCTTATAAGGAATCTGGTCATGCTGGATTTAGGGCTCACCCTAAAACAGTATGAGCTCATCTTATGATTGCACCTATAAAGACTCTATCTCCAAATAAGGTCACACTCTGAAGTTCCAGGTGACACTATCAACCCAGTCAGTGTGCAGGTTTAAGGCAGAAAGCTAAGACTGTATTGTGAGATGCATCCCAAATTCAAATACATTAAACGTGAAAAAATGTACATCTTAAACTCCATGACATATGCCTCTTACACAAACACACTCACACATATGATTCAACAATGTAAGTGAAAAAATGTGTTCTCAAAAGTGGCCACTATAATCTTTTGGTGGGATCCCCAGTTAAGGTGCCTCAACTTTGATGACCCAAAGATACTCACATTCTCCAGAACTGTTGACATTTCTGGAAAAGGCTTTACTCAGGAGGAAGCGGATCTTGTGAAATTGCTAGAATCTGGCTTAGTTCATTAAATTGGGAGATAATGGTGGTGAAAATGCTTTGCAAGCAGTCAAATGTGATACAAATCAAGGTCAATGTACATGTGGGTGTACCCACTTTATGCCCTTAGGGAGGGTCATCCATTCCACACACATACACATAAACACACACACACAAAGAGATCATTTGAGGTCAGGAGTTCAAGACCAGCCTGACCAACAGACTCTACTAAAAATACAAAAAAAAAAAAAAAAATTTAGCCAGGCATAGTGGCACATGCTTTTAATCCCAGCTACTCAGAAGGCTGAGGCAGGAGAATTGCTTGAACCCAGCAGGCACAGGTTAAAGTGAGCCGAGATCGTGCCACTGCACTCCAGCCTGGGCGACAGAGCGAGACTGTTCTCTCTCAAAAAAAAAAAAAAAAAAAAAAAACGAAAAAAAGGCCGGGTGCGGTGGCTCACGCCTGTAATCCCAGCACTTTGGGAGGCTGAGGTGGGTGGATCACGAGGTCAGGAGATTGAGACCACCCTGGCTAACACGGTGAAACCCCGTCTCTACTAAAAAAAATACAAAAAAATTAGCCGGGCGAGGTGGTGGACACCTGTAGTCCCATCTACTCGGGAGGCTGAGGCAGGAGAATGGTGTGAACCCAGGAGGCGGAGCTTGCAGTGAGCCGAGATCGTGCCACCGCACTCCAGCCTGGGCGACAGAGTGAGACTCCGTCCCGAAAAAAAAAATCCTTTATCACTGGGGTAAAAGGGCAATTCCTCTGGGCTCATAAACACAAACTTCGTTGTTCATCAGGGGATCCATCAGCTCCCTCTGGGTTTATCTGCCTTAGAGCCCTACACAAGTTTCTCACATGGAGGGTTTTCGTTTTTATTTTGAGACAGGGTCTCATTCTGTCACCACAGTTGGAGTGCAGTGGTGCCATCACTGCCTACTGCAGCCTCAACCTCGTAGGCTCCTGTGATCCTCCCACCTCAGCCTCCCGAGGAGCTGGAACTACAGACATGCACTACCACACCAGGTTAATTTTGTATTTTTTGTAGGAGTTTTGTCGTGTTGCCCAGGCTGGTCTCGAATTTCTGGGCTCAATTGATCCATCTGCCTTGGCCTCCCAAAGTGCTGGAATTACAGGCATGAGCCACCGTGCCAGGCCCCACATGTACGCTTAATCTATGGAAAGAGAAGCTCTGTGATTTGGTCACGGCGTCATATACTATAGAATTGTGCATATTTTGCACTGAGTCAGTCATTTCAAAAGGAGTTGATAGAACTTTATGCCTGGAAGGGAATTTATTCATGATCTCATCTACCCCTCCCACCTTTAAAAAAAACAAAAGAGGCCTAGAGAGAAGTGGCTGGCCGGCCCATGTGCAGAGAAGGAGCTGGAAGCAGTTTGGGCTGAGGAGGCCCTGAAGGAGATTCTCTGAGGCTCGGCCCTGTGGTCCCCTTTCTCCATCACGCTGCTGAGGTTGGGGCACACACGTTCTCGTTTAGTCTTCACAACAACCCTATGAGGTGAGTGTATTATTATCCCCATTTTACGGATGAGTAAACAGAGGCCACCTGAGGCAATGTCTGGCTCAATACCACAGCTGGTGTTATACAGGTGACCCTGGAGCCACCACGCTGTCCTGCTGCCGAGGCAGAAACAGTGGAGAGGCAGGGGCACCCCATTAGGAGCCTCTCCACTCCCCATCCCCAGCATAAAATTTCAAAATAAACCAACTGTCTTTATAATACATAAAAGTAATCAATAAAGAGAATGTTCTGGAGCTTATGAAAGTGGGACAGGAATTGCAGGGTATGGAGAGGAAAGTTGTCATGTTGCTTCAGGGACAGAGGCATAATTAGGGGGGTCCAGAGGACAATGCCTCCTGCTCTGTGGATGTGGAGGCCACAGCCCTGTCTTTTCTGCTTTCAGAGTAGCTGACATCCATCATCTAGCAATGTTCCATTCCAGTAACTATATTTAAATTTAGCCATTGCTCCAGATGAAGATTCACTCTGATAGTAGCACCAGCGGTAGGGCAAGAGGCTGACTTCCCATGACCGAAAAATGAACCAGATCCTTTGTGCTCCAGAATTTTTTTTTTTTTTTGAGACAGAGTCTTGCTCTGTTTCCCAGGCTGGAGTGCAGTGGCGTGATCTCGGCTCACTACAAGCTCTGCCTCCCGAGTTCGCGCCATTCTCCTGCCTCAGCCTCCCAAGTAGCTGGGACTACAGGCGCCCACCACCACGCCTGGCTAATTTTTTGTATTTTTAGTAGAGACGGGGTTTCACCATGTTAGCCAGGATGGTCTTGATCTCCTGACCTCGTGATCCACCTGCCTTGGCCTCCCAAAGTGCTGGGATTACAGGCTTGAGCCACCATGCCCGGCTTTTTTTTTTCTTTTTTCAGATAGAGTCTCGCTTTATCGCCCAGGCTGGAGTGCAGTGGCACAATCTTGGCTCACTGGGTTTGAGCGATTCTCCTGCCTCAGCCTCCTAAGTAGCTGGGATTACAGGCATGTGCCACCACGTCTGGCTAATTTTTGTATTTTTTGTAGAAATGGGTTTTCACCATGTTGGTCAGGCTGGTCTTGAACTCCTGACCTCAGGTGATCTGCCCAGCTTGGGGGAGAATCTCTTAAAGTGCTGGGATTACAGGCGTGAGCCAATGTGCCCAGCCCAGGAATTTTTTCCCAAGACATCACAGTTCTTTCACACCAGTATCTTCTCCTACTCAGCTGGCTACTCACTGCTTATTATCTAAAGATACAGTAATGATTTTTACTGAATGAAACTAAGGAAACAATGTGGGGGAATTATGTATCGTGTGTTGGAATTATGAAACCATATTCCATGTAGGGATAATTTCTCTGTTGTATTCTGGAAGTTTTCTAGCACTCAATTGGAAACCATAGAGTATGGTGTACGAAGCTTTTGCTACAGAATCTCTTAAAATACAGACATGTCTCATGTTTTTCCTTTTCCACTTTTTCACCTCTCTAGCTGATTGATTTTCAGATTAAAACAAAATTCTAAAACTCCTTTCACAAAGCACAGACTAAAGCAGCAATTTGGAAAGGGAAATTATTTTGATTAAGGTTGACAAACAATCTGTAATGACATTGCTATTAGCAACCTTTTTTTCTGGATGAAATATTACATGCAAACCACATTTTAGAACTGGGAGTGAATTTAGCAATTAAAGTCACCATCATTTTAAAGCCTGCTCATGTGGTTAGTTATATATTTGGTATTTTTATGTACTGGGTATTACTAATCAGGCACATATTCTCAAATAGTGACAACGAAGTACAATATTCAAGGGAACATTATACAGACACGAATCAACCCCCTACACTGAGAGTTTGTAAGTACTCTGCAGATGTAAGTTCTTGGTTTTTTATCCACTAAGCTGATTACCTAGCACAGATTCTGTTTGACCTCAAAATCCGCCAAGCAACAGAAGGCTGCCCCTGTAGCCTGCTGTGTCTGGGAGGGGACAGGGACAGTTTCCTCAGGGAATGCACTGGAAATGTTATTGTTAGACTAACCAAACTTCATAGCTCCTGTAAAAGTACCTTTGTAAAAATTCCCCTCTTTATCTGCCCTTCCCTGATAACCCTGCTGGGGTTTCTCTCTCTCATATTGAACGAAAAGCCTACCACAGGCTTTTTGTTTGTTTTTTACTTTCAGAGATAGAAATATATTTACAGACAAAATGATAGGATGTCTGAGATTTACCTCAAAATAATTTGGGAAGGTGGAGAAGCAGATGGAGAGAAAACTGAAGCCGGGCTGGCCACAAGTTGATCATTGTTGAGACTAAGAGATGGCACCAGGAGTTCGCTATGATTAGAATACTTTGGGGCTGGGCGCAGTGGCTCATGCCTGTAATCTCAGCACTTTGGGAGGCTGAGGTGGGTGGATCACTTGAGGTCAGGAGTTCGAGACCAGCCTGGCCAACATGGAGACACCCCATCGCTACGAAAAATACAAAAAATTAAAAAAAAACAAAAATTACCCAGGTGTGGTGGTGTGCACCTGTAATTCCAGCTACTCGGGAGCCTGAGGCAGAAGAATCGCTTGAACCCAGGAGGCGGAGGTTGCAGTGAGCTGAGATCGCACCACTGCACTCCAGCCTGGGCGACAGAGCAAAACTCTGTCTCAAAAACAAAACAAAACAGCAAAACAAAACAAAAAAAGAATAGTTCAGAGAACATCCTTGAGCACGTGCAGGAATGTCCCTAAACTCCAGGAGGAACTTTGGGGCTTACATACATCCTACATTGTATTGGATACTATCAAATTGCTCTCCAAAGTGTCTGCACAGATTTACATTCCCAAGTCATGCATCTCACCGGAACTTGAGATTTAACCTTGCTATCCACCTGATTTTTAAAAAGTGGTGTATCTTCTTAGTGTTTCATCTGCATTATCCTAATCACCGGTGAGTTTGAGCACCGATGCATATTTGCTGGTTCTTCAGGTTTTCTTCTGTAAATTCCCTGTTCATGTTCTCCTAGATTTTAGATGAAATCACAATGAGTTCTCTTTCCTTGTTCCTCCAAGCAGTAGTGTGCAATACCCTACTTGCATTAGCTTGTGAAAGCCAAGCCAATTGTTAAGTTTTCAAGACTTTTTTTTTTTTTTTTGAGATGGAATCTTGCTCTGTCACCCAGGCTGAAGTGCAGTGGTGTGATCTCGGCTCACTGCAACCTCCACCTCCCTGGTTCAAGCTATTTCCCTGCCTCAGCCTCCCGAGTAGCTGAGATTACAGGCGCACGCCACCAAACCCGGCTAAATTTTTTTTTTGTATTTTTAGTAGAGATGGGGTTTCACCATGTTGGCCAGATTGGTCTCGAATCAAACTCCTGACCTCAGGCAATCTGCCTGCCTCAGCCTCCCAAAGTGCTGGGATTACAGGCGTGAGCCACTGCGCCCGGCCAGACTTTTGCTAAATTTTCAAGATTATCAAATATTGGTAGCTCAAAAATTGGCCCTGGTGGGAATATTTACACCATGGCAACCAGCAAATGCTACAAATGAGGGCTCCTGTCCCCAGAGAGCTAGTTGTTAAACATTTACCAGCACGCACCGCCTCCAAGCATTTACAGCTGGACGCAGCCTGGCTCAAAAAAGCATCAAGGCGACCCTGAGGCACAGGTGTGGGAGGTGCCACTGACTCCCTGACTGGGACTAGAAAAGGCTTCTTGGCTGAGTTTCCTGTATTTCCAGCATCAGCTGCTGGAGCATCGGCGAGGCTGGGGAGGGCGGCGCCTCTAGCACACCCAGGAGGCCCGCCCTGCTCCTACAGCAAAGCTAGGTGGAACTGGGCACAGGTCCTGGCCTCTGTTCCTTGGTCCTTTCCATTTCTGTGCAAGGCAAGGCCAGCTGTGTAATTTGCAGGGGTCAGGGCAACATGAAAATATGGGGCTCCTCATTCAAAAGCTGGAAAAAAGCTTTTTCCTTCCTTCACCTGCGGTCTCTTTCTCCACCAATTATGGTGTTTTTAATTTGCTATTTAATGTCATGTTCTCTTGGGAATGAAGATATTCGTGGGTGAACACAAAACCTCCTACTCGCCTGGGTTCTTGCTTGGTGACTCGGTACACAGAGTACATGACCCACCTGGAGCCTCCTCATGCCTGTGCTCAGGACTCCATCCATGGAGGGGGACAGCAGTGGTGACTGGGCGGTAACAGAGGGATGGGAACATATCCTGGGGAGGTGGGAAGGCCATGGGAGCAAGACCATGGGTGAACCTAGGTGCCGGTTCCCACCGCACGCGCCATCACCCCACTGGACTTCGCTCACAGAACACAAATTCCAAGATAACATTATTAATACATTCAAGACAGCAGCTGCAGAGCATCAAACCCGAAGTGTGCAGGCTCCTAAGTGTGCAGCCCGTGAAGCCGCCCTGCGGCCAGGCAGCCCCGTGGCCACTGGGCCTCTGCACTGGGAAACTGACCTTGGGCTAAGAAACTTAAGAACCCAGATGTCTTCACCACTGCAGTGGTCACAGTCTAGGTACAGTCAAGTCAGAGGGTGTAGTCAGGTTTGTTTTAACAGTCCTTCTTGGCCGGGTGCAGTGGCTCACATCTGTAATCCCAGCATTTTGGGAGGTTAAGAGGGGCAGATCACTTGAGCCCTGGAGTTCGAGACCAGCCTGGCCAACATGGCGAGACCCCGTCTCTACAAAAAACACAAAAATTAGCCTGGTGGTCTGGTGGCGGCATGTCTGTAGTCTCAGCTACCTGGATGTTGAGGTGGGAGGATCCCTTGAGCCTGGGAGGTCAAGGCTGCAGTGAGCCAAGATCACGCCACTGCACTCCAGCCTGGGCAACAGAGAGAGACCCTATATCAAAGAAAAAATGAACATACAAAAGAAAAATAAATAAATACATAATAAAACTGGCCAGGCGTGGTGGCTCACGCCTGTAATCCTAGCACTTTGGGAGGCCAAGGTGGGCGGATCATCTGAGGTCAGGAGTTCAAGACCAGCCTGGCCAACATGGCGAAACCCCATCTCTACTAAAAATACAAAAATTAGCTGTGTGTGGTGGTGCATGCCTGTAGTCCCAGCTACTCGGGAGGCTGACACAGGAGAATCGCTTGAACCCAGGAGGCAGAGATTGCAGTGAGCCGAGATTGCACTACTGCACTCCAGCCTGGACCACAGAGCAAGACTTGGTCTCAAAAAATAAAAATAAATAAAATAAATAAAACCATAAAGCTGCAGGATGAAGAAAAAGAGCAATTCCTCCACATCAGGAGTGTAGTGTGATTTTATCAGGCTAATTGAAAAAGAAAATCCTGGCCAGGTGTGGTGGCTCACACCTGTAATCCTAGCACTTTGGAAGGCTAGCTTGAGCCCAGGAGCCCACCTTGAGCTCACTTTGGGAGGATCACTTGAGCCCAGGAGTTCAAGACCAGCCTGGGTAACATGGCTGGTCTACAAAAAATACAAAATTAGCTGGGCATGGTGGTATGTGCCTAGTCCCAGCTACTCAGGAGGCTGGGGCTGGAGGGTTGCTTGAGCCCAGGAGGTCCAGGCTGCAGAGACCAGGCTGGGTGACAGAGCGAGACTGTGTCTCCAAAAAAAAAAAAAAAAAAAAAAGGAAAGAAAGAAATCCTCAAATAATAGGATGGATGTATCTTTCTCATGTACAAATGTCAGGGGACAGGCAGTCCAAGGATGGCCTCCAATGGCTCCAGGGAATCATCAGGGCTCCAGGCTTTCAGGCTTCTGCTCCACCAGCCTCAAAATCACTTCAGGGTTCAGGATAGCCATAGGAGTTCCAGCTGTCACATCCATACTCCAGGGAGGGAGGTGGAGGTGGGTAGGATGGCCTATTTCCTGCCTTTTAAGGAAAACTTTCTTTCTTTCTTTTTTTTGAGACTGAGTCTCGCTCTGTCAGCAGTGGTGCGATCTCGGCTCACTGCTAGCTCCGCCTACCGGGTTCACGCCATTCTCCTGCCTCAGCCTCCTGAGTAGCTGGGACTACAGGCACCTGCCACCACGCCCGGCTAATTTTTTGTATTTTTAGTAGAGACAGGTTACACCGTGTTAGCCAGGATGGTCTCGATCTCTTGACCTCGTGATCCACCCGCCTTGGACTCTCAAAGTGCTGGGATTACAGTTTCACTCTTGTCGCCCGGGCTGGAGTACAATGGCATGATGTCGGCTCACTGCAACCTCCACCTCCTGGGTTCAAGCAATTCTCCTGCCTCAGCCTCCCGAGTAGCTGGGACTACAGGTGCCTGCCATCACACCCAGCTATTTTTTTGTATTTTGAGTAGAGACAGGGTTTCACCACGTTAGTCAGGCTGGTCTCGAACTCCCGACCTCAGGTGATCCACCCATCTCAGCCTCCCAAAGTGCTGGGATTACAGGCGTGAGCCACCGTGCCCGTCGGAAAACTTTCACAAAATCCCTCACAACCACACTTTCACTTGTATATATCATAAACACATTATGGAGCAAAACTAAGGCACAGCCATGGCCACACCTTGCTGTAGTAGAGAATTGGAAATACAGTAAAAGCATTTAGCTGGGCAACAACTTTGTTAGAAACTGATGTTCTGTTACTAAAGAGGGAAAGGGGAATGGATGTTGGGAAGAGTTTATAACAGTTTTTGCCATGGTCACTCATTTCCTTTTTAAGTTTATGGAGGCTGTAAATTCAGGAAAATAAATCGATACCTAATTCCTAGGTCCTTGAGAAGTTCCATTTTAAAATATTCTCATTCTTTCTAAAAATCAGACAAAAAAACTCCAGTGAGGAACTAATTTAGGTTTTGTCGCCTTCATTATTTTTGTGTATGTTACTTCCATAGTCTACCTTTCACCTGCTCTTGAATTGCATAGGGAAGCAGTCAAATGACTCAAGGATTTCACCGTAGTTGTACAAAGCTTTGTGCTTTATAGGACAAAAGAATTTTTAAAAACATACATTTGAGACAGGAATAATAGCAGGTTGATTGCAATAGTATTCGTTTCAGCTCTGCACTCTAGAGAAAGCACTTCTAAATGGACATCTTACATATTTTTCTGTTGAAAATAATCAACAAAGAGAGCTCCTCTCTCTTGTTGACCCATGCTGCAATACAGTATCTGTTCAGGCAGTTGTTATACAGTATAAGTGGCTTTCTGATGGAAAGCTAATGTTTAAAAAAAAAAAGAGGTCTATTTTCTTAGCTCTTTTATGTCTTTCTCTTGAAGATTTTTTTTTTTCTAATGTGACAGGCATTGTCTGACAGCACAGTAATACAAGAAAAACATCACACTTCAGTTCCATCGACTGTGGGGCACTACAATGTGAGTTAACCTTTGTGCATGGTGGCCTAGTGATTGAACTGCTAATATTCTATTGGTGGGAGGTTTTCCCTTATGATCAGAGAAGTTTTCAGGGATATTATGATAAACACAAAGACACATCTTATTCACGAATGTCTGTGCTTTATTAAAATAGATTTATCTCCAAGTTAGGGCTGGCTCCTTAACACATTGCTTTCCTACTTAATAATATAAGGAAGATTTCTTGTCTCTAATCCTGATTTCGGTGATTGAAATCCCACAGACAGACTCAAAACTATATCATAAGAACAAAGTGTCACAAAAAGAAAGTCTGTCATATCTCCCAGCTATGGAAATAGAGTTTAGTATACAAGGATGACTGGCATTAAATTCAATGTGGGCTCCAACAAATCTTACCTTTGTGATCAATCATTTCATTCCTAAGAGATGCTGCTGGATTGGTAACCTATCTGCTTATGGACTTCAACTTTTTTCCTGCTGCTTTAGAAAGCCATTTCTTGGTGCCTCTCCATTATTTCCCTGAAATGTTTCTGTGCCACCTCTGATAGCCATCTTTTCTGAGTTTCACTGATAGACTGGATTAGCATAATTCCTTTTATGGCATAAGACCATGCTGTAGTAGAAGAAAAAATCATGATGTTCTTAAAATACATTGTCTTTGGATAGAATATTCTTTGCTTAGGAGAAGGGATTCAAAATGTCAGTAGCTGTGTCCTCCAAGTAAAGCTCTGGAAACATCTATTCCTTTAAATTTGCTCTGCTATAGTTTTTATTGGCTGGAGAGCCTCCATTTGTCCTTCCAGATCCATTCTCCCCCTGCCATGTGCCCCTTGAGACAGATAGACCAGCCAGGACTGCATCAAAGGCTTCTGAGCCCTAAGGTCATCAGTTTAGTTTGGCCAATGAGAGGCCCTGGCAGAGACTGGAGAGAGGAGAAAGGCGTCAGAATATTGACCCTGGCTTGCTCCCTGCTGTGCTTCTCTAGGAAGGCCACTGCTCCTGCCAGGTGGCCCTCCCCAGCACCAACGTCTCTCTCTGCAGGATTTGGTAATGGCACCCTGTCATTGCCAGTCAGGGCTATTTCACCATCCTTGCTGGTTTTCTTCAACCTTGCCCAATACCTTGTAAAATAATCTTAATTTTCCCACTGGAGTATGCTATTTATTTCTGCCTGGAACCCTGACTGACATGCAAGTGTAACAACTACCTCAAAAAATGGGGGACAGTGGTTATTTTGCCTATGACTTGTTTTTAGAAAATATGTTCATCATGAATAGGATTAAAGGCAATGCCTGTAAACTTCATCTGCTGTTCGTGTTTTACTGCCAGAGTTGTAAATTGTTTACATTTTCTTTTTTCTTTTTCTTTTTTTTTGAGACAGAGTCTCTCTCTGTTGCCCAGGCTGGCGTGCCGTGGCATGATCTCTGCTCGCTGTAACCTCTGCTTCCCTAGTTCAAGTGATTCTCCTGCCTCAGCCTCCTGAGTAGCTGGGACTACAAGCATGAGCCACCATGCCCGGCTAATTTTTGTATTTTTAGTAGAGATGGGGTTTCACCATGTTGGCCAGGCTGGTCTCGAACTCCTAGCCTTAAGTGATCCTCTTGCCTTGGCCTCCCAAAGTGCTGGGATTACAGGCATGAACCACCGCGCCTGGCCAAATTGTTTACATTTCCACAAGAACATAAAAGAGGAGGATATGGTTCTGCAATTCAGCTGGTTCTCAAGGCAGGGTTCTGACATCTTGCTAGAGCATCCAGATGTGTGTTATGTGGTGGTCCTCCTAGCATCACGGTAACCCAGGGGCAGATGAATGGAGTACTGACTGGGCCCCAATCTTGTCAGCATCTTCTTTCCCTGACCCCGACCCTGCCAGGAGCATCAGCTCCAGTCAACTCCTTACCTGCTTGCTTCCTTATCCCATTACAGCCCTGCATCCTATCTGCTGACCCTAACATTTCAAGAGAAATCATGCCAGTCTCCTAAAACAAAGTGCTGTAAGGCCAATGCTAATCCCCTGTCCTAAAAGTTTGGCTGAGAAAGTAGCTCATATGATCAGATTATTTTTTGAAGTTTATCTGATTAAATTTGGGTTGAAGTTGGCTGGGCACAGTGGCTCATGCCTGTAATCCCAGCACTTGGGGAGGCCGAGGCGGATGGATCACTGGAGGTCAGGAGTTCGAGACCAGCCTGGCCAACATGGTGAAACCCCGTCTCTACTAAAAACACAGAAATTAGCCAGGCATGGCGTGTGTCTATAGTCTCAGCTACTTGGGAGGCTGAGGCAGGAGAATTGCATGAGCCCAGGAGGCAGAGGTTGCAATGAGCCGAGATCGCACCACTGTACTCCAGCCTGGGCGATGCAGTGAGACTCTGTCATGAAAAAAAAAATTGGTTTGAAGTTGAGTGTATATGGTATTTCTAACTTTCCCCACCCTAGGGATGGATTCTTATTTCAAAAGTGTGGTGAGGCCTAAAAACTGTTCTGGTAAATTCTATTTGCAAGGATCGCTTCTTGAAAAAGCCAATCTTAAAATTAGAGTGGGCACTAATATTTAGTTTCAGTCCACAGATCTTTTATAAAAACATCTATTAGCTTTGAGTCTTTTGGGCCCCAGTGATGCAGATGGAAAGGCTTGGGGGAGGGTCACTGGGTTAGGACTTGAAGTGCTTGTGGTCCAGTTCTTAAAACACAAGTGCTGTAACTTCTCTGTCCCTTCCATCATTTGGAAATAACAGCTGCCTGACAACACTGATAAGGATAAAAATGAGATAATGATGGTGAAGTGAAGTGATCTGCATATTTAAATATCCTAAAAATACAAATGTTTTCTGAAGATTGCCACACGCTGGACAAATTTCAGAAAATATACCTTGTTTTTTCTTAAAAGATTGTTGGCCGGGTGCAGTGGCTCACGCCTGTAATCCCAGCACTTTGGGAGGCCGAGGCGGGTGGATCACGAGGTCAGGAGATCGAGACCATCCTAGCTAACATGGTGAAACCCCGCCTCTACTAACAATACGAAAAATTAGCCGGGCGTGGTGGTGGGCGCCTGTAGTCCCAGCTACTCGGGAGGCTGAGGCAAGAGAATGGCCTGAACCCGGGAGGCGGAGCTTGCAGTCAGCCGAGATCGTGCCACCGCACTCCAGCCTGGGTGACATAGCGAGACTCCATCTCAAAAAAAAAAAAAAAAGATTGTTAAATGCAAAAATTAATGTAAATGTTAGATACAGTTTTCATCTTCATTCATTTATAAGATTTAACGTTTAAAATTCTGTGCAAGATATGCAAATTACAAACTGAAAGAAAAAAAGAATCAAAGAGAAATATCAAACTGTCCTAAGTTCTTTTTTTTTTTGAGACAGGGTCTCATTGTCACCTAGGCTGGAGTGCAGTGGCAGGATCACAGCTCACTGCAGCCTTGACCTCTCCACCTTGGCCTCCCAAAATGTTGGAATTACAGACGTGAGCCGCCCTGCTTGGCCCTTTTTTTTTTTCTTTTTTTTTTTTGAGACAGGGTCTTGCTCTGTAGCCCAGGGTGGAGTGGTTCACTGTAACCTCGACCTCCCAGGGTGACCTCCCACCTCAGCCTCCCACGTAGATGGGACCACAGGTGTGTGCCACCACACCTGGCTAATTTTTTGAATTACTTTTGGTAGAGACAGGGTCTCCCTATGTTTGAGACAGCTGGTCGCGAACTCCTGGGCTCAAGCGATCCTCCCACCTTGGCCTCTCAAAGTGCTGAGGTTCCAGGTGTGAGCCACTGTGCCCAGCCTGTTCTAAATTCTTGAGCAAAGTTTAAATGTGTTAGGTCATTGGACAAAAGTAGTCAGGGTGAAAATATCCTGACGTATAAAATCAAGAAAGTAAAGTTAATCAATTCATTCAACAAATACTTCTTCAGTAACTGTGTGTGCCACGCACCATTCTGGGTACTCAGGATATATCAGTCAAAATATCTCACATATAGGAAAGGTACTTTCTGTTTACTAGGAAGCTGTTAAAGTTCCAAGTAATGAATGAATACCAGCAGCCAATGAGTTAAGGAATTGTAGAATTCATGCATTACCTCTTATGTGGAATCACTGAATAATTTTGTATGTCATAAAAACTACATTTCTTTCTGATTAGCCCCTTTAAAAATTTTAGCTTGTGTATTTTAAACTTACGTCTACTATAAATCTGCCATATTGAAGGTAATATTGAATATTGTGATCTTGGTTACACTGAAACTGTTGTGCAGATTTTTCTCCTTGGTCCACTATTTGAATTTGTAGATAGTTTTTGAAGCAAATAAGTCATTTGCATGAATCACTTTGGTGAATTTAAGAACTACTCAAATGACGTCATGGATACTTTCGAATATTTTGAAATATTTTTAAACTTTGTGGTCTCCGAAATGACTGGAAAGAAAGGAATGAAAAATATTGTGGCATTCCTAACTTCACTACTTTGGAATTACTTTTCGTTAACATCACTTTAGTGTTTGGCAAAAAGGCAGCATATTTTTAATTCCACGAGTATTGTATAATTAAACATGTAATGAAGATTTAGGTTCTAGATTAGTACATTTTGTCTTGTATAAGACTGTGCCAGCCGGGCACGGTGGCTTACGCCTGTAATCCCAGCACTTTGGGAGGCAGAGGTGGCCGGATCCCAAGGTCAATAGTTTGAGGCCAGCCTGGCCAATATGGTGAAACCCTGTCTCTGCTAAAAATACAAAAATTAGCCAGGCGTGGTGGCGTGTGCCTGTAATCCCAGCTACTCAGGAGGCTGAGGCAGGAGAATCGCTTGAACCTGGGAGGCGGAGGTTGCAGTGAGCCAAGATTGCACCATTGCACTCCAGCCTGGGTAACAGAGTGAGACTCCGTCTCAAAAAAAAAAAAAAAAAAAAAAGGCTGTGTGTATGGTATGTGTGTGTATAAGTGTGGGTGTGTAATGTATATGTATGTGTATATATATGTGTGTGTGGGTATGTGTGGTGTGTGTGTGTATATATGTGTGTGTGGTGTGTATGTGTGTGTGTGTTTGGGATGGTGGACGTGTAACCTTGTAAGCATACATATATATATGTGTGTGTGTGTGTGTGTGTGTGTGTATATATTTATTTTTGAGACAGAGTCTTGCTCTGTCGCCCAGGCTGGAGTGCAGTGACATGATCCCAGTTCCCTGCAACCTCTGCCTCCCAGGTTCAAGTGATTCTCATGACTCAGCCTCCAGAGCAGCTGGGATTACAGGCGCCTGCCACCATGCCCAGCTACTTTTTGTATTTTTAGTAGAGAAGGGGTTTCACCATGTTGGCCAAGCTGGTCTCGAACTCCTGGCCTCAAGTAAACATTCTGCCTCGGCCTCCCAAAGTGCTGGGATTACAGGTGTGAGCCACTGCACACGGCTGTCAGCATTGAAATGGGAAGATATTTGCTTATACAAACTATAAACTGGGTCAATATCCACTCTGAGGTGGTTCACATGGGTTAGACTTAGAGCATATTTGAGGTTGACCAGATGTCAACCCTGCTTCTCAGCTTTCCAGGTGTTCTCATTGAGACATGTCTTGCCCCTCAGTGAGTCACTCATTTTTCCCACTGTCTCCAGTCTGCCTTTCTCCTTCCTCCTTGCTCGGCAAATCATATTCACCTGCAAAACACAGTCACTGCCCATCTCTGTTTTCCAAGGGAACTGCATGGCTTGTCTCCTCTGTGTCCTATGCTGGGACATTACTCATTTGATTATTTGATATGGAATTTGCCTCTCTGTCCTGAAACATTCATAAAATTCAATTTTCCACTAACTTGACTAGGGTTTCTTCACCTTTTCTCTGTCACAGCCAGTTCAGAATAATTTTTAAATGCATGACAGAAATGAGATTACAAGGAAGCCAATTAAATTGAAATATAGTTATTAAAATGTTTTTAAAAATCTGTAATATTAATTGAAGTACTTCTTACTCACTTTTTTTTTTCTTTTTTTTGAGACGGAATCTTGCTCTGTTGCCCAGGCTGGAGTACAGTGGTGTGATCTCGACTCACTGCAACCTCCACCTTCCGGGTTCAAACAATTCTCCTGCCTCAGCCTCCCAAGTAGCTGAGATCACAGGCATGCACCACCACACCCGGCTAATTTTTGTATTTTTAGTAGAGACGGGGTTTCACCATGTTGGCCAGGCTGGTCTTGAGCTCCCGACCTCAGGTGATCTGCCCGCCTAGGCCTCCCAAAGTGCTGGGATTACAGGCATGAGCCACTGTACCCAGACATTTTTTTTTTTTGAGACAAAGTCTCACTCTGTCGCCCAGGCTGGAGTGCAGTGGCGTGATCTCAGCTCACTGCAGCCTCCACCTCCCAGGTTCAAGTGATTCTCCTGCCTCAGCCTCCCATGTAGCTAGGACTACAGGTGCACACCACTACATCCAGCTAATTTTTTTTGACTTTTTAGTAGAGACTGGGTTTCACCATGTTGGCCAGGCTGGTCTCGAATTCCTGACCTCATGTGATCCACCTGCCTCTGCCTTCCAAAGTGCTAGGAGTACAGGCGTGAGTGACCACGCTCAGTCCAATTGAAGTACTTTTTTTTTCTGAGACGGAGTCTCGCTCTGTTGCCCAGGCCAGAGTGCAGTGGCGTGATCTTGACTCACTGCAACCTCCACCTCCTGGATTCAAACGATTCTCTTGCCTCAGCCTTCTGAGTAGCTGAGATCACAGGCATGCGCCAGCACACCCGGCTAATTTTTGTATTTTCAGTAGAGATGGGGTTTCACCATGCTGGCCAGGCTGGTCTTGAACTCCTGACCTCAAGTGATCCTCCTGTCTCAGCCTCCCAAAGTACTGGGATTACAGGCGTGAACCACCATGCCTGGCCTGAAGTACTTCTTTAGTAACCTACTCAATAATGTAATATGATCTAAAAAAATCTATGATTTCTACTGGTGTCAGGGCCATAGATGTATTAATACTACCATAGTATGTTGACTACACTGACAATTGTTATAAATACTGCATTTCAGTTAAAAGTTAGAAGAAATAAAGATGTATTTTCTTTCCATCCAAGTTCATGGGCCCCTCCAGGGCATGGAGACCCTAAGTTAGGGATTGTCCTCCACTGGACTGTTGGCCCCTGTTGTAGATACAGCCTTACCTGTCTCTGAATTGCTGTTCTCAGCACAGTACCTGATATGGGGTCATTCCTCAGTAAATGTTACCTGGATTAAATGAAATGCAGAGCGAGGAAACCAACATTTATCAAACACTTAAGAGTATTGCCAGGCCTTTCAGCTCTTGTCTCTTTGGACCCTCAGTAACTGCCAGGGAAATATCACCCAGAATTTTTCAGATGAGGACACTGAGGACACTGGCACTCAGAGAGGACAGCAGGATTTCAACTCAGGGCTGTTTGACTCCAAAGTTCATGCTCTCTCTGCTCACAGCTTTGCCTCTTACAAAACTTCCCCAGATAAGATCACAAGCGAAGTTGTTTCAGATACTTGATGTTTCCAAACTTCTTAAAAAGATACAACAGCCAGGCGCGGTGGCTCACACCTGTAATACCAGCCTGTGATCCCAGCTACTCGGGAGGCTGAGGGAGGAGAATCGCTTGAACCCGGGAGGCGGAGGTTGCAGTGAGCCGAGATTGTGCCATTGCACTCCAGCCTGGGCAACAAGAGCGAAACTCCGTCTCAAAAAAAAAAAAAAAAAAAAAAAGACATAGTACTGGCTGGGTTTAGTGGCTCACGCCTATAATCCCAACACTTTGGGAGACTGGAGGATCACTTGAGCCCAGGAGTTTGAGACCAGCCTGGATAACATGGCGAAACCCTGACTCTATAAAAAATAAAAAAATTGGCCAGGTGTGGTGGTGCGTGTCTATAGTCCCAGCTACCCAGGAGGCTGAGCCTGGGAGGTTGAGGCTGCGGTGAGCTATGATCACAACACTGCACTACAGCCTTGACGACAGAGTGAGACCCTGTCTCAAAAAAAAAAAAAAAAAAAAAAAAAGAGACTCAATACAACTTCAACATTTTTTTTTCCTAATTCCGTAAGTCTAGCTTACAGGGATACTTAGTTGAAAAATCTACAAAAATTTCTTAGTCTGGATATAGAGTGACTGTGTTCCTATAAGCACAAATTTATACCCATCAAGATGAGACCAGTCCTAGCACAGACCAGGATTTTGAAATGTCAAACAAGCTGTATTTTCTCTGATGCTTCACAAGCATATCTGGTCCTCTCAGGAGAGATTTTTTTTTTCAGGCAGATTTGTGGTGGACATAGAGGAAGGTCACAGGATGGTACTATGTTCCACAAAACTGTGTCCTGTACTGCATGCATACAGATTAGGCAACATTATTAAATACGTTTATTTCCTTTCTTTCCTTCCTTCCTTCCTCCCTCCCTCCCTCCCTTTCTTTCTTCCTTTTTTTTTTTTTTTGAGACAGAGTCTTGCTCTGTCGCCCAGGCTGGAGTGCAATGGCGTGATCTTGGCTCACTGCAACGTCTGCCTCCCGGGTTCAAGCAATTCTCTTGCCTCGGTCACCCGAGTAGCTGGGATTACAGGCACCCACCACCACGACTGGCTAATTTTTTGTATTTTTAGTAGACATGGGGTTTTGCCATGTAGACCAGGCTGGTCTCGAACTCCTAACCTCAGGTGATCCACCTACCCGGGCCTCCCAAAATGCTGGGATTACAGGAGTGAGCCACCGCACCTAGCCTGTTACATTGCATTTTCTACTGTTAAGATGTTTTTTCCACTTGGGAATCATGTTGATCATACACAGAGAATGGAAGATACGTTGCAGTTTATACAAATGACATTTTCTGCAACGCGTCTGAGAACATGTTCTTGTAACAACTGAACATTTCTAACATTTCTTTTGAGGGGAACACCCATTTTATAACACTTTCTACTTAAAAGCACAGATCCCTCAAAGACCCTGAGTAAGCTGGATCCGTTACCATTTCCTTTAGCAGAGCGCCTTCGATTTCCCTTAGCTGCATATGTCCACCTCTGCGGGGGGCTCCACAGCCTCAGCCTGATCTTTCCGTCCTAGGCCTGATTATGGACTGCCAAGACTTTTTGGAGAAAGCAGTTTCTTGTCGCTCTTCTTTTTTCATTCTTCTTGATTTGCTTCCCTCTAACTATTGTCCCGAATCTCCTCCAGTTTCCAGAGCAACCCTCAGCAGGAGACTCTGTGCTTGATTCACCAAGGAGGAGAAAGGGTTTGAACTCCACTCCATCACCTCTGTCTCACCCACCAAAACCTCCCTAGAGCTGTTTTTCACAGCTTCCTCTCCTCGTTTCTGAGGAAGATAGGGCTTTCTTGCTTGCCAACACAAATCACTGTGCTCTGAATTTTACCTCCCTTCTGGATTTCAGTCCTTTTACCCCCTCTACATCTCTCCTCCATTTATAAAAGTGCTCAGAGATGCCCATTCTTTAAAATAAATACCTAAAAGAAAACAAAACCTTTCCCTTATTTTTGTTACTGCCCTAATCTAGTCTTATATCTCCTGCTTTCCTTTCACTGCCAGACGTCTTGGACTTGTGGTTTATAATCACATGGCTTCAGCTTTTGAAACTTGGCTTCTCTCCCTACCATCCTACTGAGAACTGTTCTCTAGAAGGTCACTGAGTCTCTTGTTTGTCAGATCCAGTGGCCTTTCCTCCGTTCTAATGCTCGAAATCTGTAGCATCTGACAATTTTTATTACCATGTGCTTCAGGCTCACTGTACCCTCGGCTTCCAGAACACCGTACTACCAGCTTCATCTCCTACCTTTCTGACCACTCCTCTTTTTTTTTCCTTCGGTAGTTCTTTCTTCCCCACTCCTGTGGCTTCCATACTAAATTCTACATAGAGAGCTCCCTGATGTTGATCTCCAGGATTGCCCTACACATTTCAGACCAGCATTTCCCCCACCAGCCATTCCCTTCCTCCTGAGTCCAGGATCTCCTGATTCAAGGGTCCACATCTCCTCTGACCCAGTTCCTCTCTTGCGTGTCCCACTGTTGCACATACTGCCGTCACTCAGAGTTCACGGACTTTTTTTTTTTTTTTTTTTTTGGTGACAGGATCTTGCTCTCTTGCCCAAGCTGGAGTGCAGTGGCATGATTATAGCTCACTGCAGCCTTGAACTCCTGGGCTCAAGCAATTCTCCCTCCTCAGTCTCCTGAGTAGCCAGGACAACAGGTGTGAGCCACTGAGCCTGGCAGGTTAAAAATTATTTTTTGTAGCAATGGGGTCTCATTATGTTGCCCAGTTTGGTCTTGAATTCCTGGCCTCAAGCGATCTTCCACCTTGGCCTTCCCAAGTGCTAGAATTACAGGCATGAGCCACTGCTCCTGGCCCACTCTCTGACTTTTGATTCTTTCTTCTGCCTCAGAGTTAGTCACTGGCAAATTCTGAACATTGCACTGTCTCCCATTTCACTCTTGGCCCTCCTTTCCATTCCCACAGCTACTTTGGTTTTAGGTCCTTGTCTCTTCTCTGCCCCTGTTTCTACTTCTGCCCTCATTTGTCTCACAGACATTCCAGGTAAAGGTGGGCAGCTCCAATACTGGCACCTTCCTGCTCAAAACCTCTTTATGGCTTTCTACTGTTAATGGAACTACAGATCCACAATTTTGCATGCAAAACTTTCACAAAAATGCAATATGGATTTATGAACTCTACAGTTAGTTTGGGAAAAACTGAAATGAAAGCCAGAACAAACTATCAACAAAACTATACTGTCTCTACCCTTTACTACAAAGGTTTTTTTTTTTTTTGAGATAGGGTCCTGCTCTGTTGTCCAGGGTGTAGTGCAGTAGTGCCATCATGGCTCACTGCAGCCTGGACCTCGCAGGCTCAAGCAATTCTCCTGCCTTGGCCTCCCAAAGTACTAGGATTAGAGGCATGAGCCACTGCACCCAGCCTAATATAAGGTTTCTAAGAAAAGGAAATTAAAAACCCCAAAAAGACAGTGGATACTTTTTCCAAATGAAATATTTCTCAGAGTCCAGATAAACATAAGTAGAATGTCAATTCGGTAGGTGTGCCAAACAGCCACCGTTCTGTAACTGTGACAATGCCCTCTGCTGTATTTATTGATGATATCTTTTTAATTCAAATATAGTGGAACATTTGACCATGGAATCAAGAGTTCTGTGTTCTGCTGGGCATGGTGGTATGTGCCTGTAATCCTAGCATTTTGGGAGGCAGAGGCAGGAGGATCGTTTGAATCCAGCAGTTCAAGATAAGCCTGGGCAACAAAGACTTTGTCTCTACTAAAAATTTAAAAATTAGCCAGGTATGGTGGTGCATGCCTGTAGTCCTAGCTACTGGGAAAGCCAAGGTGGGAGGATCACTTGAGCCCAGGAGTTTGAGGCTGCAGTGTGCTATGATTGCACCACTGCACTCCAGCCTGGGTAACAGAGTGAGATCTTGTTTTCACAAAAATAAAAAAATAAAAGAAATAAAGAGTTATGTGTTCCTGTTCGAATTGCAGAGTTAATTGGTCTAGCTCTTGTTAAGTCACTTAACATCTTTAGGCATTAATTTCCATATCTGCAATCTTTTGGGGTTTGAGGACTGTTTTGTCGGTAGTTCTCAATACTGGCTGCACGTTTCAGGTACCTGGGGAGTGGGTTTAAAACACATCCACAGGCCGGGCGCGGTGGCTCATGCCTGTAATCCCAGCACTTTGGGAGGCCAAGGCAGGTGGATCATGAGGTCAGGAGATCAAGACCATCCTGGCTAATATGGTGAAACCCCGTCTCTACTAAAAAATACAAAAAAAAATTAGCCGGGCATGGTGGCGGGCGCCTGTAGTCCCAGCTACTCAGGAGGCTGAGGCAGGAGAATGGCGTGAACCCGGGAGGTAGAGCTTGCAGTGAGCCAGGTTCGTGCTACTGCACTCCAGCCTGGGTGACGGAGTGAGACTCTGTCTCAAAAAAAAAAAAAAAAATAAATAAATAAAAATAAAAAATAAATCAAACAAAACATATCCATGCCCAGGCCCCCCTCTTAGGGATTGTTTCGATAGGACATCTGTCTCTCTCTCTCTCTTTCTATTTTTTTATTTGTTTGTTTGTTTGTTTTTTTAGACAGAGTCTCACTCTGTTGCCTAGGCTGGAGTGCAATGACACGGTCTCGGCTCACTGCAACCTCTGCCTCCTGGGTTCAAATGATTCTCGTGCCTCAGCCTCCCACGTAGCTGGGGTTAAAGGCACGTGCCACCATGTCCGGCTAATTTTTGTATTTTTAGTAGAGACAAGGTTTCACCATGTCGGCCAGGCTGGTCTCAAACTCCCGACGACCTCAGGTGATCTGCCTGCCTCGGCCTCCCAAACTGTTGGGATAATAGGCGTGAGCCACCGTGCCCGACCTATAATTACAGGTCTTTCTTTCTTTCTTTTTTTTTTTTTTTTGAGACGGAGTTTTGCTCTTGTTGCTCAGGCTGGAGTGCAATGACACAATCTCAGCTCACTGCAACCTCCGCCTCCGGAGTTCAAGAGGTTCTCCTGCCTCAGTCTCCCAACTAGTTGGGACTACAGGCATGCACCACGACGACCGGCTAATTTTTTGTATTTAGTAGAGATGGGGTTTCACCATGTTGGTCAGGCTGGTCTCAAACTCCTGACTTCAGGTGATCCACCCACCTCGGCCTTCCAAACTGCTGGGATTACAAGGGTGAGCCACCGTGCCTGGCCATAATTACGGTTATTTCTGTCTTACTCTTTTCTCTATGCTGTAGTTTCCTCACTAAGATGTGTCTTACCTTTGTAGGCTTCTTATTCATTGGTACGTGATATTCACTATTTACTCAACTGAGGAAGGAGATAATAAACTTTATCCCAGTGATATCCCATTTCCTTCCCAAAATAAACTACAACTCAAGCGAAACAAAAACACCTAATTCTGTGATTCCTGTTAGTTTGTAACTGAGAGGCTCTGCAGTCTGAATTCAGGAAGGGGAAGCTGGAGGAATTCAGGAGCTCTTAAAGAAAATATTTTCAAAGTTGAAATGTTGGCCTAACTATTGTTCTTAACATGGTAACATGGTGTTTGATCTGATCTACAATTGTGTTCATTATACGTTAATTATATATATAGCTCATATATATAAATATATATGAGAATGTATGTTAAGTTTTGCAGGCAAAAGACTTGCAATTTAAACTCAATTTATTGAATAAGTAATGTTGCTCTGGGCAGACAAGGATTGTCGAAAATCTCTACACTATAGGAATGGCTATGAGAATAAAATATGCCAGCGAAATATGTTGTTGGAGAGGGGAATCTATAAGATACAGCATCATTGTTTGCTGGCCATAGTGAAGCTAAACACACATTCTTGACCACATTTATGCAAAGAGAAAGCCAGAACACCATGAATAGTTTTACTAAATGAAGTCCCATTCAAATTTTAAAAATCTGATTAAACTCTGAATAATGGTCCTCCTGTTGAACCTGAGGTATCCAACTGCTAAACGCCCTTTGGCAGTAGTGATAGGTTTTCTCTAATAGATAACTTTTAAATTTACAGCTTTTAAAGAGTTGCTGTCTTTTATGATCTTTCAAATTCTTTCTTCTCCTCACAAAATTTTAAGCATGAAAACTACAAGGTAAAGTCCCACTGGGAAAAAACAAAGCTCTCTAGCTAGAAAAATTTCCCATACTCATGGGGTTTTAACAAATGGCTGGCTTATTCTGGCTATTTGGTTACTTTTATAGTACAAAAAGAAAGAAATACACATATTCTGTTTAGAACTTGGTTCCAGGTGATTCTCCTAAGCAGTATTTTTTTCCATAGCTGTAATTTATCCTGGGCCTGAAGATAGGTAAGGCTTATTTACAGAAATAAGTCTTATTAGGAAAGGCTTATTTCTAATTTACAGATAAGGCAGCCATAAGAAGGTCGGATTTTCCCAAGACTAGAGCCAGGGAGTCCTGGAGGAGAGCAAGAGGCAAGCTCTCCATGACTTTTCATCGCGTGTCCATCTACGTACGCACACATGTACCATGCAGAAAGCAAAGAGAAATATACACATACATCCATATACATGGATAGCCCCAGCAAAGGCAGGGGTAAAAATCGGACACTGCAAAACATAAATTTAAAAAATCAAACCATCACAAAGCACCTAGAGCTTTATCTTCCCTGGTGTTTTACGAAGAGCTTCAAAGTCCCTTAGAAAAAGTAAAGCAGCATCTAGGTTATAGGTAGATCACTTAGGATACGTGAGACCTGGGGGTTAACTTAAAACTCTGGCGCATCTGTCGCAGAGAAGAGGCAAAGCGCGCGTCCAGACACCGCCGAGGACGCCCTCCAGGCCGCCGTCAGCCGGCGCCCCCGAGCGCCACGCACCCCGCGGCAGTCCAGCACCCTCAAGACCGCAGTCGGCCGCGGAAAGGAACGGGAACTGGGCCGACGCGCGCCGCCGACTCACAATCAGGGCCGCGCGCCGGCTGACGTCACCCTGTGTCGACCAGCCCCCTGAGCCCGGAAAGAGGCGGTCGCTCATTGGCTGCGCCGGCGGCGGCCTCGGGGCCAATGACAGGGCGGCGAGCGGCGGGGTCTGGCCTTGACGTTGTGCCGCTCGCCGCGGGGTTTATTTGGCTCCGGGTCCCTCGGCCGCCGCCATTAGGGTCCGCAGCGCCCGCGGCCGCCTCCCACACCTCAGTGCCCCCGCCCCCCGGGGCTCCCCAGTCTCCGCGCCTCCTCTCTGCTCCTCTCCCCCGGCCTCCGGCAGCCGGGAGCCGCGCGCGGACCCTCGGAGACCATGTCCTGACTGAGGGGAGAGGGCGGAGGCGGCAGCAGCGGGGCGGGCGGCGGCGCGAAGGGAGGCGGAGAGGGGCCGGGCTCGACTCGTAGCCGCGGGCTGCGCGGGGAGTCGCCGCTGCCGCCGCCGCCGCCGCCGCCGCCGCCGCCGCCAAGCGCCCGTCGGACGGGGAGGAGGAGCAGGAGCTGGAGGAGGAGCCGCCGCCGCCAGGTAACCGGGCCCCGGGGGGCGCCCCACCGCGGCCTGCCGGGCCCCTCGCTCCCAGGCGGCGCCCAGGTTGCCGGGCCTCACGGGCTGTCCGCCCGCCCGGCGCCCCAGGGGCGACCGCGTCGCAG
Source organism: Homo sapiens (assembly GCF_000001405.40). Taxonomy (NCBI): domain Eukaryota; kingdom Metazoa; phylum Chordata; class Mammalia; order Primates; family Hominidae; genus Homo; species Homo sapiens. The sequence continues at coordinate 124,917,398 of NC_000010.11, forward strand.
GCGCGGGGAGGGCAGGGGCCCGGGCCGCCGCTGTCGGCGCTTCCATCTTGGGCGCTCCGGTTGCGGGGACGGCCCGGGGGCTGTGGGAGGGCGGGTCCGCCCAGCTTGTTTACCGACCGCCGGCCGCCCGTGGCTGGACGCGGTGCCGGTCCCACCGCCGCTCTTCCGCCAGATTTCCCCACAACTTCTTTTCCTGCCGGAGACGGATCGGCGAGTGGGGTTTCGCTCCCACTCCGCAATAGGCCGTAAACACTTGGGTCCATCGCCACAAGTTGGTTCTGGTGTCTCCAAACTTGTATTTCAGTCCCTCGGCCGCTTGCTTTCCACCTCCTGCGGTGGCCTCCAGTTGCCATTTGTAGGAAAATAAAGGTGGGGGACGACGAGGCGGGTGGGGAGGAGGAGCTGGAGCTAGTGGAAAGATTCGTCTACCCCTCCTGCTCGCAGTAACGAGTGTTCAGTGCAAGGATCTGTTTTTTCTCTGCTATGGTTTGGTGCGGGTCATTTCACAGACAAAAGAACTGTAGTGAATGCTGGCATTAAGCGCAAGGGACAGGCAGTTTAGGTTAAGCCTGGAAGTTTGAACCGGCCCATTATCTTTGAGATACACTGGTGTTTTGAAACTCTCTTGCTGAGGATATTGTATTTCAGTCAGTTGATTACCCTTTTCTGTAACTCCGTAGACTATCGATTTAAGCGCCGCCCCATCTTACCAGTATTTTGGTTTCACCGTGTTTATGATGATGTTAATAAATCTAATGTGCAAAAATACCGTTTTAGGAACACAATTGGAGATAATTTTTTTTTGTATTTGAGACGGAGTTTCCCCCTTGTTACCCAGGCTGGAGTGCAGTGGCGCTATCTCGGCTCACCGCAACCTCCGCCTCCCAGGTTCAAGCGATTCTCCTGCTTCTGCCTCCCGAGTAGTTGGGACTACAGGCATGCGCCACCACGCCCGGCTAATTTTGTATTTTTAGTAGAGATGGGGTTTCTCCATGTTGGTCAGGCTGGTCTCGCACCTCTGACCTCAGGTGATCTGCCCGCCTCGGCCTTCCAAAGTCCTGGATTATAGGCATGTGCCACCGCGCTTGGCCTGAGAGAAATCTTTAACTCTGGGACCTATTATATAATGAGTTATTTCTTTACCTGTGTGTTTTAGTTAACTTCTTTTATCACTTGTGCAGCATCCAGCAGTACCCCTGTTTTGGTCAAACATGGATGACTCAGTGTACAAACCATAAGCCAGGGGAAACCATAAGGAATTTTGATCTTGGCTTGTGCCAAGGCTCTTGGGAAAGTCATCTGAACTATGGGAGAAATAAAGCTGGATCTTGTCTCCTTGTTATTATTTTGAATTAAATGAGGGAATTCTAAAAAAATTTAGAATCCTATTGACTTTTGGCTCTAAAGATAGGCAGTCTCTTTATACTAAAATTTCATAACATTGTTTTTATTGGGCTGTTGGGGGTTTACGAGATAGTAGGACAGTAATGACATTTTGCTCTTTTGAGGAGGATGTTATCTGAGTGTCATGAGGGATTTTATTTCTGTTGCTGTTTCGATACCTTTTATTAATGCCTCAGAGCATTGGGACACCCATTTATTTACTCTTGAAATGTGCTTGGGTGTGATGAACTCATTCATGGTAATATATTTTAAGCTCATGGCCTTGATCCATGTCTGTACACTGATAGGGGTTATGGATGTCACATTTAAAGTCTGAGGATTAACATAGTTTTGGAACTCATGATCTAGTTGTACAATATATGAGGCAAATTGCTTCATATGTGTAATTGATACAGTGAGAGCTTGTCCATGTGCTTTATAATAAATGTAAACTTTAAATGTGAATTACAAAAGTAGTCCACTGGCCGGGCCCGTGGCTCATGCCTATAATCCCAGCACTTTGGGAGGTTGAGGCGGGCGGATCGCCTGAGGTCAGTAGTTCGAGACCAGCCTGGCCAACATGGTGAAACCCCGTCTCTACTAAAAATACAAGAAAATTTGCCGGGTATGGTGGCGTGTGCCTGTAATCCCAGCTACTCGGGAGGCTGAGGCAAGAGAATCTCTTGAACGCCGGAGGCGGAGGTTGCTGCGAGCCGAGATCCAGCCACTGCACTCCAGCCTGGGCAACGGAGCAGGACTCCATTTCAAAACAAAACAAAAGTAGACCACTATTAATTTGGTTCAGGTTTTTTTTTTTTTCCTCCTCCTCCTCCTTTTTTTTTTTTTTTTGAGATGTAGTCTCTCTCTGTCACCCAGGCTGAATTGCAGTGGCGCGATTTCCGCTCACTGCAACCTCCGCCTTCCGTGTTCACGCCATTCTCCTGCCTCATCCTCCCGAGTAGCTGGGACTACAGGCACCTGCCACCACGCCCGGCTAATTTTTTGTATTTTTAGTGGAGACGGAGTTTCACCGTGTTAGCCAGGATGGTCTCGATCTCCTGACCTTGTGATCCACCCGCCTCGGCCTCCCAGACTGCTGGGATTACAGGCGTGAGCCACCGCGCCCGGCCCCCCCCCCCCCTTTTTTTTTTTTTGAGACCTTGTCTCATCACTGTGTTGCCCAGGCTGGAGTGCCGTGGCATGATCTCGGTTCACTACAACCTCCGCCTCCCGGGTTCAAGCGATTCTTCTGCCTCAGTCTCTCGAGTAGCTGCTGGGATTACAGGCGCGTGCCACCACGCCTGGCTAATTTTTGTATTTTTAGTAGAGACAGGGTTTCACCATGTTGGCTAGGCTGGTCTCGAACTCCTGACCTCAGATGATCATCTGCCTGCCTCGGCCTCCCAGAGGCTGGGATTACAGGCGTGAGCCACCGCACTCGGCCGGATTTGGTTCAGTTTTATTATATGGGCATTGCTGCTTGCCTCTTCCTTTCCAATAATAATCTCTTGTGTCTGGGCTTTGAATACTTATCCTCTCATTGATTTGGTATTCGATTTGGAATATTTGTGCTCCACTTATGCCTTATGCCTTGCACATTTGAACACTCTTACCTCCTCACATCACAACATAAAGACTTAGAGAAAACTCCTTTATACAGGCAAAATAAAGTTCAAGCTTCTTGGTGTGGTGTTCAAGTTTCTCTGTAGTCTGGAACTGATCCATTCTTCAGTCCTAACTCTAATTTATTTGTGAATCCCTAACTCTAGCCACACTAACTTGCTTGTTGTTCCTATGAAGTCCCTCCTCTTGGCCTTGCTTTATGCCATTCTTTCTGTTTGAAATCCTCTTCTGCTTGTATTCATGGAGACAATGTTCTGGGCCAAGAGAGGTCCTGTCTCTAGAGAAGCCTTTTTTGACTACTTTAACCCAAGGGATCTATTCAGTCTTCTCTTGCGTGAGACTTTCTTTTCTTAGAATATGCTAGCCTTGATTTCAGTTATCTTTTTATGTTTCTATTTTGCTTCCCAACTAGTTTTTTAAGACTTCTGCCAAATGGGTATATCTCTATACCCTGTATCTATCTATGGAGACCATATATTCAGCACTGAAAATATGAATACATGGTCTGACAAAGTATTTTTGGTTATAGAGGTATTCTAGGATATGCAGTTTGTACTGTAGTAAGTATTGGTGTTTCTGGGACTTTATGGTTTATGAGACAAATACTTGAAACTATGGCTGTCTCTTTAAAAATTTGGTTGGTATGTTTATATGTATTATCAGCATACTTCTTTGCCCTGTAGAGGATGTTCAGCATTTTGATAGTGTTTGTGTCATATTATTAAAATAAAAATTAAATATTATGTTTCTCTGGTTTACTTCAGATTTGTGTCTGGGGCAGTTACTTGGGTCTTGGATGCTAAGTTTGGTCATTCCATATTGTATGGAGGTAACATTTAGCATCATGGGAAGGAGAAAATAATCTGTAGCCTCAGTTTGTATTCTTAACCTCAGATGTTGGCAGCCTGTGTCACTGATGATAAGGCAGATGAGACAGGAGAATATGTGATTCACTACTGCTACCTGTCAACCGTCTTGAATGAAAAATAAGCTGGTCCACAGAATTTTTGTATACCAAGGATAACACATGTAATTATGTAGTACATAGGTGAATGCTGATGCATTTGGAAAATAGGTGTGTGTGTTTCTCTTGTATTGGATGAGTAGGAGGTATGGTATTTTATGGGTACACAGTCTCTTGGCACTAAACCATCTTGACTTACCTACTACATCTATGTGGAAACCTGTCCTCTTTCTCCAGTTCAATAAAATATTTTTCCCCTTGAAATTCATTTTTAGAAAGTATATAAAAAGTATTTTTTTTCAAGTGTCAGAAACCTTTTAGCATCATTGAAGTTAAAATGACTGTCCATAAACTTTTCAGAAATAGTAGGCATTTTAGGCTACTAGATTTGTAAAAGGTATTTTCATAGAATTATACCAGTGATTTCACCACCTGAAAAATCTGGATCCGTAAGCATTCTTTGCTTTTTGGAAGGGTGGTATTTTGGTTAATTCCATGAAGTTTTTGACAGGAGCCATAAGTTTGAATTTTAAAATGGGGGTTGGCCAGGTAAATTGAATATAAAATTAATATTTTTTCTGCTGCCTAGTGAATTAAATTAAAAAAAATTTTTTTTGACACAGGGTCTTGCTGTGTCTCCCAGGCCAGAGTGCAGTGCTGATCATGACTCAACAAACTGTCCTCCCACTTTAGCCTCCCAAGTAGCTGGAACTATAGGTGTGTACCATTGTGCCTGGCTTTTTAAAAAAATTTTTTGTAGAGACAAGATCTCTCTATATTGCCCCCAGGCTGGTCTTGAATTCCTGGGCTCAACCAATCCTCTTGCCTTGGCCTCCCAAAGTGCTGGGATTATTGGCATGAACCCCTGAGCCCAAATTATATATATATGTAAAATATATATATATATATGTAAAATATATATATATATGTAAAATATATATATATATGTAAAATATATGTATATATATATTTTTTTTTTAATAGGGTCTCACTGTGTTGCCCAGGCTGGAGTGTATGGCATGATCACAACTCACTGCAGCCTTGACTTCCCAGGCTCAAGCTATCCTCTCACTTCAGCCTCCCCAGTAGCTGAGACTACAGATGCGTGCCACCACACCTGGCTAATTTTTTTTTTTTTTTTTTAAGATGGAGTCTCTCCCTGTTACCCAGGCTGGAGTACAATGGCACGATCTCAGCTCACTGCAACCTCCACCACCCGGCTTGAAGTGATTCTCCTGCCTCAGCCTTCTGAGTAGCTGGGATTACAGGCACGTGCCACCATGCCCAGCTCATTTTTTTGTATCTTTTAGTAGAGATGGGGTGTCACCGTGTTGGCCCGGCTGGTCTCGAACTGACCTCGTGATCTGCCCGCCTCTGCCTCCCAAAGTGCTGGGATTACAGGCGTGAGCCACTGTGCCCAGCCTTGCCTGGCTAATTTTTGTATTCAGCCGTGGTAAGCCACTGCGCCTGGCCCTAAATTTTTTAGTAATGAAAAAAATAAACTACTACCCAGGCGTGGTGTCATGTGGCTGTAGTCCCAGCTACATGGGAGGCTCAGGTGGGAGGATCGCTTGATCCCAGGAATTCGAGTCCAGTCTGGGTGTATTAGTTTGTTTTCACATTGCTATAAAGAACTATCAGCCGGGCGCAGTGGCTCACTCCTGTGATCCCAGCACATTAGGAGGCCTAGGCGGGTAGATCACAAGGTCAGGAGTTCAAGACCATCCTGGCCAACATGGTGAAACCTCGTCTCTACTAAAAACACAAAAATTGGCTGGGCATGGTGGTGCACACCTGTAGTCTCAGTTACTCGGGAGGCTGAGGCAGGAGAATTGCTTGAACCCAGGAGGCAGAGGTTGCAGAGAGCCGAGCTACACTCCAGCCTGGGCGACAGAGCAAGACTCTGTCTCAAAAACAAACAAACAAAAAAAACAAACTAGCTGATGCCAGGTGCTGTGGCTCATACCTGTAATCCCAGCACTTTGGGAGGCCAAGGCAGGTGGATCACGAGATCAGGAGTTCGAGACCAACCTGACCAACATGGTGAAACCGTGTCTCTACTAAAAATTCAAAAAAATTAGCTGGGCGTGGTGGTGCGCACCTGTAATCCCAGCACTTTGGGAGGCCAAGGCAGGAGAATCTTGAACCCAGGAGGTGGAGGTTGCAGTGAGCCGAGATTGTGCCACTGCGCTTCAGCCTGCCTCGGAAGAAAAGAAAAAGAACTACCTGAGATTGGTAATTTATAAAGAAAAGGGGTTTAACTGACTAACAGTTTCTCATGACTGGGGAGGCTTCATGAAACTTATGGTAGAAGGTGAAGAGAAAAAAAGCACCTTCACAAGGCAGGAGAGAGAGAGTGAGCAGGGGAAGTGCCACGCTTTTAAACTATCAGATCTCCTGAGAACTCACTCAGTATCTCAAGAACAGCATAGGGGAAACCGCCCCCATGATCCGGTCACTTCCCACCGGGTCCCTCCCTTGACACATGGGGATTACAGTTGGCAATGAGATTTGGGTGGGGACACAGAGCCAAACCATATAACTGGGCAAAGTAGCAAGACCCTATCTCTTACCAAAAAAAAAGAATTTTTGTTATTTTTATTGTTCATATATTGAGGGCAAACTGTCCCTCTCACTCCTGAACTCACACACCGCAGTTTTGGTTTTTCATCCTTTGTCAAGTCAATTTTTAATGTGGGTGGTCTCTTTCTTTTTTTTTTGAGATGGGGTCTTGGTACGTTACTCAGGCTGGTGTCAAACTCCTGAGTTCAAGTGATCTGCCCGCCTTGGCCTCCCAAAGTGCTGGGACTGCAGGCTTGATGAGCCTCCGCACCTGGCCATAATGTGGGTGGTTTTAATTCATATAAATAAAAAATATTTGAATGCGTGATATTAATTGGAATCAGTTGCAAATCTTTCCAGTTTTTTCTAAAAAAAAAAAAAAGCAGCTTCATTGAGGTGTATTTCATATACCATAAAATTCACCCCTTTAAAGTATACAATTCAGTAGTTTTTAGTATACTTAACAGAGTTGTACAGCCATTACCAACCACTATATAATCCTGGAACATTTTCATGACCCCAAAAAGAAACTCTGTACTCATTAAGGAGTCATTTCCGCCTTGCCTCAGCTCCTGGCAACCACTAATCTACTTTGTCTCTCTAGATTTGCCTATTCTGGATATGTCGTAAATGGAATTGTACAATATATGACCGTTTATGTGGCTTTTTTCTCTTATAATACTTCCAAGGTTTATGTTGTGGCATGTGTCAGTACTTCATTCCTTTTTGTGGCTGGCTGATACTCCATTGTATAAACAGCATTTTGTTTATCCATTCATTGATTGATGGGCATTTGGATTTTTTCCACTTTTTGGCTATTATACTGCTGTGAACATTTGTGTACAAGTTTTTGTTCAGATGTAAGTTTTTACTTCTCTTGGGTATATACCTACAGATGGAATTGCTGGGTCATGTGCTAATTATGTTTAACCTTTGAGGAACTTTCTGCCTGTTTTCCAAAGTGGTTGCATCATTTTGCTGTTTTTTTTTTTTTTGAGACAGCGTCTCAGTTTGTCTGCCCAGGCTGGAGTGCAGTGGCGTGATCTCGGCTCACTGCAACCTCCGCCTCCCGGGTTCAGGCGATTCTCATGTCTCAGCTTCCTGAGTAGCTGGGACTACAGGCACGCACCACCATGCCTGGCTAATTTTTGTATTTTTTTAGTAGAGATGAGGTTTCATTATGTTGACCAGGCTGGTCTCGAACTCCTGACCTCAAGTGATCCACCCGCCTCGGCCTCCCAAAATGCTGGGATTACAGGCGTGAGCCACTGCTCCCTGCCCATTTTACATTTCTGCCAGCAATATATGTTCCGTTTCTCTACATCCTAATCAACACTTGTTATTGTCTGTTTTTTTTTTAAATTGTCATTCTAGTGGAATGGCATCTCCTAGTTTTTATTTGCATTTCCCTAATGACTAATGATGAGCATCTTTTCATGTGCTTCTTGGCCATTTGCATATCTTGTTTAGAGTGGTGTTTATTTCAGTGTTTTGCCCATTTTTCATTTGGGTTATTTGTCTTTTTGTTGGTGATTTTTTGCAAGAGTTCTTTATGTATTCTGGATACAATTCCCTTCCTGTATTTGCAAATACTTTCTTCTGTCTGTGGGTTGTGTTTTCACCTTCTTTATGGTGTTCTTTGAAGCACAAAAGTTTTTAATTTGATTAAGTTACCTATGTTTTCTTTTGTCACTTGTGCTTTTGCCTAACCCAGGGTCATGACAATTTATGTTTTCTTCTAAGAGTTTCTTAGTTTTAGCTCTCAAATTTAGGTCTCTGATCATTTTGAGTTGAGCTTTGTGTATAATTTGAGGCAGAGGTCCAACTGAGTTTTTTTGCATGTGGCTGTCTGGTTATCCCTGCATCATTTGTTGAAACACACTTAGTTTTAGCAGTGCACAGTCACGCGTTGCTTAAATGTTCTGAGCAATGCATTTTTAGGTGATTTTGTCGTTGTGCGAACATCATAGAGTCTACTTAGACAAAACCTAGATAGTATAGCCTACTGCACAGTAGGCCATGGGTTATAGCCTGTTGTTCCTAGGCCATAAACGCTGTATAGCATGTTACTGTATTGAATACTGTGGTGTTTTTCTAACACAAAGATAAGTATTCATGAGTGTAAACATAAACATAGAAAAAGCACAGTAGAAATATGGTGTAAAAGATAAAAAATGGTACACCTGTATAGGGGAATGGAGCTTGCAAAACTGGAAGTTGCTCTGGGTAAGTCAGTGAGTGAGTGATGAATGAATGTCAAGGACATTACTATACACCACTGTAGACTTCATAGACAGTGAACACTTTGGCTACACTAAGTTTATTTAAAAAATTTTCTTCAAAAATAAATTAATCTTAGCTTATTGTAACTTTTTAACTTTATAAATTTTTAATTTTTAAAAAAACTTTAGACTTTTGTAGTAACACTTAAAACACAAACACATTGTGTAGCTGCACAAAAATATTTTGGTTCTTTAGATCCTTACCTTATAAGCTTTTTTTGCCAAAAACTAGGACACACGTTAGCTTAGGCCTACACAGGGCCAGGATCATCAGTATCACTGTCTTCCACCTGTACATCTTGTCCCACTGGAAGGTCTTCGGGGGCAATAACATGCGTAGAGCTATCATCTGTGATAACAATGCCTTCTAGAATACCTCCTGAAGGACCTGCCTAGGGCTTCTTTACAGTAGACTTTTTTTTTTAAAGGAAGTAGGAGTAACATTGTAAAATGACAATAAAAAGTATAGTAAACAAACTGGTAACATACTTATTATCATGATCAGATATTACGTACTGTATATAATTTTACATGCTACACATAGCTAGACTGCCAGCGCAGTAGGTTTGTTTACACCAGCATCACTACAAACGTGAGTAATGAATGTATTGTGCCATGACATTATGGTGGCTTTGACGTCACAAGGCAAATTTTTCAGCTTTGTTATATAATCTTATGGGGACTACTGTCACATATACAGTCTGTCTTCGATTGACACATGGTTATGCAGGCTATCACTGTAATTCTCTTTTTTTCTTTTTTTGAGATGGAGTCTCGCTGTCGCCCAGGCTGGAGTGCAGTGGCGCGATCTCGGCTCACTGCAGGCTCCGCCCCCTGGGGTTCACGCCATCCTCTTGCCTCAGCCTCCTGAGTAGCTGGGACTACAGGCGCCCGCCACCTCGCCCGGCTAATTTTTTGTATTTTTAGTGGAGATGGGGTTTCACCGTGTTAGCCAGAATGGTCTCGATCTCCTGATCTCGTGATCCGCCCGCCTCGGCCTCCCAAAGTGCTGGGATTACAGGCGTGAGCCACCGCGCCCGGCCCTGTAATTCTCAACTGTAAGTTGATTTATTGCAAGGCAGGATTCCCTGGATATATGAAGAAATTATCCCTATTCTGCAGCAGAAGGAAAGGATCTCTCTTAGTGTTGCACAGTAAAAGTTGAAACAATACACTTGTGAGTGGAATTCTGAAGACATCACTTCTGTGATTTTTAAACCACTTCTAAATCCTTTCCTCTTTTGTTTGTGGTGGGTAATTAACTTCACTTTTTGGTATTTAATGGAGCTAAAGTTTATTTTTAAACGGGAACTAGTTCAGTTTTCCGAACTAACTAAACTTTTTGTGGAATACTATCTTTTGATACCAGCAGAATATTAAGTTTCTTTTTATTAACTAAATGATTAATAAGCAATGTTTACATGGAGATACTGTTTAGGGACATAATGAGTTTTTCACAGTTCAGTGTTAGAAACAAATCATAATTCAGTAAACTAAGAACTATTTTAGAAGTTTGTTTTGAAGTGGTAAAGAAGGGATTAAAGGCCTGGCGCGGTGGGTCATTCCTGTAATCCCAGCACTTTGGGAGGCTGAGGCGGGCAGATCACTTGAGGCCAGGAGTTGGAGACCAGCCTGGCCAACATGGCGAAACCCCATCTCTACCAAAAACACAAAAATTAGCTGGGCGTGGTGGCACATGCCCATAATCCCAGCTTCTTGGGAGGCTGAGGCATAAGAATTGCTTGAACCTGGGAGATGGAGGTTGCAGTGAGCTGAGATCGCATCACTGCACTACAGCCTGGGTGATAGAGCAAGACTGTCTGAAAAAAAGAAAAAATAAATAAAAGAACTAAGTTTATTCAGTAACATGAGATTGGGGTTGGTCAGGATGGGCTTTACCGAGGTGGGAACATTTAAGCTGGTCCTTGAAGGAGCAGTACCAGATTTCTAGGTATATAAAACGGGGTAAGAAGGGGAATAGGAGTAGGCAAGCATCCTGTTACGAGTGAAGGCATGGAGACATGAAAATTACATGTCATCTTTAGGGACTAGCAGAGGCTACGGTGTCGCCGAAGCATGCGGATGAGGTTGGAAAGGCACTCTTAGCACTTGATCCTCACCTTCCCCTGGGGCTGGGAATTAGAAGGGAGGAGTGATCTCCTTAAGTGTGGATCATCTTTACAGATGTGAAGAGCCATTACCCACCCCTCCCCAACTGTGCAACTGTGAGTGTGTATTGGGAAGATATGTCAGGGATATTTGTGGTATATATTAGAAGTGTTGAAGGCATTGTTTTTATAGAAATTATTTTAGTAAATTCTTTTTTATTATTGGGCACCTCCTATGTGATTTGAAGTTGCTTAGGATTTTCTAAAAGATTACATAAAATACTGTTGAAAAGATGATTGCATACAAAACATAATCTGTTCATTGTTAAACGTATACGAAATGTTGGGATACATCTGTGAACAAGACAAAGTCTTTGCTAATTGTGTTCTATTTACGCTCTAGTGTGGAGAGACAAATGAAGAAAGAAATGTCAGATAGTGATAAGTGCTGTGCAGAAAATTAAAGTAGGGTGATGTGATGGAGAATGCCTGAGTGGTCAGAGAAAATCTTTCTGAAGAGGTGACATTTAAACTGATATCTCAATGACAAGAATGATGTGGAAAATCTGGGGAAATAACATTCTAGGCAGAGGAGATTTCTAATACAAAGCACCTAAAGGGAGAATCATCTTGACTTGTAAAAGGAACAGAAAGTCACTTTATGTAAAAATTTGTAAGTAAGGCTGGGGAGTTTTAATTTTATTCTGTGTAAGGATGGTGGATAGAGTGGAAGTGCTAGATCACTTAGTCTCTGCAGTAATCCAAGTGACAAATAATGGTGGCTTGGAATAGGGGTATAGCAGGGGAGTCTGGAATGAAGCAAACTTTTGGGGACTTGTTTAGGAGGTAGTATCAGTGGTAGCTAGCTAATCTGTTTTGTAGCCTGATAATCTTGGACAATGTGTTTATAATCATGGAAGGTTGTGGTGCATTAGCAAGAGGGTACTGGAGTCAGAACTGGGGTTCACTTCCTAGCCTTGTGACCCTGGACGAGATGTTTCACCTCTCCTGAAGGCACAGATTCTTTTTTTTTTTTTTGTAACGGAGTCTCTGTTGCCCAGGCTGGAGTGCAGTGGCGAGATCTCGGCTCACTGCAACGTCCGTCTACAGTATTCAAGCAATTCTCCTGCCTCAGCCTCCTGAGTAGCTGGGATTACAGGTGCGCACCACCACACCTGGCTAATTTTTTTTTGTCTTTTTAGTAGAGACGGGGTTTCACCATGTTGGTCAGGTTGGTCTCGATCTCCTGACCTCGTGATCTGCCCACCTCTGCCTCCCAAAGTGCTGGGATTACAAGTGTGAGCCACCGCGCCTGGCCAACACAGATTCTTATTCATAAAAATGGAGGCTGGGCGCCGTGGCTCATGCCTGTAATCCCAGCACTGTGGGAGGCCGAGGCGGGTGGATCATGAGGTCAGGAGTTCGAGACCAGCCTGGCCAACATAGTGAAACCCTGTCTCTATCAAAAATACAAAAAGTAGCTGGGTTTGGTGGCACACGCCTGTAGTCCCAGCTACTTAGGAGGCTGAGGCAGGAGAATCACTTGAACCTGGGAGGCAGAGGTTGCAGTGAGGTGAGATCTGCCATCGCACTCCAGCCTGGGCAACAGAGCGAGACTCTGTCTCAAAAAAAAAAAAAAAAAAAAGATATGGGGTACTTTAAGAGGGAAGGTACCTGAGGATTCAATGAAGTTACTGTTCTTTACCTAAAGCTCCGTACAAAACTTAAGTTGATGTTACATCAAGCTGGCGAGTGTTCGTGATGTTAATGGGTTTTGAAGTGATCAGTTTTAGCCCTCCACTTAAAGATAGGTAAGCCATTATGGTCCCCATTTTTTCAGATGTGAGGCTTGGGTTCTAAGGCTTTGGCTAGTATTTCAGATGTAAGAGAGGGAGAGGGACTCAAACTCACATTTTGAAAGTGCAGTACATTTCCTTCCTTCCTTTCCTTCTGTCTTTCTTTCTTTCATGGATTCTCACTCTGTCGCCCAGGCTGGAGTGCAGTGGTGCAACCTTGGCTCACTGCAGCCTCCTCCTCCTGGGTTCAAGCAATTCTCCTGCCTCAGCCTCCTGAGTAGCTGGGATTATAGGTACCCACCACCATATCCAGCTAATTTTTGTATTTTTAGTAGAGACAGGGTTTCACCATGTTGGCCAGGCTGGTCTCAAACTCCTGACCTTAGGTGATCCGCCTGCCTTGGCCTCCCAAAGTGCTGGGATTACAGGCATGAGCCACGGTACCTGACCTGGTACATTTTCATATATGTGAGAGAACTAGGTATAAATATCAAGAGATGAAAGTGGTTTTTCCATAGTAAAGTACATTTCTATGCTTTAGTGAAAGATAATAAATTATTAAAGGGAAATATTATAGGATATTCTTGACGTATATATTTGGAAGAGTAGCTGAGAAGATACTTAAAAGATTAATCATGGCTATGTGCAGTGGCTCATGCCTGTAAACCCAGCACTTTGGAAGGCTGAGTCGAGAAGATTGAGGCCTGGAGTTCGAGATTAGCCTGGACAATGTATGAGACCTTGTCTCTAATAAAAATTTAAAAAATAGCTCGGTGTAATGGTGTGCGCCTGTAGGCCCAGCTACTCTGGAGGCTGAGGTGGGAGGATCACTTGAGTCTGGGAGGTCGAGGTTGCAGTGAGCCATGATCATGCTGCTCTAGCTTAGGCCACAGAGTAAGACCCTCTCTGTTAAAAACCAAAAATCAGTTAGTCATGAAGGGCTTTTTATGCCCTCTTAAGGATATAAATGTATTTTTTGGAGACAAGATTTTGCTTTTTCTCTTGGCTGTAGTGCAGTGGTGTGATCATAGCTCACTGCAGCATTGACCTTCCGGGCTCAAGTGATCCTCTCACCTCAGCCTAGCTGGGACTACAGGCGTGTGCCACCATACCGGGCTAACTTTATAACGATTTTTTGTAGAGATGGAGTCTCACTATGTTGCCCAGGCTGATCTTGAACTCCTAGGCCTCCCAAGGTGCTAGGATTACAGCAGTGGTTCCTACTGCTCCAGCCCTGTGTCATTTTAAATACTCTCCGTTATTATTATTTTTTGAGACAGAGTCTTGCTCTGTTGCCCAGGCTGGAGTGCAGTAGTGTGGTCTCGGCTCACTGCAGCCTTTGCCTCCTAGGTTCAAGTGATTCTCCTGCCTCAGCCTCCCCAGTAGCTGGGATTACAGGTGCCCACCACGACTCCCGGCTAATTTTTGTATTTTTGGTAGAGACAAGGTTTCACCATGTTGACCAGGCTGGTCTTGAGCTCCTGATCTCTGGTGATCTGCCCACCTCAGCCTCCCAAAATGCTGGGATTACAGGCGTGAGCCACTGCGCCTGGCCTAAAAATACTTTATTTTTTAGAGCAGTGTTAAGTTCACAACAAAATTGAGCAGAAAATACAGAGAGTTCCCATACACCTGCTGCCCCCATGTTTCCCCCACTGTCTACATCCTTCCACAGAGTGGTATATTTGTTAACAATTAATGAACCAACATTGACACATAATCACCCAAAGTACATAATTTACAGTAGGATTCACTCTGTAGATTCTATGGGCTTTGACAAATTTATAATGAAAAGTATCTATCATAATAGCACACAGTGATTTCACTGCTCTAAAACTCCTCTGTGCTCTTCCTATTCATCCCTTCCCTCTAACTCTTGCAATCCCCTGATCTTTTTACTGTCTTCATGTTTTGCCTTTTCTAGAATGTCATATAGTTGGAATCATACATTATGTAACTGTTTCAGGTTGTCTGTCACTTAGTAGTATGCATTTAAGGTTCATCCATGTCTTTCTGTAGCTTTATAGCCCATTTGTTTTTAGAGCTGTATAATATTCCATTGTCTGGATGTACCACAGTTTATCCATTCACCCACTGAAGGACATCTTGGTTCTTTCCAACTTTTTGCAATTAGAAAAAAATTCCCACACTATACGGGTGTAAAGATTTTTTTTTTTTTTTTTTTTTTTTTTGAGATGGAGTCTCACTCTGTTGCCCAGGCTGGAGTGTAGTGGTGCGTTCTTGGCTCACTGCAACCTCTGCCTCCTGGGTTCAAGTGATTCTTGTGCTTCAGCCTCCCAAGTAGCTGGAACTACAGGTACCCGCCACCGCACCTGGCTAGTTTTTTATAATTTTAGTAGAGATGGGGTTTTACCATGTTGGCCAGGCTGGTCTTGAACTCCTGACCTCAAGTAATCCACCCACCTCGGCCTCCCAGAGTGCTGGGATTACAGGTATGATTTTGAATTCCCACCAGCAATGAATGAGAGTTCCTGTTGCTCCACATTCTTGATAGCATTTGTTAGTGTCAGTGTTTTGGATTTTAGCCATTCTAGTAAGTATGTGGTGGTATCTAATTGTTTTAATTTGTAATTACCTAATGATGTATGGTGTATTTTTGTATTTTTAGTAGAGACAGGGTTTCACCATGTTGGCCAGGCTGGTCTTGAACTCCTGACCTCAGGTGATCAGCCCACCTTGGCCTCCCAAAGTGCTGGGATTATAGGCGCGAGCCACCCCCCTGCATTTGAAAAGATGTTCAACATCTTTTCATATGCTTATTTACCACCTATATATATTCTTCGGTGAGGTGTCTGTTCAGATCTTTTGCCCATTTTTCAGTTAAGTGGTTTTCTTACTGAGTTTTAAGAGTTCTTCGTGTATTTTGGATAATAGTCACTTATCTTTTGCAAATTTTTTTTCTGGTTTTTGGTATTCTTATTCTCTTGACAGTGTCTTTCACAGAGCAGAAGTTTTAAATAATCAGTGAAGTCCAGCTTAATCAGTTTACTTTCTTTTCTTTCTTTTTTTTTTTTTTTGAGATGGAATTTTGCTCTTGTTGCCCAGGCTGGAGAGCAATGGCGCGATCTCGGCTCACTGCAACGTCCACCTCCCAGGTTCAAGCGATTCTCCTGCCTCAGCCTCCTGAGTAGCTGGGGTTACAGGTGCGCGCCACCATGCCCAGCTAATTTTTTCGTATTTTTAATAGAGACAGGGTTTCACCATGTTGGTCAGGCTGGTCTCAAACTCCTGACCTCGTGATCCACCTGCCTCAGCCTCCCAAAGTGCTGGGTTTACAGGCGTGAGCCACTGTGCCTGGCTGACAGAAATTAAATTCTGAATGAAGTAGCATGTTCATAGTTCTTGCAAAAGTTGTTTTATTATTATTTAAATGCTGGATTGCTGTGTATTTTTGGAGTTAATTGTTCCATTTCCATACATGTTTAAGAAAACTGTGGTCTTTCATCCAGTTAGATTGCAGGTTCTCTGAGCACAGGGACAGTGTTTTGTCTAGTTATATCTCTCCATATTTCTGAGTGCATGGTAAACCTTTGGTAAATGTTGTCATAGGTTGTTACATTAGTTTTGTTTGGGATTGTGATTTAAGGTACGTGATTGACCTGGGATGTCTCAAACTGTGTAAAGGAACTATGCTCTAAGATAGGTTCTGCTGAAGCTCAAGACATACCTGTATTACACCCGCTCACTTTCTTGTTACGATTGAGGAACTGAAGTGTTCAGATAGAGTAAGTATGTAAAGAGCTAGAAATCCTCCTGAGATGACAAGATGAACAGAAAGAGCATTAATATTGTTTCATGCTAGATTTGACACAATGTAAGTTAACTTTTTGTCTTTAAGATCTTCTTTCATTCTAGTCAGTGGATTGCTAATTGTCTAGTGGTTTAAAAGAAAACAAGACCATTAGAGTTGTAACTTTTATTACAGTTTTTTCTAATGTATCCTTGACAGATTAAAATGTAACATTTAAATTCGTTACATTTTGAAGATTTAGGTTTGGTTGGAATGAAGTTAGTTGTAGTTGTAGAGGGTAATCACCTCAGTTAATTAAGGCATAGTGCTGATAAGGCCAAGGTCACCCTGGCAGGTGTTATTTAATTTTACCTTGTCCAACTTATCCACAAATTCCTGGGAAGAGTACAGTGTGTTTAGTTCAGATCTACTCATTTGATACAGATGCCATAGATAATAGTGACCTCTTTTTATAGGAATGCCAGCTCATTTTTGAGATCTAATTATTGATTATTTACATACAATTTCACACTAATTTAGGACTTTTAGAAGATACTTAATGATTGCAAAAGTTTTGTACTTGTGTCATTGTCATAGCAAGATTTGAATAGTTAACCAGCTTATGGGTTGCCACAGTGCTCTGGATGGTAGACTTTCAGAGCAGTGACGAAAGGAACAAACATTTATTGAACAATTTTGCGGCTTTTAGTAGTCTAATCCCTTTAATTTGTAGATGGGAAAACTGAGGCTCAGAAATAGGAAATTCTGATTACGAATTGAGTTTTGGACATGTTAAGTGTGAGAAACTTGTTAAACCTTCAAATTGAGATGTCAGGTGGGCAACTGGTTTTACAAATCTTGAGTTAGGGGAGAGATCCAACTTGGAGATACAAATTTTTAAATTATCATGAAGTAGATGATATTTAAAGCCCAGGGATTGTCTAAGATCCCCAAAGTAGTTAGAGGTTAGAGAGAAGAGGACCAAAGCTTGGGGCACTTGGCTCTTTAATTCAGAAAGATAAGGAAGCCAACAAAGAAGTTTGAGGAAGAAAAGCTACTGAGATTGGAGGAAAACCAGGAGAATGTCTTGGAAGCCATGTGAGAACAGTATGTTTAATTGTGGATTATAGAACCAGAGAGCTTCAGACTAAGCCATTTAACAAATAATTTAGTGATTGTTGTATTTTGCCTAAGAGTTCTTTTTATTTCAAATGCCGAAGTTGCAGAGGCAAAAGTGTTTAATAATTTCGTGGATTCAATTACATGTTACAAATTTTTTAATGGGGCTAGAATGTGAAGGTGCTGAAGTCATGGCTTGCTGTGTAATATTCTAGCTATTTGTTGATGTAGTTGTATACTTAAGTATGGACCTAACTGGTGTGTTATGAAATGAGAGAAAAACATGTAATAGGTTTTGCTCAGTTTATAATCTGGTCAAGGATATAGGAAGACATAACAAGTGTATCAAACATGAATCTTAGTCCAAAAACTCAGATAGAAAGAAGGTACCACATTTGCTTTCTTTAAATTAACTTGATTTGACTTCTACTTCTTTGGCAAGAAATTCAACCTCAGTCATCCTTGGGGTCCCCTCTCCTCATGTTATTGGAAGGCCTGGTGTCATATGGTTCAGATTTTGCCTGCATTGGTTATGATACTGTCTTCCATTGCCTTCCACAAGGTTCCATCAGGTTCTGTGGCTCTGCCACCAACTGTGGGCCCTAGTGCCTGTGGCTTGACACCTAGTTTATATCTAGCAGACACTTTTTACTGAGGTCTTGCTGCCTGTTCAGTTGCTGCCATGGAGTTGATTCCATCCTCTCTAGAATTTCTTCTGAGATTGCTCACAAGGTCTACTCCTTTCTTTCATCAAGTCATTCAACATGGCCTCTTCTTGGGTTTTACTAAACACAAGGTGCTGGTCTACCTTCCGTGCCACTGGAATCTCTGAACAAAGGTTTTTGAAAGCCTGGCTGTTTGACTGGAAATCGAAGGGAGGGATGGAAATAGAAGGATGTGAGTGACATAGGAAAAACATATATGAATTAGCGTTCCAAAAACTAGCCCCAAGAGGAAATATAAAGTGCCAAATGTCAATAAAAGTATGGTTGCTTGGAGTGTACTTGGAGTGAGTTGAAAACTTCATGAAGATGAGACTTGAACTGAGCCTTAAAGGATGGGTAGAGTTCATTATAAATGAGGGTGTCTATTGTGCTTCTGTATCTAAGGCAGTACCTTCATGTGTATGTTGGGTGGTGGTGACACATGCATGAGTCGGGCG
The DNA here is from genome assembly GCF_000001405.40 of Homo sapiens. NCBI lineage: Eukaryota > Metazoa > Chordata > Mammalia > Primates > Hominidae > Homo > Homo sapiens. The sequence continues at coordinate 124,936,148 of NC_000010.11, forward strand.
TGTGTGGCATGTTTGGGAGTGAGTGGTGTGTGTGTTTGTGACAGGAAGGAGTTGAGAGTTTATACTGTTGCAGAAGAGCCTCAGAAAGAGAATTGTGGAACAGTCAGCTGGATGGATTTAGAAAGGGAAGATGCTTAGAAGGCTTTTATGGTAGTTCTGACCTGAACTGGAAAAGGATTGATGGCAGTGGGAATGAGAAGACAGTAATTAGATAGAAACCACTAGAAAGAATCTGTGGGGAGAAGGCAGAATTTAAGGTGATTCTGAGTTCTCTGCTGGGTGCAGAGGTATTAATAGTGTCATTAATGGAAACTGGAGAAGTCAAGATAGGAGTTTGTTGTGAGAAGAAAATAAGGGGTTTAATGGAGGATTTGATAACCTGGTGAAGCCCTGAAATGAGGTTAGATTTGTAGATAAAGGGTTTTACCATATCATCGATCTTCACGATCCTGGTCTAGACCGGTTGTTTTTCCTGTTGACTATTGCGAAGAAGACAGTGATGAAAGAATATACTGATGAGAAAAGAGATGAGTATGTGCGATACTTTGGCTTAAGAGTTAAGTAGTTTGAAGTTTTTTATTTACAGAAATTTTATAGTTCAAAATTGCTTTGTAATATTTTAAGAGCCTGAAAATTTAGCATGCTTGGAAAATCCGTTTTAGTTTTAGCTTTCGTCTTTATATCCCTAAGATGTTCTCTGAGCATTTGTAAATCTCCGCAGATTTATATTAATAAGCTAATAATTATTTATATTAGTAAGTATAAATTTGTATTAATAAAGCTAATAAAAATCTTTAAGGCTGCTTTTTGTTGTTGTTGTTGTTTGAGACAGAGTCTCGCCGGGCCGCCCGGGCTGGAGTGCAGTGGCGCAATCTCTGCTCACTACAACCTACACCTCCCAGGTTCAAGCAATTCTCCTGCCTCAGCCTCCTGAGTAGCTGAGTAGTATAACTTCTCATCATTTGAAACTACTGGCAATTGAGCTTATCTCAGTTTGTTTCCTGAGTTTGCACTTGAAGAGAATTATTTGTGTGTATTTTTTTTTTTTTTTTTTTTGAGATGGAGTTTCGCTCTTGTTGCCCAGACTGGAGTGCAGTGCTGCAGTCTCGGCTCGCTGCAACCTCCACCTCCTGGGTTCAAGTGATTATCTTGCCTCAGCCTCCCGAGTAGCTGGGATTATAGGCACCTGCCACCACGCCCAGCAAGTTTTGTGTTTTTGGTAGAGACGGGGTTTCGCCATGTTGACCAGGCTGGTCTTGAACTCCTGACCTCAAGTGATCCACCCGCCTCGGCCTCCCAAAGTGCTGGGATTATAGGCATCAGCCATTGCGCCCCACCGAGAATTATTTCATTTCTTCAGTTCTCTATGATTGTTTAGTAGGTGGTTGGGGAAATTTGTAGTGTAGCTACAATTTTGAGGAATTGACTTCAATATAAATATAATTCTTGTACAGTGTTTAGTAATGCTTCACAAATATTAAACATGACAGTATAAAAAATGTTCCATTATGTAAGTCCCTTTCCCCCGCCTGCTATTAGTACATATACCATATTTCTGCACTTTTATTATCTGAATTGGAAAGTATATAATTAAAAACAGTTACGAATTTAGTACTTGTCAATTTAGTAGTAGTAAATGGTTGATATATTTAGAGACATTATTCATTCTACAGGCAGAGCTTGATGCACAAATGGATTCCTGGTCTCCTTGGTCCACAGGATGGGAACTGTTGGTATTGCATTTGAACCAAGGAATATTTGTCTTAAGAGTAGCAGTTTTGTCCCGTTCTCCTTAAAGAAGGCCTAGATTATGTTGATTTTATTGTGGTTTTATTTTACCAATTAATTGAAGTTTGAGTCCTTGGATAGAATTTGCAAATCTGCTTTGCATGCAAAATTAAACTTGTAAACTAAATTTACTTGGGCGTATGAATATATTTAATACTTAAAGTGATATTTGGTAAGTTTTATTTCAAGGTAGAGTATTAACTTTTAGAGCTGGCTACTTTGGAAATAATTTTATGTACTTTTTGGAATGTTTTGACATCTGGAAAAAGTGTACTCTGTTAATTTCTTTGTAATACTGCAAAAAAACACATAGTTCAGTTGATGTTATCCTTACTGTTCAGTGCTGTTTACTAATTACCACAGGTAGAAATGGCTGTCTCAGATAATCTTCAATGAATTTTTTCTTTTCTTTTTTTTTTTTGAGACAAAGTCTCACTCTGAGTGCAATGGTGTGATCATGGCTCACTGCAGCCTCAAGTCCCCTGGGCTGAAGCGATCCTCCTGCCTCAGCCTCCTGAGTAGCTGGGACTACAGGCATGTGCCACCACCCTGGGCTAATTTTTGTATTTTTTGAAGAGATGTGGTTTTGCCATGTTGCCCAGGCTGGTCTCGAACTCTTGGATTCAAGCAATCCACCTACCTAGGCCTCCTGTGCTGGGATTACAGGCGTGAGCACCTAGCCACTCTTCAATGAATTTTACCTTGCAGTTACTAAACAACATTCCTGCAATGTTTCAAGTTCTCTCAGAGTGAACACTGTACATCATTACGTTTTTTTTTTTTTTTCCTTGAGACAGCCTTGCTCTGTCATCCCAGGCTGAAGCACAGTAGCACAATCATAACTCACTGTAGTCTTGAACTCCTGTACTCAAATGATACTCCTTCCTTGGCCTCCTGAGTAGCTGGGACTATAGGCACAGGCGACTGCACCTGGCTAATTAAAAAAAAGTTTTTTTTTTGGTCGGGCATAGTGGCTCGCGCCTGTAATGCCAGCTCTTTGGGACGCTGAGGCAGGTGGATCACTTGAGGCCAGGAGTTTGAGACCAGCCTGGCCAACACAGTGAAACTCCGTCTCTACTAAAAATAAAAAAATTGGCTGGGCATGGTGGGATGCGCCTGTGGTCCCAGCTACTCTGGAGGCTGAGGCAGGAGATTCACTTGAACCTGGGAGTGAAGGCTGCAGTGAGCCAAGATTGTGCCACTGCACTCCAGCTTGGGTGACAAAGTGAGACTGTCTCAACAACAACAAAAATCGTGTTTTTTTTTTTTTTTCCTTTTTTGTAGTGATGGAGTCTTGCTGTGTTGCCCAGGTTGGTCTTGAATCCTGGACTCAAGTGATCCTCCCACCTCATTCTCCCAAAGTGCTGGGATTAAAGACTTGAGCCACTGTGCTTATTATCTAATATAAGGCACATCTCAAAACTCTTGAGCTTGGTTTTGGTATTGCTTAGTTACCTGGATTTTCAGAGGTTGGTGGGCTAATTAGGCAGCTGTCTGTCCATTATTTTACCAGGCATTTATGACAGTGATTATTTTTTATGACAGTTTTTTGTTTGTTTTTTAAATCAGCCTGGACATTTAAATATATTGTGCCAGCATATTAGTTACATGAAGATTAGCTAAGATAACATAAGGTTACGGGCTGTTTAGTTGCACCTACAAACATAGTAAGACTTATCAAAACAAGTATGGATTTTGAATGTGAATATTTTAAAAGATATATTGAAATTACTTAGAGTAGCCCTGGATATATGTTCATTATGGCATTTATCTTGTTAATAAGTTTCTACATGCTCATTTTAATTTCCAGTAGCATGAGCAAGTAACTTATATTTCATTCCCGAGAAACTAAAAGAATCTGCCTAAAGAGTATGAAAATTGCCATTAAATCTGTATTGTCTACTTTCTGGATGGTTATATCATTATAGTTCTCTGCTCTTCCACACATTTTTGGGCTGCTATCAGTTTGTAAGTAATCATTATACAAACTAAATTTAAAAATTTAAACAAGATAATTTTATATTACTTGGATCAGGGAAAAAAATGCAGTTGCTGAAGGTGGTTTCATAGCTAAATATAAGCAATTATTTTGCTTTTTCTACTTTTTTGGATTTTATCATCTTTTCCCTTTTAGTAATAGAGTAATACAGGTAGGAATTAACTTAGCACTGCCAAATTAATAGTAATATTAGAACTGTGTACACAGCACAGGGTTAAGGTTATATAGAAAAATGTCTCATCCATGTTTAATTTGGCTGACCAGCCCAGTTGATTAGCCAATTTTATTGTTTTGTTAAATTAAAATTCTAAATATAGTTGTCCATTGTTAAAATAAGTGAGTAGGGTTAAAATAGAGAATTGATAAAAATAAAGCCTTAAAAATCTTTTAGCTAAAGTAGCAGGCTTCAAGTGAAATTCAGTTTTGGTCTCCTTTACAGGAATAGCTATTCAGTCAGACAGAACCACTTATCACGTTTTGCAGTATCTCCTGAGGAAGTCAGAATTCTGAGCCAGCATGAAGACGGAATCTTGTCTTTGATCTGATTTGCAAACCGTACTTTTATTCTAATCATGTGCAAGGTGGAGGTTATAGCGTGGGAACTAAAATCTTAGTAAGTGTGGTTTTTATTTTAGCTATTAAGTAGTATACTTTCTTATAGTGATTTTTTTTTCTTCTTAGCAGAGTTCACACTATAAATGGTGTATGGACTTGGCAGGCAGGAACATAATACAGTATACTTCAAAAGTGAAAGATTTAGGCCAGGCGTGGTGGTTCATGCCTGTAATCCTAGCACTTTGGGAGGTCGAGGTGGGTGGATCACGAGGTCAGGAGTTCATCAAGAGAAGCCCGGCCAAGATGCTGAAACCCTATCTCTACTAAAAATACAAAAATTAGCCGGGCATGGTGGCATGCACCTGTAATCTCGGCTACTTGGGAGGCTGAGGCAGGAGAATCGCTTGAACCTGGGAGGTGGAGGTTGCAGTGAGCTTAGATTGCACCACTCCACTGCATTCCAGCCTGGGCAAAACATAGCAAGACTCCATCTCAAAAAAACAAAAATGAAAACAACAACAACAAAAAAACAAACAAACAAAAGATTTAACCCTCTAGGTTCAGGAAAAATCCCTGAGAAAGAGAGAGCAAAGCTTCTATACTCTGCCTAGGATTTCTTTCTCTTTCCGGGTGAAAAATAGGTGTTGGGATGATACTGAGTTGATAAAAGTATTTAGGAAAAGTGGCCAGTGTCTAAATTCAAGCCATTAAAAAAAAAAAAATTAAATTTGTTATGTAAGTTGCTTCATTTATGAATTAGTTGCCATTAAATTATGAAGTCTTTCTTCATTATAGTGTAGTGTTAGCCCATTGTTGAATCCTAGAAATCTTTTAAGTAGTGTGAATATCTTTTAAATATGAATTGGATTTTTTGGGGGGCAGGGGATGGAGTCTCACTCTGTCACCCAGGCTAGAGTGCAGTGGTGCGATCTTAGCTCACTGCAACCTCTGCCTGCCGGGTTCAAGCAGTTCTCTGCCTCAGCCTCCTGAGTAGCTGGGATTACAGGCACCTACCACCATGCACGGCTAATTTTTGTATTTTTATAGAGACGGGGCTTTACCATCTTGGCCAGGCTGGTCTTGAACTCCTGACCTTGTGATCTACCCGCCTCAGCCTCCCAAAATGCTGGGATTATAGGCTTGAGCTACTGCCCCCGGCCATGAATTAGATTTTGAGTATATTTTAAATATTCAAAATTTAAAATATTTTAATTATGAACATTCACAATTATATTGGAATGATTATGCTACTGGTTATTTCAGTGACCTTCCACAGATTTAATTTTCCCCAGTACAGTCTTCTTTTTTTTACTCCAGATAGAACTAGATTTTGAGGCTACAGATTATCAAGGAACTACCTATTTCATAATGTTACTTTGTTAATTGTAGCCATTACTTCTCAACATGTTTCTTTACTACCTGTGCTAATTAAGAACAGTGGATAATTAGCATTTTAAGTTGCTTTTCTCCCTTAGCGAGAATGATAAAATAGACGTTGCTTGATCTTCTGAATTCATGAATCATAATCTGTGTTCATAATTTGAGAATGGTTATGTGTTTAAGCTATTTTTTAGTTTGTGTTGTTTCCTCTACCTTTGTCTCTTTAAACTATTGGTTACTTTTCTAAATTGATGTGATGGCCTCCCTGAAATTAAACATTTCTATTAGTGGCTTCCCGTTAATCTCATCCTTCTTAGATCAAACCTCGTTATATCTCCTGCCTATCTCTTTTGCATTCCAAAGTTCAGTTTTATTAAATCCCAGGGTCTAAGATTTTTTCTTTGAGAATTTATCTCCAGTGTTTCTATGGAAATTAAAAAAGAAAATTAGGATAATTCAATGTCGAAATGTTGCATGCATCTTTTGAGAAATTTATATTTTGTAGGTTGAAGGACTTGCTTTTTGGGCAGCGTATTTTTGGAGGTGGAATGTAGTTATTTTAATAACCATGTCCTAATTATTTATAGCTTCCTGCCTGACACAGCTCACTTCAAGAAGTGCACAATGTCAGAACGTGGAATTAAGTGGGCTTGTGAATATTGTACGTATGAAAACTGGCCATCTGCAATCAAGTGTACTATGTGTCGTGCCCAAAGACCTAGTGGAACAATTATTACAGAAGATCCATTTAAAAGTGGTTCAAGTGATGTTGGTAGAGATTGGGATCCTTCCAGCACCGAAGGAGGAAGTAGTCCTTTGATATGTCCAGACTCTAGTGCAAGACCAAGGGTGAAATCTTCGTATAGCATGGAAAATGCAAATAAGTGGTCATGCCACATGTGTACATATTTGAACTGGCCAAGAGCAATCAGATGTACCCAGTGCTTATCCCAACGTAGGACCAGGAGTCCTACAGAATCTCCTCAGTCCTCAGGATCTGGCTCAAGACCAGTTGCTTTTTCTGTTGATCCTTGTGAGGAATACAATGATAGAAATAAACTGAACACTAGGACACAGCACTGGACTTGCTCTGTTTGCACATATGAAAACTGGGCCAAGGCTAAAAGATGTGTTGTTTGTGATCATCCCAGACCTAATAACATTGAAGCAATAGAATTGGCAGAGACTGAAGAGGCTTCTTCAATAATAAATGAGCAAGACAGAGCTCGATGGAGGGGAAGTTGCAGTAGTGGTAATAGCCAAAGGAGATCACCTCCTGCTACGAAGCGGGACTCTGAAGTGAAAATGGATTTTCAGAGGATTGAATTGGCTGGTGCTGTGGGAAGCAAGGAGGAACTTGAAGTAGACTTTAAAAAACTAAAGCAAATTAAAAACAGGATGAAAAAGACTGATTGGCTCTTCCTCAATGCTTGTGTGGGTAAGTTTCTGTATTCTGCATTTTTTGCGTGGGATGGGAAAAGGTAGTAAAAATGATATGAAAAGAGCTGGGTGCGCTGACACACGTTTGTGGTCTTAGCCACTTGCTTGAAACCAGGAGTTTGAGGCTGTAGTATGCCATGATCGGTCTGTGAATAGCACTTGCACTCCAGCTTGGGTAACATAGTGAGACTGTGTCTCCACGCACATGCAAAAATGTGAGTGTGTGTGTGTGTGTGTATATATATATGCGCAAAGTCACTAGCATTTGATTCATTCAGCACGATAGCTGTACTTTCAAGTATGCATACATAAAAATTTGTGTATTTGTGATCTTGTCGTAACTTTGTACTAAATTGCCCACAATTAATTGTGTTCATGTCTCTCCATTACTGGGGGCAGTGGAAACGTTTAAGTTAAAGCAAAGTTTTTACACATCAGCAGTAAAATATATACCTGGACTTTAAAACTGCTACTCTGTTTATTGTAACAAGATGTAACTGAGGAACACCAGCTGCTGTTTCCAAGTATTTGTAAACAGTGTGAGCATCTTGTGATGATAGAAGCTTTAGTCAGATGTTAAAAATACCACAAAAATGTGTGACTCCAAGAAGTTGAACAAACATATTGACCTTGAAAATACTGGTGTTAATTTAACATGAATGTCATGTAGTAAATGTTTGCAAACTTTATGGAACTGATTACATGTAGCCAGCTGATTCCATACTTCAAGTTATGGTTCATATGTATTGTGACATTTTCCTCAGGAAATGCTGTTAAAGGACAGAGACATAGGAGAGCAGAGTTTTTCTTCAGTTCTTGACCTTGTGAGTTAATTGTGATGTAATTCACAAAAGCAGTGACTTGAGTCTTCAGTATTTTTTTTTTGAGTAGATTAGATGTTTGATTTTTATTAAATTATTTGGATGGGCTGCTTGCTTTGACATTTGGTCTTATGAGGGAAATTTTGAATGATTACTAAGTTTAAACTTTGTGTGGAACAATAGCTAAGCTTTAACTATACCTTAGCTGTATGTTTTCCCTCAGTACCAATTTCTTTTATTTATCCCTCTGGGTACAGCCCAAGAATATGGAAAGTTTAGGTGTATGAACCTGTGAGTCCTAGGAATTGATTTCCAAGAAATCGTGAGTTTTAAAATTAAATTATATATATCATTCCCCCCCCCCCCCCGCCCCAAGATGGGATCTCACTCTGTCACCCAGGCTAGAGGGCAGTGATGCAATCATGGCTCACTGCAGCCTCAACCTCCTGGGTTCAAGTGACCTGCCATCTCAGCCTCCCCAGTAGCTGGGACTCCCCATTAGCATGTACCACTATGCCCTGCTATTGTTTTAAATTATTATTTGTAAAGATGGGGGTCTACCTATGTTGCCCAGGATGGTCTTGAACTCCTGGGCTCAAGCGATTCTCCCACCTCAGCCTCCTAAAGTGTTGGGATTATAGGCATAATTTGCTGTGCCCAGCTGAAATCCTGAGTTTTCAATTTTAGCTTTGTTCTGGCAAAAAAGAATATCCCAGCAGATGAATCCTTCTGACCTCCAGACTTAGTAGGCACTTAGCAAGTCTTAGTTCTAGTTTCCTCCCATCCTGAGGATGAGGGGATGAAAACATACCGGGCTATCTTCTGTCTGTGTTGTCCCATTTTATTCCTCTGATTTTTCTGCTCCAAATTGAGGGGCAACATACAGTATGATTGTCAGTTAAAAAAATTTAAACAGGAGATACAAAAGGGTTTTGTTATTAGTTTCCTTAGAGATCAAATTGATTTAACATAAAAATTCACCGTTTTGCAAGTGAACAACTCATTTGGCATTTAGTGCATTCACATTGTGTAACCACTACCTCTGTGTTGTTCCAGAACATTTTCATCATCCCAAAAGGAAACTATGTACCCATTAAGCAGTTACTGCCCCCTACCCCTACCCGCTAACCCTTGATAACTGCCAGTCTGCTTTTGGTGTCTGTGGATTTACCTATTCTGGATATTCATATAAATGGAATCTTTACATATCTGTGAGCTTTTATGTTGGGTGTGATTGTCTTTTAATTGCTTGTATGCCTTTGGAACAGTCTTAAAATCATTTTTTTTTTTTTTTTTTTTTTTTTCAGGGAGTAGTGTACTATGAATACTTGGACTACAAGGTGGTGTTATAGTACATGTAGGTTTATAGATGAAAATGAACTAGACTTCATTGTGACGGTTCTTAACCTCACAGTGAAGGTCACTAAACCTCACTAAAGGTCATAGAATCCTTTAGGAATCAGGGCTTCATTTCAACCCCCGGTTGCTTCAAGTCAGTGGATCTCAGGATAAGAACACCTGATTTGAAATATTTTCTTTCCTTGAAACACACAAGTTAGATGAATCAACATGTTTGTCTTTATGACATTATTTCTTCTTGGTCCTGCCTTTTTCTACATATCCTTACTACTTTTGACTAGACGACTAGCCATCCTTGTACCTCTTTGCATTTTATTTATTTTTTTGAGACAGGGTCGCGAGGCTGGAGTGCAGTGCTGCAATCATGGCTCACTGCAGCCTTGACTTCCTAAGCTCAAGCCATCCGCCCACCTCAGCCTCCTGGGTAGCTGGGACTACAGGCGCATACCACCACGCCTGGCAAATTTTTGTATTTTTTTTGGAGAGACGGGGTTTTACCTTGTTACCCAGGCTGGCATCTTATTCCTGTGCTCAAGTGATCCACCCACCTCAGCCTCCCAGAGTGCCAGGATTACAGGGGTAAGCCACTGGGTCCGGCCCATCTCTTTGCATTTTAATCACTGAGTTCAATTTAAAAGTGGAACAAGGCCAGGCACAGTGGCTCAGGTCTGTTAATCCCAGCACTTTGGGAGATTGAGTTGGGCGGGTCACCTGAGGTCGGGAGTTCGAGACCAGCCTGACCAACATGAAGAAACCCCGTCTCTACTAAAAATACAAAATTAGCCGGGCATGGTGGCACATGCCTGTAGTCCCAGCTACCTGGGAGGCTGAGGCAGGAGAATCGCTTGAACCTGGGAGGTGGAGGTTGCAGTGAGCCAAGACTGCACCATTGCACTGCAGCCTGGGCAACAAGAGCAAAACCCTGTCTCAAAAAAAAAAAAAAAAAGAAAAGAAAAGTGGAACAAAAACTTCTACCAATAGGACCAGTATTGGATTTGACGTTGTTTTATTTATAAAATGATTTGTCATTAAGTTGCTGTTTCTACCTGCAAAGTTTCTAGATTCTTAGGGGCAAGGGTTGATTGTATTTGGTTCTTGGTAATGTGGACTATGTCTTTCCTATTGGCAAATAATTTTTACTATTAACTCTACAATGTCATTCTGAACTGTTATACGTAAGGTTATAATTATAGGCCTGTTTCTATGGGATAGCCATATTCTGATGTGTAAACATAACTGAAATATGTTAAATACTTTTTTTAAACTTGTTTACATTGTGTTGGGTTAATTTAAAAAAAGGCTTGAGCAGTAAGACTAACAGAAGTTCACATGTACTCAAAATTAATCTTTACGTCCCTTTTCTGCCTGCCTTATGTTCCCCAGATTTCATTAGATACAGTGTATTTTGGGTTATTGATGTTAAGTGTTTTTTAAAAAATACATCTCTAAAGTAGTATATACACTGAGTATAAAATGTGAGACTTTTCCATTTAAAGTTGGAAAAAAATTGCAACCTCAGGTCAGCTTTGTAGCTGATAAACTAGGAATGAGGAAGATTCAGTTGTTGAGAGGGCAGATGTCAACTAACACATCAGCAGTATCGAGCAAACATATTGACATAGCTGTTGGGTGTTAAGTTTCACATAAGTCATATTATCTTATGTGGTGAGAGGATGTTGGGGACAGCTGTGCCAAAACCTGATATCAGTAGTAGAGCCTGAGGTTGAGAACCAGGGTGGTAAAGGTAGAGGTGTGAATGTAAATGTACAGTTGTCTCTGGAATGTCTGCAGTTGGTACTAGATGTTTTTAGGTACATCAGGTTTTTAGGGCGGTCATGTGAGCACTCACCATAGACTGCTTTTCTCACTGGGTAGACAATAATGTATCTAGAGAATAGAGCAGCACTACCTAATGCCCTGCTTTTGTTCTGCTATTGTATTGAATCAGTTGCCTTATGAAATTGCACTTCAATTTGTGTACATAGATACGTCCTTAAAAAGACACAGGGTTAGATAAGAACACCATATTAAATCTGTGCTGTAATGTGTATTCCTGAATCCTAGACTCATATATCCAGCTGCCTATTCAGCATCTTTCCTGGAGTGTTTAAAAACTCAAGCTCATTTCAAGCTCAGTAATGCTAAAACAGAACTGATCTCTCCTTCAAATCTATTTTTTCCCAGGCTCTCATCTTGGTTGATGGCAAATTTCTCATTCCATTGCTTGTGCCAAAAGCCTTGGCCCTCCTTGATTCTTCTTTCTCTTATGCCCCACTTCTATTTCTGAGAAGATTCTTTGGCTCTACCTTCAAAATATATCTGTACTCTGACCACTTCTCACTATTCTTGTCCAAACCATGATCTACCCTTGCCTTTGCCCTCCGTACAATCTGCTGTCATCAGAGGAGCTAATTCTTCTCAGAACCCTCTAGTGATCACCTGTTTTACTTGGATTAAAAGCCAGAGTCCCTCAAAAACTCTACAAGGCCATCTACATGCTCTGTATTGCACACTTCAGCTTCCCTCCATATACTTTTGACCCTTGAATAACACAGGTCTGAACTGTGCGCGTCCACTTATACGTGAGTTTTCTACCAGCTCTGCCACCCCTGAGACAGCAAGAATAATGCCTCTTCTTCCTCCTCCCCCTCCTCAGCCTACTCAAGGTGAAGATGATGATGATGAAGACCTTTATGATGAGCCACTTTGACTTAATGAGTTGGTAAATGTATTTTCTCTTCCTTATGATTTTCTTAATAACATTTTCTTTTCTCTAATGTATTACAAGAATACAGTGTATAATACATATACAAATATGTGTTCGACTGTTTATGCTATTAGTAAGGCTTCCGGTCAACAGTAGGCTATCAGTATTTTGGGGGGAGTTAAAAGTTATACATGGATTTTCTACTGTGTGGGAGATTGGTCCCCCTAATCTCCATGTTGTTCAAGGGCCAAATATAGTTTATCTCTGAACTAATCTGTTTTCCACCTTTTCCATTTCATTCCAGCCACTCTTGCCACCTTTTTTTTTTTTCCTATAAATAAGCCTCAAGCCTTTTACTTGCTGTTTGCTCTGCCTGGATTGCTCTCCACCTTCGCTTCTTTTCTCATGTATTGCCTTCTCAATGAGGTCCTCCATGACTGCCGTATCTAAAATTTCATCCCTGTCCATTATCCCTCCCCACAGCATTAATTTTCTTCATAACACTTCTAATATGCTTCATCATCTTGTTTATTATTTGTCTCTCTCTACTCTAGAATTTAAGCTTCCTGAGGGCCAGTAATTTTATGTTTTGTTCAAAGCTGTATCTTAGTATGTACAACAGTGCCTGCTACATACATACTAGGCACTCAGGTATTTTTATATCAATGAACGAATGAATATTTTTGGGAACTAGGGTCTGGGCAAACCTTTATCCTACTCCTCCTATGAATTTCTAGATTCTTTGCCTGCTTCCTAGCTCTCTATGTTTTTCAATAGTTGGGGCTCAACCCAGGAGAGCCAGTTTTACTTCTCACTGGTTGTCAGGAAGACTGAGGTAAGTAGTGGGTATGAAAGGGTCTTACAGGAAAGGGTATAGAGGCTTCAGTTTATCACCAGGCAGTCTATGGACATGAAAAGTCTAAAGTCAGGTTTATGTTTAATTTCTCTACCTCCCTACTTTCACTCATGGCAATATTTGTTTTTTCAAAAAAATCATTCTATGTGTTTGCTATAACTATCAAATGAGATTTTTACTTGAAATATTTTATTCAGTTGTCATTGGACCTGCTGCTTCCTAGTTGGCGTTTATCTTACTTCCTAAACAATAGCTGCATCTTTCTTAAGTTTAGGAGCTGAGATTTGGTTGGGGCTGTTGAAGGTATAGGGGGAAAAAAATCAAACTTAAGTAACAAGTTCACATTGAAACTATGTATACACATATATATGTATATATATATGTTTACACACATATGTATATATATATGTTTACACACACATATATGTATATATATTCACGTATACACACACACACACACACACACACACATTTTTTTTTTTTTTTTGAGACAGGATCTTGCTCTGTTGCCCATGCTGGAGTGCAGTGGTGCGATCACAGCTCACTGCAGCCTTGACCTCCTGGGCTTAAGCAGTCCTCCCACCTCAGCTTCCCTAGTAGCTGGGCGTACAGGTGTATACCACCATGCCCCGCCAATTTTAAAAATGATTTGTAGAGATGGGGTCTCTCTGTGTTGCCCAGGCTGGTTTCAGACTCCTGGACTCAAGTACTGGGACTGCAGTTGTGAGCCACCACCTGGCCTGAAACTGGAATTTTTATGCTGAAATACTCAGTTGCCCAATAGCAGTGGTATGAACAGCTTTCACTATAGGGAATATGTGAATCAGTAATGCCTCCCGGTGCTCTGAAGTTTTGGGGTGACGTGAAGTGCACATGCAGTGGTGTTCCCTGTTGAAAATCAATGACTTACGGACTGAACCAGAATCTCTTCTTTATCAAGTAGCAGGATGAAGTGGCATCATGAGGATTATAATTCTGATGGTTTCTGAGCAAAATTTGTCCCACTTTCAGAATTTTGACATGTCTGTAAAGACTTAGATGATTTTTATTGTTTTATTTTTTAATTAATTAACTAATTAACTTTTTTGAGGCAAGGTGGTCTCACTGTCTCCCAGGCTAGAGTGCAGTGGTGTGTGATCTTGGCTCACTTCAATCTCTGCCTCCTGGGCTCAAGCAATTCTCCTACCTCAGCCACCCAGGTAGATGGGACTACAGACGTGCACCACCACGCCTGGCTAATTTTGCATTTTTTGTAGAGATGAGGTTTCCCCTTGTTGCCCAGGCTGGTCTCAAACTCCTGGGTTCAAGCAGCCCGCCCGCCTCGGTCTCCCAAAGTGCTGGGATTACAGGTGTGAGCCACTGTGCCTGGTCTTACATGATTTTTAAAACATAGAACATGTATTGGTAACGTTTTCTTATATTAGTTGTCTGCAAAAATATTGTTATATTTAATCTATTATTTTCCCTTTTCTCATAACTTAATTGTGTTGAGAATCAATGTTTGAGGCAAATCCATTTGGATTCTAATTGTATTTGGGCCTCTTGCCAGAAATCCGTATAACGTGTCATATGGTGTCTGTCCACTCTAGAGTGCCAAGTGTAACTCTAGAAATATCTAAATATTTCCACAGTTTCTGGATGGGTCTGGATATGGTGGCTCAGTCCTGTAATCCCAGCACTGTGGGAGGTTGAGAAGAGGGGAGGATCGTTTCAGCCTAGGACTCTAAAACCAACCTGGGCAACTTGGCGAGACCTCGTCTCTATAAAAAATAAAAAAAATTAGCAGGACATGGTGGTGTTCCCATGTGGTCCCCACCTATGCAGGAGGCTGGGATGGGAGGAACACTTGCGCCCAGGCTGCAGCGGGCCATGATTGTGTCACTGCATTGCAGCCTGGGTGACAGAGCAAGACCATGTCTTAAAACTTGCATGGTATTAAATATGTCAGAAGGTATTTGTCCATTTGGTTTTACTTACACACCTTGTTTAAAAAAAAAAATAGCAAAGTGTAGGCGTATTACATTTTAAAATATTCTTTTCAATTTGTTTTGGTATTGATATTAAGAATTACGTATATAGATGGACATTTACAATTTGTCAGAGGTTTTTCTCAAGTAAATTATTAAATTAGTATTACTTTTTTCTCTGGAGAAACAAAACCGTTGCAAAATGTAATCTTCTATAATGATTTTTTTAAAAAAAGTTTCTACTGTTGAAATATGTGCCTGGTGTAATGAAAGGGAGGTTGTACAATAATCCAAACAAAATTAAATTAACTTCTGTGAAGGAAAAGTCATTTAGTTTTTGAGAGATTATATTCCTTTGAACTGGAATGATTTTAAAGTGATTTATATTACCAAGAAAATTACCATGTCAAAACGGAAAAGGAAATCCTTGCATTGGACACTGGTGATTTTGCCCATTTAAGACATCTTTGGGGTGACTTTTTAACTTGAGAGAAAACTCAGGGCATACAAACGATTGTGAAGAAAAAAATAGAAGAGGCTTCTATTCTCTAGTTCATTACTCCTTAGCTTTAAAAATTATTTCTTTCACAAGGATATTTTATTGATGACTTACCTGAAGGCACAAAACATTTGGTGTTTTTAAAAACACACCATCTGCTGGTCGCGGTGGCTCATGCCTGTAATCCCAGCACTTTGGGAGAGCGGGGCGGTCGGATCACTTGAGGTCAGGAGTTCAAGACCAGCCTGGCCAACATGGTGAAACCTCGTCTCTACTGAAAATACAAAAATTAGCTGGGTGTGGTGGCGGGCATCTGTAATCCCAGCTACTTGGGAGGCTGAGGCAGAAGAATCTCTTGGACCTGGGAGGCGGAGGTTGCAGTGAGCTGAGATCATGCCACCGCACTCCAGCCCGGGCAACAAAGTGAAACTCTGTCTCAAAATAAATAAATAAATAAAAACAAAAAAATAAAAACAGTATTGATGAAATAAGTTATAATGTCCAAATTTACATTTTTAACTTGCCCATTGACTTCCTTATAGGTTCATCTCCCTCTACCCCCTCTTTGGGCTTTTTGGGTGATTTGCATGACCAATATAAATAGAGTGGCAGGCAAGATAATGTCCACACCCCACCTCCCCATGCGTGCGTCCCAGTCCCCAGGATTTGTGAGTATGCCACCTTACGTGGCAAAAGAGATTTTACAGAAGTGATTAAAGGTTGCTTAAATGGCAGGGTTATCTGGGTGGGTGGTGTAATCACAAGCGTCCTTGTAAATCACAGCGGGAGACAGGAGAGTGAAGATTATAGATGGGACCATGAGAAGAGAAGCGGAGGCTTGAGAGAGTTGCAGGGCCCTGAGGCAAGGAATGCCAGCAGCCTCTAGGAGAAAAGGCAAGGCTTTTCTAGAGCCTCATGAAGGAGCACAGCCTTCCCAACACCTTGATTTTAGCTCAGTGAGAGCCTTGCTGAACTTCTGACCTCCTGAATTCTAAGACAGAAAGTTTGTGTTGTTTTAAGTCACTAAGGTTGTAATCATTGTTTGAGCAGCAATAAGAAATTAATACAAATAGCTTTTTTAAAAACAAATAATATCTTTTTTTTTTTGGAGATGGAGTTTTCGCTCTTGTTGCCTAGGCTGGAGTGTAATGGCGTGGTCTTGGCTCACTGCATCCTCTGCCTCCTGAGTTCAAGTGATTCTCCTGCCTCAACCTCTCAAGTAGCTGGAATTATAGGCGCCCGCCAACATTCCCAGCTAATTTTTGTATTTTTAGTAGAGACGGGTTTCACCATGTTGGCCAGGCTAGTCTCGAACTCCTAACCTCAGGTGATCTGTCCACCTTGGCTTCCCAAAGTGCTGGGATTACAGGCGTGAGCCACCACGCCCAGCCCTAAACAAATAGTATTTTTTTAAATTTTATTTTGAGATGGAGTCTTGCTCTGTCACCCAGCCTGGAGTGCAGTGGCGTGATCTCGGCTGACTGCAACCTCTGCCTCCCAGGTTCAAGTAATTCTCCTGCCTCAGCCTCCCAAGTAGCTGGGATTACAGGTGCACACCACTGTGCCTGGCTAATTTTTTTTTTTTTTTTTTTAAGTAGAGACAGGGTTTCACCATATTGGCCAGGCTGGTCTCAAATTCCTGACCTTGCCTCCTGCCTTGGCCTCCCAAAGTGCTGGGATTACAGGCGTGAGCCACTGTGTCCAGCCAACAAATAATACCTTAATTTGACAATTTCAGAAAAATTTTACTTAATTTTCACCAGTTCCTAGAGGAGGTCAGAGCCATTGTTAATAATGAAAGAAGTTGAGGTACAGAGGGACTGACTAGTATGGGAAGTAGCTGTCCTTTCCAAGACACAAATGGTAACGGGTTTCTTTCTGCTGGATATGTTTGGGGGTTATTACTGGAGCTTTTGAATTATGTTTGATGCCTGGGAATATTAATGTTTTCAGCCCTGCCTTTTTTCAGGTCAGCGAAATAAATATGCCTGTATGAAGCTGATTGCTGTGGCCCAGGGTAATCTGCTACTTGCTAATATTTTACAGCATTCCATGGTTAGGTTACATTATTTGGACTTGACGTTTTGTGTGCGGTGTTTCTGTAGTGTGTGTTCTGTTTGCTCTGCTCATGTTGGCCTGTTTTTGGCTTGGTATACCAAAGGTGTTTGGACAGTCCTTCAGTGTTTAGAACTTTTCCTGTTCTGTGGATTGCTTTGCAGTCATCATTACTTCTGTGTTGATAGCTCAGTTGCAGATCTGTGTTCTAATATGTCATTTTTTGAGATCAACATCTGTGAGTTTAGAGAGGAAACTCGTGAAGTTGTTCACAGTTATGGCTACTTTTTAAGTGCTGGGTTATGAACTCTGATTGTATGCTGATGCCAAACTAGTGTTCTACTGAAAGATACTCTTCTGATTTAGTGTCCTTTTTTTTTTTCTTTTCTCTTTCTTTTCTTTTTTTTCTGGAGACAGGATTTTGCTCTGTTGCCCAGGCTGGAGTGCAGTGGCGTTGATCACAGCTCACTGCAGCCTCGAATGCCCAGGCTCAAGTGATTCTCCCACTTTCAGCCTCCTGAGTAGCTGGTTCCAGAATAGTGCACCACCATCCCCAGCTAATTCCTGTTTTTTTTTTTTTTTTTTTTTTTTTTGTAGAGGCGGGGTTTCACCATGTTGCCCAGGCTGGTCTCAAACTCATGGGGTCAAGTGATCAGCCCGATTCAGCCTCCCAAAGCTCTGGGATTACAGGCGTGAGCCACGGTGCCTGGCCCCTTTTTTCTTAATACATTGTTTTACGTATGAATGGAGGCAGAACCAGTAAACAGGTCTTGCATCATATTAATAGTTTTGAACATTTAAAACCATCTAATTGCCCTTTTATTAAAGACAACAACACAAAAATGGTTTGAGTTAAAAATGGTACATTAAAAGTTTTTTTTTTTTTTTTTTGGAAACAGGGTCTTGCTCTGTTGTCCAGGCTGGAGTGTAGTGGTGTAACCTCAGCTCACTGCAACCTCTACCTTCTGGGTTCACACAATCCTCCTGCCTCAGCTTCCCTAGTAGCTGGGATTACAGGTGTGTGCCACCATGCCCGTCTAATTTTTGTATTTTTAGTAGAGATGGGGTTTCACCATGTTGGCCAGGCTGGTCTCGAACTCCTGACCTCAGGTAATCAGCCCACCTTGGCCTCCCAGAGTGCTGGGATTACAGGCGTGAGTCACAGTACCTGGCCCCTTTTTACTTAATACATTGTTTTACATATGAATGGAGGCAGAACCAGTAAACAGGTCTTGCATCTTATTAATAGTTTTGAACTTTAAAACCGTCTAATTGGCCGGGCACGGTTTCTCACGCCTGTAATCCCAGCACTTTGGGAGGCCGAGGTGGGCAGATCACGAGGTCAGGAGATCGAGACCATCCTGGCTAACATGGTGAAACCCCATCTCTACTAAAAATACAAAAAATTAGCCGGGCGTGGTGGCAGGCGCCCGTAGTCCCAGCTACTCTGGAGGCCGAGGCAGGAGAATGGCGTGAACCCGGGAGGTGGAGCTTGCAGTGAGCCGAGATTGCGCCACTGCACTCCAGCCTGGGCCACGGAGACTCTGTCTCAAAAAAACAAACAAAAACGAACAACCAAAACCCACCTAATTGTCCTTTTATTAAAGACAAAACAAAAATGGTTCGAGTTAAAAATGTTACATTAAAAGGTTTTTTTTTGTTTTTTTTTTGTTTGTTTTTGAAACAGGGTCTTACTGTGTTGCGCAGGCTAGAGTGCAGTGGTATAATCTCGGCTCACTGCAACCTCCACCTCCTGGGTTCAAGTGATCCTCCTGCCTCAGCTTCCCTAGTAGCTGTGATTACAGGCATGAGCTACCATGCCTGGACACATTAAAAGCTTTTAATAGGATCCAAAATGTACACAGACTTCTGTAGCGTCTTTTGGCCTGCATCCGTAAAAGGAAAGTGAGTGCTAGAGTACTGGCAATGCTTTGTAGTCCTTGGCTAACTTTGCGTGATACTCTTAAGTGTGATGCGTGTGTAGCTATGAAGACTGTGATCATTTCACTCCACAAACGTTTGTGATTGTGGGTTTACTTCCTGTCCAAGGTAGTTCATATAGGTAATAGAGTTATTTTTAGCAACATGAAATAAGTATTATCTTCAGGTAGTTTTTGTTTTTCAAGTTTTTAAGGATTTCCTGTTTTGATCTTGGAACACTGGATATAAAATAACATTTTATGTCATGATTTTTAAGTGAATTGTGAGAATTTCCAGCAACATAAAATATTCTCATCTGTAGGGAACACACATGCCTGTGTGCACACTCACACTTTTCACCTCTTCCCTTTCTACTATTAAATGATGCTGGCCCGTTTGGTCCGGGATTTGAAAGTACTTCCTGACACCTGTGATAAAAAGAAAGCTTCCAGGAATGAATGTTTCTATTAAGGCAAATGGGCGGTGATGGCAGAAATAAAGCGCCAGTATTCTTCTTGGTTGCCTTTAGTATGTCTGAGACGTAGTTCTCGGCTTTCAGAAATGATTGATTACACAGGGTTGCCAACTAGTAATGTGCCTTTTTATGCTGAGAAAGGGACTATGTCGCGTGATTCTTGATTATGTGATAACTGACATTTGAATATGCAGCATTGATTCAGTAACGGCTTTCATTTAAAAAAGAAAGTACTATATTAAACGAACACATTGAAATATGAAATCCAGATGTATCCTTTAAATATCAAGTATAAAAGGATGTGTTTTGACTCTAGAGAATTGTTGGGATCTAAACTAACTTTAAAAAGTTGCGTTAAACTAGGCACACGGTTTAAAAAAACCCAGGCAGCACAGAAATGCAAATATAAAGAAATGCAATAGTTTCTTCTTCTCTCTACCTCCAGTCCTGCTGTGCATAGACAACCACTATTTTCCCTGTCATTCTTTTATTTTACTTTTATTTATTTTTATTTTTTTGAGACGGAGTCTTGCTCTGTCGCCCAGGCTGGAGTGCAGTGGTGCTATCTGGGCTCACTGCAATCTCTGCCTCCCAGGCTCCAGCGATTCTTGTGCCTCAGCCTCCCAAGTAGCTGGGACTATAGGCAAGCTCGCCACCACGCCCAGCTCATATTTGTGTTTTTTAGTAATGGCGGGGTTTCACCATGTTGGCTAGGCTGGTCTCGAACTCCTGACCTCAAGTGATCCACCTGCCTTGGCATCCCAAAGTGCTTGGATTACAGGCATGAACCACCATGCCTGGCCCCTGTCATTATTTTATAATGAGAAATTTCAAAACCTGTATAAAGGTTACAAGTGTAATATATTGAACACCACATGCCTTTGACCTAGATTTTCCAGTTCTTTGCTGTATTTGGTGTCTCTGTATGTCTTTCTCGTGTGTATTCTCTGAACTGTTTGAGAGTTAGCTGAAGACATCATGACACTTTACCCCTAAATATTTCAGCATGTGTTTCCTAAGAACAAGGACATTTTTTCCTACACAACCACACAGTATAATTATCCAAGAAATTTAATACTGAAAGTCTATATTTAGTTTCACCAATAGTTTCAGTAATTGCTGTTGCCCCACCTTGTTCAGTTAAGGATTATACATTGTGTGTAGTTTTGTCTCTTCAGTCTTCTCTAATCTAGAACAGCACCTGTTTTTTTTTTTTTATTTCATGATTGACATTTTTGAAGATTCCACTTTTGCAGAATGATCTTCAATTTAGATTTGTGGATTTCCTTATGATTAGATTCAGTTTAAACATTTATCTTTTTTAGAGGAGGGAGGAATACTATATAGGTGATATTATTTGAGGCAGCACCTCCGATACCTCTGAATAATGTCCTTGTATCATTGTTCCTTTTTTTTGCAATTTATTTTGAGGTAAAATATACGTAAGATAAAATTTATACCATTTTACTCATTAAGTGTATATTATTAGCATTGGGTACATTCTTATTGTTGTGTAACCATTTCTACCATTCTCTCTAGAGCTTTTTTACATCTTGGAAAACTGAAACTCTGTATCCATTAAATAGCTCCATTCCCCCTTCCTCCAGCCCCTGACAACTGTCATTCTACTTCCTGTCAATCAATTTGACTGTCGTAATAACCTCATGAATGGAATCATACAGTATCTGTCCTTTTGCTTATTTCACTTAGTATAATGTCTTTAAGGTTCATCTGTGTTGTGATCTGGGTCAGAATTTCCTTCCTTTTTTTTTTTTCGAGAGGAAGTTTCGCTCTGTTGCCCAGGCTGGAGTGCTGTGGTGCAATCTGCGCTTGCTGCACCCTCTGCCTCCCAGGTTCAAGGGATTCTCCTGCTTCAGCCTCCCAAGTAGCTGGGACTATAGGCGTGTGTGCCACCATGTGTGTCTAATTTTTGTATTTTTAATAGAGTCGGGGGTTTCACCATGTTGGCCAGGCTGGTCTCGAACTCCTGGCCTCAAGTGATCCACCTGCCTCGGCCTCCCAAAGTGTTGGGATTACAGGCGTGAGCCACTGCGCCTAGCCAGAATTTCCTTCCTTTTTGAGACTGAATAATATTTCATTGTATGTGTATACCACATTTTGTTTATCCTTTCCTCAGTTGATGAAAATATATTATTTCTTTTTCACCAAATTTAGACATTTGTACTGACTTCTTGTAACGATCTTTGATAGTTTAGTTCATTTTTGAATAATAAAGG
Organism: Homo sapiens; assembly: GCF_000001405.40. Taxonomy (NCBI): domain Eukaryota; kingdom Metazoa; phylum Chordata; class Mammalia; order Primates; family Hominidae; genus Homo; species Homo sapiens. Next base: position 124,958,206 of record NC_000010.11, read on the forward strand.
CAGACAACTTGCGACTAGCATGTGCAACGTAGCGGGACCTCTTCTCTATTAAAAATAAAAAACTTAGCTGGGTGTGGTGGCAGGGTGCCTGTAGTCCCAGGTATGTGAGGCTGAGGTGGGAGGATTGCTTGAGGCAAGAGTTTGATGCTGCAGGGAGCTATGATCAGTCATTGCATTCTAGTCTAAGCGACAGAGCAAGGCTCCATCTCAAAGAAAAGCAGACTATATGCATTGTAGACTATTTCAGAGATAAGAAAAGCTATGAAAAAATAAAAATAGTTTGTAATCTCACTGCCTAGAGGAAGTCTGTCAGATTTTTTGTGTATTTTCAGTCTTTTTTTTTGCATTTATTTACTTTTACATAGTTGAGATTATATTGTATATCCTTTTTCATTGAACTTTATATTTTGAATCAACATGTTACCTTTTAAAAATGAATGTGTAATATGACATTGAATTGCTGCACCTTAAATTAACCTGTTCTTTATTAGCAACAGTTTGGGAGTCCCTGTGGAGCTGTCTTTGCTGATGTTTGTTGTTAAGAATGGCATGCTGTCTCATTTTATTAATCATTTGTATTTTTTTCTGTGAGTTGTTGATTCATGTCTTTTGTTCACTTTCGTTCACTTTCTTTGGTGATTTTATCAAGTTACATGAAATCTATATGAAAAATACACATCTCCAGTCCCAGTCTGGGCAACATAAAATCATTTTTGGCCTCGGCCTCCCCAAATTGCTGGGATTACAGCGGCGAGCCTTGGCACCTGGCCTCAGTTACTTTGAAAAATTGTCTTAGCTTTTACCTTTTCTTTGTTCATTCATTCATGCATTCAGGTACTCCCTGAGTGTGCTCCCAAGCACTTTGAAAGAAGTCATGTCTCTCAAAGAGTTTATAGGGCAAATAGAATTTAGCAAGCCAGGATAGCTCAGCAGAGGAAGTACAGGGTCCTAGAAGGAGCATAGAACCTAATCTCATTAGGAGATTTGGAGAGGACTTTTGGTGACATCTAAGCTGAAACTTGAAAGAGAAGAAGGAATAGTGTTTCTATTAGTGAGAATTTTATGTGTTAAAAATCCAGGGTGGAGAGACCAAGGCATGTCAAATAACCCGAGAGAAGTCAGTTGGTTGGAGTGTAGAATGAGGACTGTGAGAGAGAACCTGTAGGGAATATTGGGACTATTTAACCTGGTTAAATAGGTTAATTCCTTAACCTGGTTAAGGAATTTAGCTGTTAACCTGAGGGCAGTGGTAAACTTTTTTTTTTTTTCCCCCTGAGATGAGATCTCACTTTGTCACCCAGGCTGGGTGGAGTGCAGTGACATGATCACGGCTCACTGCAGCCTCAACCTTCTTGGGCTCAAGGGATCCTCTCACCTCAGTCTCCCAAGTAGCTGGGACTACAGGTGCATGCCAGCACGCCTGGCTTATTCTTTAAATTTTTTGTGGAGATTGGGTTTCTCCCAGGCTGGTCTTGAACTGCTGAGCTCAAGCAGTCTGCCCTCCTTGGGCTTCCAAAGTGCTCAGATTACAGGTGTGAGCCACTGCGCCCAGCCTAGTGGTCAACTTTTGAAAAGGGAATGCCGTAATTAAATTTGTAGTTTAAGAAGACCACACTCACCCTAGTGTAGAGGGAGCAACACTTGAGATGGCAGACCAGTAGAGTAAATGATAGCAACTTAGGTATAGCCAGGTATAGCTGGGGTAGAGTCAGTGGAGATGGGGAAAGGGAGATTTATTTGAAAAAGACTGAAGTAGAATTGGCAAAACTTGGAAGAATTGATACTGGGCTGAGATGAGGAGGAGTTTAGAAAGCCAGATTTTTGGTTTGGACATCTGGGTTGGCTAACAGTATCATTTTTCCTGGACATAGGAGAGGGAAAGTTTAGGTTTTTTAAGAGGTTTTGTGGTGAGGATGCCTGATGGATTATTGGATACATGGGGTCTGAAACTTTTGGGGATGGATGCTTGTGGGGCTGTGAGTGTCTACAGAAGCCATGAACTTTCTTTTTCAGTGGCAAATTATAGGAGCTTTCTTGTTTAGTGTTTCTAATTGGAGACCTTAGTAAGATTGACTGGGTTACTTTTGAACATTTCTTCCAATTTGATGATTTTCTGTCTTAATTCTGTCTACTTTTGTCTAGAAGAATTAAATGTATATAATATGAACAGTATAAAGTTATAATAAATTATGAAAGTTTTTCCTTTTATCCTTTCTTCCTTGCCCCTGCTTCGTTTTTTAAACAGAGACAGGGTCTCACTCTGTTACCCAGGTTGGAGTGCAATGGCGTGATCATAGCTCATTGCAGCCTCGAATTCCTGGGCTCAGGTGATCCTCACAAGTAGCTGGGACTACAGGCATGCGTCACTATGCCTGACTAATTTTAAAAAATTTTTGTAAAGATGAGATCTTACCATCTTGCCCAGGCTGGTCTTGAAATCCTGGGCTCTAAGCGATTCTCCTGCCTTGGCCTCCCAAAGTGCTGAGATTATAGGTGTGAACCACTGCACCCAGCCTCCCATTTCCACTTTTAAAATGTTCATTTACCCTCTAGTAAAAAAAAGGTGGGCTAGACTATTCAGTTTCTCTCGGCCTACCTGAGATATAGTGTAATTATAAAAATCTAAAATTTAGTTTCAAATTCAGCCAGGGTAACTTGGCAGTGTGGCAATTGAAATTTTTATTTTGAAGTCAGAAAAACCTTTGGATGTGATTTCAGTGGTGAATGTGGTTTTGGCATACACTATTTTATGAGTTTCAAAATCTACTTTTGGAACCTAAGAGTTTTTGTTTTGTTTTTTGTTTTTTTTTTTTAGACAGAGTTTCGCTCTTTGTTGTCCAGGCTGGAGTGCAGTGGCGCAATCTCGGCTCACTGCAACCTCCGCCACCTGGGTTCAAGCGATTCTCCTGCCTCAGCCTCCCGAGTAGCTGAGATGACAGGCGCACGCCCCCACGCCCGGCTAATTTTTTTTTGTATTTTGAGTAGAGACAGGGTTTCACCATGTTGGCCAGACTGGTCTTGAACTCCTGACCTCAGGTGTTCCACCCACCTCGGCCTCCCAAAGTGCTAGGATTACAGGCGTGAGCCACTGAGCCCAGCTGGAACCTAAGATTTTTAAGAACCGTAATTTCCTTTCAGTTGAATATTTTCAGTAATGTTTTAAGTGACTCATGATGTGAACTCATGTTCATCTGTTTCAGCCCTGTTAACATTTGTCCCCATCTCTGATCACTTGTCCCAAAGATAACTTTGTGGCATGTTTCCTTTAAGTCCTGCCATGTTGCTTTCAGCAGCAATTCTTCCTGCTTGGCAGGATCTTCTTTCTTACGAAGTTATCTGTTAGGTTAGGTATTTTTTCATGACTTTGGGGACTTATATTTTCACAAGAGTGGGTTGTTAACACTCTGATCAAAGATGTAAGGAGAAAAGAGCTCAGTAGTATAGACTATATTTGACATAGTTTGTCACAACTTACAGATAATTTAGAAAGCTTTAATTAGTGACTATTTGACTTCCTTCTCTCATTGAATCTTTTATTTTTCTAAAGAGGATGTTTTAGTAATGGACAGTGAGATTGTTGAATAGAAGCTAGTCTTGATATGTTATAGATTAAATTTAAGAATTTGTTTATAATTTTGATTTTCATCTGATTTTTTGAATAGGCTGTTGTTTTGTAGCACTGTTACTAGGAATAGAAATAGTGGATCTTAACTTGTTGCTATTATTATGTGGAAAATACAACCAGGAGGTGTTTTGGCCTGCTCAAATTATTTCTGAGATTGTTCCTGTGCTTTTGCCTACTTGAAGGTACACTTTAAAAAATATTGAAGTCATTTTATTTAAAAAACAGCTCATTAGTTTTGAAAGAGTTTGCTGTGAATATCTCCAGGTTCAGGATTAAACTATAGCCAAATGCTTATGATATAAAAAAGTATTACTGGGTGGTATAGTTTCCTTTTAATATGAAAACCGGTTAAATGAGTTAAACTCTGGCTAGAGGAAAACCACATCTGCATCTTTCTCTGACCATGGTAAAGGACATTCTGAACATTACCACTTAAAACTAACTTTTCTCTTTAAGGGTTCCTGAAATTGTGCCAGCCGACTCCAGGTCCACCCTGACCCCACAGCATAAACCATGCTGTGATGTCACAGCTACCATAGAACTCCAGGGTAGTGTTGGGCTGGCCCATGTGGGCTCAGGTAAGTCCTGGCTTTTTTTTTACCATTTGGCATTCTTTTCAAAGTTAATAACCATTATAATTTTATGTCATAAAGGAAAATAAGGCAAAACTTTGAAAACTGTGCCATATATGGGGGAAAAAATAAGTCTGTTTTCTAAATATCTATGAGCCAGCTCTAAATTCTAACCAGTGGAGTTCCATAGTAGCTGTGAAGTCCCCAGTGAGTCATTGACCTGTGGCTTCAAAATACGTAAACTGTACTCCTGGCCCAGCTTACGGAATAATATATGTTTGCTTTTTATTTTTTTTAACGGTTTAGCTAGTAATATATAATATAGTGGCTTTCATTCTTAGGCCTTCATGTTTTAAGAAGTGTATTAACACTTTATCTGTAATTATGTTTCACTATTAGGCTAATTGTGCATTTCATTCAATTTTGAATGTATGGTGATACTACAGATTAGTTTTATAAAATTAATCGTCCCAGAGTGGCTTCAGCTGTCCTTTTATTTGTCTTCATGAAGGAGAAAGGGACAGAAGGCATAATACACGTTTGTTAAATTTTCAAAAAAAGTACTAAGAGAAAGATGCTTTGGCTGGGCGTGGTGGCTCACGCCTGTAATCCCAGCACTTTGGGAGGCCGAGGTGGGTGGATCACCTGAGGTCAGGAGTTCGAGATCAACCTGATCAATATGGTGAAACCCCGTCTCTACTAAAAATACAAAAATTAGCTAGGTGTGGTGGTGTGCGCCAGTAGTCCCAGCTGCTCAGGAGGCTGAGACAGGAGAATTGCTTGAACTCGGAAGGTGGAGGTTGCAGTGAGCTAAGATCGCGTCACTGCATTCCAGCCTGGGTGACAGAGCAAGACTCTGTCTCAAAAAAAAAAAAAAAAAAAAAAAATGCTTCAGTTACTCTTGGAGGCATTGTGAGATGTCAGTAACCTAGAAAACATGTATATGTTGATTATCTTCTCTTGGAACTTTTCATTTTTTCCTGGCCTTTCTCCCATAAAGTGAGATTTTAACACTTGCATTTATTTGTCTTTCCCTGTCTACCAACTCTTCTACCTTATTCTTACGTTCTTTTTATCCCCTGACATTAAAAGGTGCTCAAAGTGTAATTATGTGAAGAACTCAGATATTGTAAGGTTTTTTTTTTTTGTTTGTTTTTTTTTTTTTTTTTTTTTTTGGGCATGTATTATGATGCTTTTTCCCTGCACTTCACTTTAAGTAGAAAACATGCGGTGGCTAAAACTTTAAATTATATGCGTATGGGCCAAATCCTGTTGAACCAACCACGTCTACAACAAAAACGTGTCTATGAAGTAATGTCTAAACTTTCAGAAGTTCTCTTTGAGCAGTGTGCAATAAAGACGTAGCAAAAATTGGGACAGTTCAGTGACATTTTCATGAAATTTGATTTGTAATTTACTAATCTTTGTAGCTGAAAATGTGCAATTCTTAATGAAAAGAATGAAATTACGTATTCCCCAAACACTAGATAATAAAATAATTTTCTTTTAGATATTATTTTTTACCTATATTTAAGTGATGTGTGTTTTTCATGCTCTGGGAAGTTTGGAGAATTTCGTGCTGTCAAAAACTGAGAATAGTCTGTTCTCCTCATCTTCTGTATGTCTGCCATGCTGGGGAATGGGCAGTATGCCCGTTTGTAGTTTAATGCAGAGCATGGAGTAGGAGGGACTAATTAAGTGTTTTTGATAATTTTGTATTAGGTCAAATAGAAATCCTAGTTGTGTTTGTGTATATCGGCTTTATTGAGACATAATTTCACATACCATGCATTTCAACATTGTAAGTTCTGGTTATATTTTTAAAAAGCACTTAATGAAAGCAGAATTGGTGATATTATTGTACATTATAGTTCCAAAGTACAGTCTGCTGATTTTGTTGTGCTATGTAGTCTGCACCCCACCCCCCAGTGCTCATTAACTTCTAATTACAGAAATCTCTCAGAGACATTAGAGAGGAAATCTTAAGAATTTCTAAGATGAGATTCTTCTAGACTTCAGCTATATGGTGAGTTAGCTAAAAACAATAAAGCGATTTGAAGATCTCCCCTTCTTCCAAGCAAAAGAAGGAAGTTATTTGGTGCTTAGCTTTAGATTACCTCATCTCTGTCTTTGAGAAATAAGAAATAAACATGAACACATATAGTACAAAACACCTACATACATGCATACACGTATATACACATAAATTGTACAGATCTTCCTCTTTGCTTTTTCAGCTAAATTGATCAGACTCTTGGGTTGTTTTTGGAAGTGTTTGGAACATTTTTTATGTAATACGAAAAAATTTGTAAGTAGATAATATTTTTAGATTAGAACTAAAGACTATAAAAGGTGCCTTGATGCTATGTATACCTGAGAATAGTCAAGGGCTTTGATAGGTCTGAAGGGAAAGGTCGTTGCCTTCATACAGAAATGCTATGAAGTGAAAGGAGATGGTGTGGGCATGGTCAGTCCTAAATAAAATAAAACTGCATTGAATTATCTTAAAAGTTATGGGCCCTACCAGACTATACTTAATTGTTCATTAAATAATTTAAGCAGAAGTTTCAGAGTTCTTTCTGTATTTGAACATAATAATTGGAAACAGAAAACTCTTCGATCATAGAGTTGTTTTTAGTTCAAGTAGCACTTTCTGGTCTATTTGAAAGGCTTGCCCCTTTGGGAAGATTTATAGCCTTTATCTCATGCCATCCTTGATTAAGCTTTAGCTTTGACTTCTCTAGGGTACACTGTTCCTCAGAAGGATGTGTAAGGTGGGTGGAGGTGGGGCATTTGTAGCTGAACTTGTATATGCATGGTGAGGAATTTATCAAGCTACATTGCTGTGAAAATAAGAATTCCTGTAAGAAGGCATTCTTAATATAATGGGTTTTCAACCTGAAGAATGTATATGTCTGTGTTCGGGGCAGGGGGTCATTTTTTTGAGGAGAGGATCGAAATTTGCAGAAAGGACTGTTTTGAATATTGGAGTCATGTTTTCACTGTCTTTGTACTTCTCATATTGCCTGGCAAGGCGTTCCTGTATATGATGAGGATTCAGTAAATGTGGGAATTATTTTGAAGCCTTGTTATCTTTACTAATGGTAGAAAATTGTTGCATTTTATCAATCTGTTATATTCTAAGGAATATGTCTGATCTAATTCCTAGTTCAAGATGGCAATTAAAATACTCTTTTAAAAGTACACTAAGAATATTTTTTTACCTAGTATTAGTGTTCTGTCCAGCAAACACATTTGTCTTGATGTAATTTAGGAAACACTTAAAAGTATTTGGTCCCATAAATAATTTTTTAAAAATTGTTTTAAACACTTTTTGTGGTAAATTGGAAGCTAATCTACTGTTTCTTTGCCCAGGCTGATACCCATACTTTACCAGACTGCTTAGTAGACAGTATTACTGTGTTTACCTAACATTAATTTGTGTTAAGATTAATAAAATGGTTCAGTGGTAATGGAATGTTCTTTATAGATTTGGCAGAAGTGATATTTCTGTTTCCCCCCTACTCTAACTGGATTGTAATGTTTTATTTTAGCGTATTTTATATGAAATCATCTGGTCCAATTTTTACGTTATTAATAATTCTTAATGGATATAAGGAAGACTTGGCTATGAGAATCTGAAATCAAAATGTTGCCAACGTTTACTTACACTGAAGATGGTTTCAGTTGCTCTAAGTTGTTTCAAAGCTAAAGAGCAGTATGGAAAGCTCAGCATTTGTTTTGATTCTGCTTTAAGAATGCAGTGTAAAGGGCAGGAGGAGCTCAACACCAGCTGGAAGCACATCCCTGTCTCCTTGGTTTCTGCAGAGTCAGGATGAACGCAGGACCGGAACCAGGGGCTCAGTGTCTCTTGTTACGTCTGGTTTCTCATACTAGATTATTGATCTTCGATCCAATTCATGCAGCCTAATAGTTCCTCTAAATCTCACCAGAGCCTGGAGCCTGCACTGATGGTAAGGTAAATGTCTAGGCAGTTCTAGTTCTGGAAGGAAAATTTTTAAAGGGAAAGGAAAAAACTTATTTTCCTTACTCTTATAGGACATTTAAATGATGCATCAGGATCCAGGAAGCACAGAGAAACACTTAAAAGATTTTGGAGTGATTGCTACGGTTTGTGTTTTTTGAAGAAAATGAGAATTAAATGCTTTTCTATCTTGATGCTTGTTTTAGGGGTTGTAGAAGGTGATTTAGCTGCCATAGAAGCATACAAGTCATCAGGAGGAGACATTGCACGTCAGCTCACCGCAGATGAAGTACGCTTGCTGAATCGTCCTTCTGCCTTTGATGTTGGCTATACTCTTGTACACTTGGCTATACGTTTTCAGAGGCAGGATATGCTAGCAATATTGCTTACAGAGGTAAGTTTGGCGTTTTGGTTAAATGTTCTTTTATATTAAAGAAACCTGTTCTTTAGTTTTCATTTTTGATTTTATAATGTTTCTCTAAGCAGCTTTAAAATGTTTTGAATTCTTTTACCCCCTTTTAAAAATAACATTAAACTTAAGAGACTTAATTTTTAAGGGTATATGCTTTCAAATATTTGAATAGTCACAACAATGTTTGACTCATCATGTTTGGTTCATACAAACCTGGGATGTATCTGTCATTCTTTAGTCATTCAATTAACAGATATTTATTGTGCATTTACTGTGTGCCATGCACTAGGCTGAGAAGGGATACAATTGTAAAGATACTGGCTCTTTCTTCATTAAATCTCCAGCAAAGTAGAGAAATGAACAGGTAATTCTGTGCAGCCTGTGCCCTGGTAGATGTAAATGCCAAGTGTTATGCCAGTACTTGAAGAGTTTTGAGGTGTCTTGTCGTCTTTCTTATAGCAGGTAATGTTTTTGCTGCAATTTGAAGAGAAAGAGTTAGGAGTTAGCCACATGAAGTGGATAAGGGAGAGAAGGGAAGTTGAGGAAAGCATTTTTACAGGGGGCAGAGATGGTGGAATTTGTGGTGAATCTAGGGACTTGCAGGTAACTAAGCATGGCTGAGATGGTGATTGGGAATGGAGAGAAGGGAAGTCTGAAAGATAAGCAGAGGCTGGATTACGAAGGATCTTCTGTGTCAAGGAATTTGAAGATTATCCCTAGGCACTGGATGGTGTTAGGTATGGGCGCAGGGGAGTGAGCAGAGCAGATTGTGTTTTGGCTGCTGCACACTGGAGAGGGGTGAGCCTGGTTAGGAGGGAGTTGCAGAGGTGCTGGCAAGAACTTCTGCCAGAAGGGCAGAAGGGTAGCCATAGAAGGGTACCCAGAAGGGTAGCCTTAGAAATGGGAAGAGGGTTAGAGGGTTGGAGAGACTGAGACAGGCCCTCAGTCTGAAGAAGTAGACTGATTGGATATGGGAAGATACAGTGTGGATGTAAGTTGATTCTTCAGTTTCTGGCTTACATAACTAGGTACATGCTACCAATGATAGAGATTGTGTATGAATTATTCAGAATGTGACTACATTATCCAGGTTTTTTTTTTCTTTCTTTTTTTTTTTAAGCTGGAGTCTCACTCTGTTGCCCAGGCTGTAGTATAGTGGCACGATCTTGGCTTACTGCAGCCTCTGCCTCCTGGGTTCAAGCGAGTCTCCTTTGTCAGCCTCCTAAGTAACTGGGATTGTAGGCACATGCCACCATGCCTGGCTAATTTTGTATTTTTAGAAAGGTGGGGTTTCACCATGTTGGCTAGGCTGGTCTTGAACTCCTGACCTCAAGTGATCTGCCCGCCTCGGCCCCCCAAAGTGCTGGGATTATAGGCATGAGCCACCGTGTCTGGCCAAGGTAACATTTTTTAATGGTAAGAGAAATAGAGTAAAAGTGCAGAGAGTCATATTAATTGTGGATTCAAATTTTGTCAGTATACATCTTTCATATATACTTTTGCATATTTGTTTATTCAAATTTGCCAATATTTGGGAACCACTGCAGGGCACTGTATGGGGATTAAAAAATTTGAAGGTTAGATGGAAACATGATTGTAGTAGCTAACCCCTGTGTCCAGTTTGGTAAGATTCCAGTGAAGCCGGGGTGGGGGGCTTGAGAGACTGAAGGCCATGATGAAAACAAAAGGGCAGGCTTATTGAGTATAAGGGAGAAGGGAACTTTTCAGATAGAGGGATCCAGGTTTTGGAACATGAGATAGAAGAATTGGAGTTTTTCTAGTGTCGAAGGCCTGGCTGCATTTGTGTTGTGGTGCCTAGTTGTGTTGTCTATTGTATATTGGAAGGGCTGTCAATGTGGAGTTGTAGTTGCTGGTGGTGACAGGAGCCAGGATAAAGAAGGTGGTTGTGAACTAGGGTGAAAGTCTTAAGGGGCTCCCCTAAAGGTAGGTAGAAGATTATTACAAGGTTTTAGAGGGGCCATTGTGAGTCATTGAGCTCCTGAGACAGTCTGAGGAGTAACAGTGGGATGATGATCGAACATCAGTATATTTATTGCAGTATCACAGATTGTCTGGAAACTTAGCAGCTAAGACAACAAATGTATGTTATCTCACAGAGTTTGTGAGGGTTAGAATCCAGGAGCTGCTTAGCTGAATAGTTTTGGCTCATGATGTCATGAGGTTGCAGTCAAGTGGTCCAGGGCTGTAGTTGTCAAAAGACTCAACTGGGGCTAGAGTATCTGTTCCTAAGCCCACTCAGGTGGCTTTTGGCAGGAGGCTTCAATACTGTGCCATGCAGGCCTGTCTACAGGGATGCTCATGATACAGCAGCTGGTTTTACCCCCAACAAGTGATCCAAGAGAGGCACAGAGTACAAGAGAGTGATCCAGTGTCTTTGAAACCTGCAGTGTCTTTTATAAATTGATTTAGGAAGCAACATACCATTACTTTTGCTGTATTCCGTGGGACGTGTAGAACAACCCTGGAACAGCGTGGGAGAGGTGGAGGGGATTTGTTCCAGGCAAAGAGCAAAATTGGTCATGGATTCAGTCTCCATGGAGTAAATACTCCAAAGGACAGAATTAAAGGGGCCAGTAGGGAGACTGGAAGTGGGGGAGTCTGGACTAAGTCTAGACTAAGGGGGTGTGTTGCAGAGAATGCTCAGCCAAGTTCTTTTGGAATGAGAACAGGAGAACATTAGAGTTGGGGATATGTATGTGGGGCAGGAATTTTCATCGGTTTCTGTGTCATGGACCATGTTGGTAGTTTCATGAAACTTATGGACTCCTTCCCAGAATACTGTTTTTAAATACAAAAAATAAGAAGTAAATGAGATTACAAAGGAAATCAGTTGTATTGAAGTAATAGCTACCAAAATACTAAACTAAATTTGTGATATATAAGAAAATACATTTTAATATAGGTAAAAAGTTGGGGATAATTGATTTAACTTGAATTAAAACCAAATTCCCATTAAAGTACATGGACCATTCCCAAGATCATGGACCCTAAGTTAAGAACTCCCAGCCTACGGAGATGGTTGAGAACCATAAGGTTGAAGGAGGTGAGAAGGTGAGTGGCAGGCTTCAGGGGCACATCCTGCTTAAGGATGGTGGTGGAAGGGGTTGTTTGGGGGCTAAGTTTCTTTTAGAATGTTTGTGGTAGTCAGGGTCCAGTCCAGGTGGTTTTTGGAAAGGTCTTTCCAGGTTTTTGGAAAGGGCCTGAGAGCTAGCTGATGGGAATAAGCTATTTTTGAATTTACTTTGGGGGAGCCATTTTAACTATGTTACTTGAGAAATAGTCAATTATATTCTGAAAATATTTAATATTTGGTTTTCCATGTTTGAGTGTTGACTAATGGTTGGGCTCATGGAGTTAAGATATAGTGAGAATTTTCATGGTTAATGGTAATCTTGGCCAATAAAGTCTAGTTGAACTGAATTTCCACGTAGGAGTTTTTAAATTTTTTATTTTTTTCTTTTCTTTTGAGACAGACTTTCTCTCTGTTGCCCAGGGGAGTGATCATGGCTCACTGCAGCCTTGACCTCCCTGGCTCAAGTGATCCTCTCACCTTTCAGCCTCCCCAGTAGCTGGGACTACTGGTGCATGCCACTAATGCCTAGCTAATATTTTGGGGTTTTTTGTAGAGGCAGAGTTTCATTATGTTGCCCAGGCTGGTCTTGAATTCCTGAGCTCAAATGATCCTCCTGCCTTGGCCTCACACAGTGCTGGGATTACAGGTGTGAGCCACTGCACCAAGCTGCAGTTTCAGAATAGGGAGTCAGGTAACTGTGCTGGGTATGCAGGGTTTTTGAAATATTATTTCTTTAATAGCAATAGCAGTTAGTTGTCTGCATATATGATGTAGATAACATTATCATTAAACCTTACTCTTTGAGAAGAAGAAGAAGGGGCTGGAAGACCTGTTGCTTCACACCCCACTGTGGCTGGAAGGCTACCTTTGGGATAATCGTCCAGGTTGGTGACATCAGGGAACAGGCTCACTGTGGGTTCCCACGGTATTCTCTTTGGGGTTTTTTTTTTTTTTTTTTTTTTTTGGCAGAGTCTCTCTCTGTCACCCTGGCTGGAGTGCAGTGGCGCGTTCTCAGCTCATTTCAACTTCCTCCTCCCGGGTTCAAGTGATTCTCATGCCTCAGCCTTCCAAATAGCTGAGACTACAGCTAATTTTTGTAGTAGTATTTTTAGTAGAGACAGGGTTTCATCATGTTGGCCAGGCTGGTCTCAAACTGCTGAGCCGAAGCAATCCACCCGCCTCGGCCTCCCAGAGTTGGTGGGATCACAGGCGTGAGCCATTGTGCCTGGCCTTGAATTCTGTTTGTTACTCGCAGATGCTCAACTGTGATTTTAGAATTCTGTGTATGTATTTTTATTTAGCTCCACAAACTAGATATGACTGAAATGTGAGGTTAAATTAAATCTTTGCAACATTTGTTGCTATTTAGCATTTTAAAAAGAATAAAAAAATAACAAAAGAAAGTTCTAGCCTTCTTTGGTTTGTTGTTTTCTTGCTTAGAGGCCTGTGCAGTAGTGCTCCCATCTCACTCCTGTCAGGCTGAGCTTCAGAGGTTGGCAGTCTGTGTTTAAACTTGCAGATGCCAAATGCTTTTTTAAAAACTCAAGAGTGGTAACAAATGGAGAGGAAGAAAGGGCTTGAGGTCAGTGGGAACTAACCCTTTAAATACCGTGCTTTTTTTAAGTCCAAGTTAGGGTACTTGAAACTTGTGGTGTGGGAGAAGAGTATTTGCAGTTTCCCTTTATCAGCTGTGATTCTCTGCTTCTAAAGAATGTTTTTATTGTGTGCACGATGGTTAGTCTACTGAGGTTTTCTGTCCTCTCTCCTCTTCCTGTGATGTGTCTATGAACAACACCCTTTTCCATACATTTTTATGTGCATCTTTGAGTATTTCCTTGTGATAAATTCTTAAAGAGAATTACTGAATCAGAGGATAAAACATTTTTGTGACTGTTACTGAAAACTTATTCTGGTATATACTTTCATTGGTAAGGAAATAATACCAGTGTATTTTAAGATTAAAGAAAACCTTGAGTTATTGGGAAATTTTGCTGATTTCTTTTAAATACTGTTGTTTTCTGCTTCCACTTATGATACATGAGATGAGAGGAAGGTTTCTTTTGTATTTAAGGTGTCTCAACAAGCAGCAAAGTGTATTCCAGCAATGGTGTGTCCTGAACTGACAGAACAAATCCGGAGAGAGATAGCTGCCTCTCTTCATCAGAGAAAGGGGGATTTTGCTTGCTATTTTCTGACTGACCTTGTAACATTTACATTGCCAGCAGGTAACTCCAAAATCTAACGTAAAAAGACTTTTTTATTTTATTATAGTTACATTTGTGTATGTAGGTGAAAAATGTTTCTGTTAGAAAGCACATAACATAGCTACTGTATGTGCATCTTAAATTACTTGACTGTCTTATATATGCTGGAAGTGAGCATACAGAGGATTACTTGTTAGGAAATGCGTCTGCTATCTGAGAGGAAGACAGCAGTTGATAGTAACGGATTTCTTTGTGGACCTCAGATTATTTTTTAAAAATCTGTTGTACTCTTTTATTTTTCTCTTTGGTTTTATTTTAGAATATCCTTTAAAAAAATCTCCTTTGAAAAATTTTCCCTTTTCATGCTTGTGTGTTATTTGAAATTAGATAGCTATATTGGTTACCTGGTATTAAGAGATGGGATTAGAACATGAGCTTTTGATGGGTAGAGTCAGGTTATTTGAATTGAACACACTGCATCCTCTTGAATATGTCATTCCTTTTTTACTCATTTATTTCTACTATGTTTGTGAAGGAACTTTTCATTTTTCAATTCATTGACAGTTGAAAACATCCTCCAGAATGCGTTTTGTCAGTTGGCATTGAATAAATACACCAAACACCAAACGTTTCTAAAATCTTTCATCTGAGATTCTGAGATCTGTTTGTTTTGTTGCTGTTTTTTTTTTTTTTAGATTGAAACGGGGTCTTGCTCTGTTGCCCAGGCTAGAGTGCAATGGGCGTGATCATAGCTTACTGCGCCTTCAACTTCTGGGCTCAAGTGATCTCCTGCCTTGACCTCCTGAGTAGCTAGGACTATAGGCACATGCCACCCACCCCTGGCTAATTTTTAATTTTTTTGTAGAGATGGAGTCTCGCAGTATTACTCAGGCTAGATCTCAGTGTTTTTAATTTTTATGTTCAGACAAACGGATTTTTACAAATTGTAGGAGATAGTAACTAAGTTTTCTGAAACTGGAGGAAGTTTCATTTGAAATGCACTTGTTCTGAGTATTTAAGCTTACCCCAGAATGATTAGATTTTTAAAAATTTATTTTTTATTTTTATTTTTTGAGACAGGGTCTTACTCTATCGCCTAGGCTGGAGTGCGGTGGCAGGATCACGGCTCATTGCAGCCTTGGCCTCCCCAGGCTCAAACAGTTCTCTCACCGTAGCCTCCTGAGTAGCTGGGACACAGGTGTCTGCTGCCTTGTCTGATTAATTTTTGTATATTTTTTGTATAGAGACAGGGTTTTGCCGTGTTGCCCAGGCTGGGCTCAGAATCCTGAGTTCAAGCAGTATGCTGGCCTCAGCCTCCCAAAGTGCTGGAATTATAGGCGTGAGCCATTGCACCCGGCCCAGAAAAGAAATATTTTATATCACACATGTTACACTGGTATATTAAGAAAAAGCTATCTGATAACCTTCAATGGAAAGGGAGTTATTTTAGAGAAAGTTACTAGTAGGTAATTAATAAGTGTAATTAAGTATAAGTTAAGTGTAAGTTATGAAACAAAAGATCTTTTAAGTTTGCATTTTCTTTGTAGATATTGAAGATTTGCCCCCAACAGTCCAAGAAAAATTATTTGATGAGGTGCTTGATAGAGACGTTCAAAAAGGTAAGCATGGAATTAATGAGTATAATTTACCTTTCATCTGATCAAGTAAGTTTTGTTTAGTAAGGCATGGTGTAGTTTGGTGTGTAGTCAACTTGCTTTATTTTTATTTTAAATTAAAGACGTAAAGTCCTGAAGTTCAGTGTTATATTGTATGGTTCACTGTTACAGAGTGAACAAATAAAGATACAAAAATTTTAAAACCTTGGTTCTCCGCTTCCTGTTCCAGAATGTATATATTTCTATATGAAACACTTTTTAGAAAATAAAACTGTAAAGAATTTAAAAGTTTATTAAATTATTCTAGAGACAGAAGATGTTTCAAGTACTCAAAAGTTTATATTTCAATTGGTCAATTTTATTTAGGTGTTTATTGGTAAATTACATATAAACCATTTTATAGCTAGAAAATAGGTTCTTCTCCCCATGAGTATTCTCTAATGACATAGGTATGGAAATGAACATGTATTTAAATCCATCGTACAGAATTAGAAGAAGAATCTCCAATTATTAACTGGTCCTTGGAATTGGCTACACGTTTGGACAGTCGACTGTATGCACTTTGGAACCGGACTGCAGGAGACTGCCTACTTGATTCAGTTCTACAAGCTACCTGGGGCATCTATGACAAGGACTCAGTGCTTCGGAAAGCCCTGCATGACAGCCTGCATGACTGTTCACATTGGTGAGCTGGCATTCTGCCCTGTTTCAACCCAGGAGTGCATTTGCTGGATTATTTCCTTGTAGTGGTGGGATACTTTTTATGTCAGTTATATTTTCTATGGAAACTGGAGGAAAAACAGTTCATTTTGGACATTAAAATACTTTGAACACGTCCATGGTTTCTGTTTTTGTTTTTCCCCCAAGAAATGAGATAAAAGCAAGAATCAATGGTTTTTATACATTTTTTTGCTAAATTTTAAAATAGAAACATTTGAAGCTTTAAAATGCAAGCATTTATTGTTTCTATAAGACACAGGCAGTATATTTGAACATTTCAAATGCAGCATTTCAAGTTATATATAGTAGCCTTAAATATTGATAAGGCCGTTGCTCATCTTTTTAGGGATTGATTGACTGATTGATTGATTGATCCATCGATGGAAGCAGGGTCTGGCTCAATTGCTGTGCTGGAGTGCAGTGGTGCAGTCTTGGCCCACTGCATCCTCCACCTCCTGGGCTCAAGCCATCCATCCACCTCAGCCTCCTGAGTAGCTAGAACTACAGGTGCTCATCACCATGCCTGGCTGTTTTATGTATTTTTGGTAGAGATGGAGTTTTGCCATCTTTCCCAGGGTGGCTTTGATAATCCTGATCTCAAGCGATCCGCCTGCCTGGGGCCCCCAAAGTGCTTGGATGACAGGCCTGAGCTGCCGCACCCAGCCTTATTGAATATTTGTGTTCACATAAGAGGTTATCTTGACATTGTGTTACAAGTTTTTTTCCTTCCTGAGGGAGTCTTAAGATCACATTTTTTATTTTGCAAATTTTCAAACCCATGGAATAATTTTAAAAAAATTCAGTGCAATAGATCCTGGTATTTTCTTCATTCAGTTGAGCAGTTATTAACATTTTGCCACACCTGCTCCATGTCTCCATACAGAAAGACTCGTGGGTCAATTCGTTGTAGACATCATGATGCTTTACCCTTCAAAATATCAACATACATCTTTCCAGAATAAGAATATTGTCCTACTCACCCACATCCCCATTCCTACATCTAAGTAATTCAACATTGATTCTGTTATCTAACAGTTCATAATCACATTTCTTCAATTGTATCAAAGTGTTCTTTATATATATATTTTTTAACAGCATGCAATCACTGGAAAAATAATTGTTTTTGTGAATGAATAGTTCAGTCTTTACATTTGTTTGACTTATGTGGTATTTTTTTGGTTCTTTGAACATTATCTCATTTAGTTATTACAGGCATGAGCCACCGTGCCCGGCCTATAAATTACTTTCTTGAGAGCTAAATTGTAGATCAAAGCATAATGCAGTATGGCTGGGGTTTGTGGCTCATGCCTGCAATCCTATTGCTTTGGGAGGCTGAGGCAGGCAGATCATTTGAGGCCAGGAGTTCAAGACCAGCCTGGCCAACTTGTTGAAACCCTGTCTCTACTAAAAATACAAAAATTAGCCAGGTGTGGTGGTGCATGCCTATAATCCCAGCTATTCAGGAAGCTGAGGCACGAGAATTGCTTAAATCCAGGAGGAAGAGGAGGTTGCAGCGAGCCAAGATCGTGCCACAGCACTCCAGCCTGGGTGACAGAGTGAGACTGTCTTGTGGGGAGCGGAGGGGGAAGCATAACGTAATAGAGTAACAATTTGTGGGCACATTAGAGAAATAAAATAACTTCCTGGATGACCTGACTGGATGTATAATAAAGCTAAAGAATGAATGTGTCACTCCGGTAGTTTTAGTCAATTAGTAATTGTCCTGGAGAGAGGGCTCTTTTGTGCCTCTTAGTGGAGATGGCTGTCTGGTAGTATGAAGTAGGTTCATCGGGCTGGGTAAGCCTGATGCTGGTCAGTGCTCTGCCGGTCTGGCCCTCTTGATCAGATCCTGTGGTCACCAAGCAGCTTCCTGTTGCTGATTTTCTTAGCTTCCTACTGCTGATTTTCTTGACCACTGCTATGGGCCTGTCTATGTCAAGAGGATGAACCTGGTTTGGTTCCTAAGACAGTGGGTTCTTGGCATTGTGGTTTCACAGGTCTGCCTTGTAGTTTTGGTTAATGTCACTCTGCCCTGTAAGATGGAAAGCCAGGTTTGAACTGTGGTAAATCTACCACTTTGCAGGTTCTCTCTAAAAAGGCAGCCAGTAATCTTTTCTTTGGTGGTAATTTCCTTTTTTTTTTTTTTTTTTTTTTTTGAGGCAGAGTCTTACTCTGTCGCCCAGGCTGGAGTGCAGTGGCATGATCTCGGCTCACTGCAACCTCTGCCTCCCGGGTTCAAGCAATTCTCGTGCCTCAGCCTTCGAAGTAGCTGGGATTACAGGTGGCGCCACCATACCTGGCTAATTTTTTGTATTTTTAGTAGAGATGGGGTTTCACCATGTTGCCCAGGCTGGTCTCGAACTCCTGAGCTCAGGCAGTCCGCCCACCTCGACCTCCCAAAGTGCTAGGATTACAGGCGTGAGCCACCGCGCCTGGCCTTTTCTTTGGTGGTAATTTCCTGATCTGTTGAAAGGCCAAAAGTACACTGTGGATTTTAGAAGTGATGTCTTTTTTTTAGTGATGAGGGTTTTTGGTGGTGGTGTTTGTTTTTTGAGAAAGGGTCTTGCTCTGTCACCCAGGCTGAAATGCAGGGGCACGATCTTGGCTCACTGCATCCTTCACTTTCTTGGGCTCAGGTGATCCTCCCACCTCAGCTTCCTATGAGTGGCTGGGACTGTAGGAGTGTGCCACCACACGTGGCTAATTTTAAAATTTTTCTGTAGAGATGAGGTCCTCACTGTATTGCCCAGGCTGGTCTTGAACTCCCGGACTCGAGTGTTTCTTCTGCCTTAGCCTCCCAAAGTGCTGAGATTACAGGCATGAGCTACTACTGCACCTGGCCTTTTTTTTTTTTTTTTTCTTTTTTTAAAAAGACATTTGTGGTGAGTAAGAATTGCTTTGGGGTTTATGCCCACCTGTTCCTCAGAGCTGGCTATGGATGATCTTATGAGTGAGTTGTCACTAATGTTTGTATCGGGACTGGAATTCTCAGATGGTTGCAAGTCATTTGAGGTCCCAGAAGTCCAGCATAGAGATAGGGAGATTGTGGGCAGATCTCTTGAGCCTAGGAGTTCAAGACAAGCCTTGGCAACATAGTGAAACCCTGTCTCCACCAAAAAATACAAAATTTAGCCAGGCGTGGTAGTGTGTGCCTGTAGTTCCAGCTACCTGGGAGGCTGAGGTGGAAGGATTGTTTGAGCCTGGAAGGTTGAGGCTGCACTGAGCCAAGATCATGCCACTGCACTCCAGCCTAGGTGACAGAGTGAGACCCTGCTAAGAAAAAAAAAAAAAAAAAAAAAAAAAGATGGTTTGGTGGAGAAATACAGTCTGATGTTGTAAATAGGCTAGATAGGGAGTGGCTACTAGGGTGAGAAGGAACTAGGCTGTTTGTTTACAGCCACTGGCAAGAGTTGTTGCAGCAGAACTTTTAGTCCATAGTCCTGACTCTTAAAGGATGCTTCAGGAGTGAGCACCTAGGGCTGGCATATGGACAGGTGTCCCAGAACAGCATGGTTTGGCATCACCTCCTCCAGTCCCTGCCACCGGGGAGCTTTGCCCGATGGTTTACAGTTCAGGCATAGGAAGCTGCATTGATTACAGTGATCACACAGACATCCTTACAGTATTGGGGGGTGGGTTGGGGTGAAAATTAGTGGTTAGATAGTAAGTGTTGTTGCCATGGATTCGGGAGATCAGATATACTAGCCCTAAGGAATAACCCATACATAGTTCTTGTGTTGAGTTGCATTAGGTTTGTCCACTGGGCCTGTCATGTGACCAGTAGAGAGTAGAGTGAGCAGCCGTGGGTTTTCTAGGCCAGGAGAGGAGGAGCCAGCATGTAGCTTGTGTAGTCTCCTTTTAAAGATGCTCTTTGCTGAGGTGCCTTTTGCACTTAATTGAAATCAGCTGGAGTGAGATGTTTTCTTAAGTCATATAAGATACATAGTAAGAACTGAGAAAGCAATTTTCTTTTATTTGAACCCCTCCACCCGTCACTTCAAGATAGGCTATTTGTGTTTGTAGCTAGCTGTGCTGTTCTCTTGGATACCCGTGATTTTAGCTGACTCAGGTTCTCAAGTCTGAATATATTGTACTTGCCTTTCAGTGACATGCCAACCCAATTTCCCACGGGGCAGGTGGAGGCGTTTAATGTTAATTGGGGAAAAAAATCAATATAAGTCTTTTAGAATTATTCCTTTTTTTCTTTTTGGAGACAGGGTCTTGGTCTGTTGCCTGGACTGGAGTGCAGTGGTGCGATCTTGGCTCACTGTAACCTTATACCTTGTGGGCTCAAGCAATTCTCCCACCTCAGCCTCCCAAGTAGCTGGGACTACAGGCACATGCCAACATTCCCAGCTAATTTTTTTTTTTTTTTTTTTTTTGTATTTTTTTGTAGAGACGGGGTTTCGCTATGTTGCCCAGGCTGGTCTCAGACTCCCACCTCGGCCTCCTAAAGTGACTGTTTTTGTTATGAAGAATTATCGGCCGGGCCTGGTGGTTCAGGCCAATAATTCCAGCGCCTTGGGAAGCTGAGGCTGGAGGATTGCTTGAGCTCAGGAGTTCAAGACCAGCCTGGGCAACATAATGAGACCCTGTCTGAAAACAAAGAAAAACACAATGAGATACTACTTCACATGCACATAAATGGCCATAACCAAAAAGACAAATGATAACAGTGTTGTTGAGAATTTGAAGAAATTGGAATCTTCATACATTGCTGATAGCAACGAAAAATGTTCTAGGTCTTGAACTCCTGGGCTCAGGTGATCTTCTAGCCTCAGCCTCCCAGTTAGCTGGGATTGCAGGCACATGGGCTCCTTGTGATTTTGATTTGCATTTCCCTATTTAATGATGATACTGAGTGTCTTTTCATGTGCTTATTGCTCATTCCTATAGCGTCTTTGGTTTAATATCTTTCCACGTCTTTTGCTCATTTTTAAATGGATTGTCTTAATATTGATTTGCAGATGTTGTTTGTATCAGGTCCCTTATTGGATATCTGCTTTGCAGATATTTTTTTCTATTCTGTGGCTTGTCTTTTCACTTCATTAGCAGTGTCTTTTGAAATCACGAGTCTTTAATTTGATCAAGTTCAGTTTATCAATGTTTTTCTGTTATTGCTCATGCTTTTGCTGTTGTATCTGAAGAGATTTTTGTCTAGCCCAAGGTCACGAAGATTTACTCCTGTGTTTTCATAGAAGAATTTTATAGTTTTAACTTTTACATTTAGGTCATTTTTGTTTTACATTTTGAGGTCATTTTTGTTTAAAGTGTGAGATGTCCTAAATTCACCTTTTTGCATGTGGATACCCAGTTGTTTCGGTACCTTTAATTGAAAAAAACCCTTTCTACATTCTATTGCCTTGGCAATTTTGTCGAAAATTAGTTGACCATAAAAGTAAGGGTTTGTTTCTGGACTCTTAATATTTTTCTATTGATTTATTTTTCCACTGGGCTATCGTTATGTCATTACCAGACTGTCTGGATGATCATATCTTTGTAATACATTTTGAAATCTGGACTGTAAGTCATTTGACTTTGTATTTCTTTTTCAACATTGTTTTGACTATTTTGAGTCCTTTGGATTTCCATATACATTTTAGGATACAGCTTTATCGATTTTTGTAAAAAAGACAGCTGGGATTATGATTGGGATTGCATTGAATCTGTAGATTTAATTGGGGTGATGGTGGTATTGCCAGCTTGACAATATTGAGCCTTCCAATCCATGAACATGGAATTGAGTTTTGAATGTTAAACCAAACTGGTATTCCTGTACCATTTGGTCATATATTGCTGGATTTGGTTTGCTTGTCTGTTCTTATGGAGACTCTGGTAGTATCAGAGTTTAGGTCTTGGGGTGGTGAGGATGAACATTTTAACATGTTTAGTTTTAAAGTATATTTCATTGAACCTCCCTTCTTCAGTGGTCTTTGAAGAGTTTTGAGTGCAATCACCATTGAATTTCTGGCTGGCTTAGCTGTCTTATTTATAAAGTTATTTTAGGCACCAAGAAATTTCTAACTGCATATAACTTTCAGTATTGACAATTTCTCTGATATTTCTCCTTGAACTTTTCAAAACAATGTATTTCATCACTGTTGCCAAAATTTTCAAGACACATTTATCTTAGCGATTATAAAAGAATATACATATTTTAATTTTAAAACATTTGGAATTATGATTAAACATCCTCAGTTACGTGGAGTATGAAAAATGTTTTAAACTGAGTTAAACCTCTGGAACATTATATTTTAATTTCTTTAGGAAATATATTTACTCTCTAAGGAGCCCTTCATTAAATTACTGTAAAGTTACTTGTGACACCACCCATTTAACTTTTTTTTTCCCCCCGCAATATAGCCGGGGTCTCACTATGTTGGCCAGGTTGTTTTGAATTCTGGACCTCAGGCAATCCTCCTCCTTCAGCTTCCCAAAGTGCTAGAATTACAGGTGTGAGTTACCACACGTGTTCACGTTTAACTTTAATATGCTGAAACTTTTTAACAACAGGAACAGATTGGTCTTTTGTTTCTTTTACCTAGAATTCAGATGTATAGAAGATAAATGTGATGTTATAAACAGATTAAATGTCTGTCTGCATTTTAGAGGTCTTAGTTGGCTTGTTTTTATAAGACAGTGAACCATAATTTTGAGCATAATTATTTCTGAATTTTTATATTTGATAGACAAAGAATCGATGTGTTTTCAGTAATTCAGTGTTAAGCATAAAGAAGGAATGTTTTCTGTCATTGCAGTGGGTTTCTTTTTGGTTGCTTTTGAATTATTAGGTGATCATCAGAGAAATTATTTATGGAAAGAAATCTCAGGGAGATGATCTTGATACTATGAACACACGGAATATTTCCCACCTGTTGTTTATACAAGTGATCAAGTAGGTGGTGTACTATACATTGATAGAGAAATGTAGTGTCTTTGTATACAACATTTCAGATGACTTTTTTTTTTTTTTTTTGTAAACTAATTGTGGACAGTGGAAAATAACCAGTCTCATCATTAGCGTTTGAAGTTTGAAAATTTGGTTGTCGGTAAATCAAATTCTGACTAAAGATGTTAAAGGATGTTACAAGGTATCTGCTAGTGGAAGAGGGAGGCATTTTTCATTAGAAAAATACATTACCAACCAGACAAAATAAAATTATTAATTGTTTCACAGACTGCTTAAAGACTGCATTAAATAAAAATGATCAGAACTTTAAATGTTTTATTTATAGAAGACTATTTATTTATTTTTTTACTATCCTGCTTTTTTAGGTTTTACACACGCTGGAAAGATTGGGAATCATGGTATTCTCAGAGCTTTGGTTTACATTTTTCCTTGAGAGAAGAACAGTGGCAAGAAGACTGGGCATTTATACTCTCTCTTGCTAGTCAGGTGAGGATGCTTCAAGTCTTGTTGCTTCTATGAGAAAAGTAAGCATGTAGTCTAAACTGGTTTATTTGAGCAAACCATGTTGGGGGCAATGTGGTCAAAGAAAAGAATGCTTGACGTGGTATCATCAGTCAACTTGGGTTCTAGTGATGACTGCTGTGTATCAAATAAATAGCATCGCAAGTATAGATGAGCATCGCAAGTATAGATTAGCATCGCAAGTCCTCACTGCAGAGCAGGAAGAGTAACGTGTTTTTATATCGAATGATTAAAAACATCAAAAAGTGAAAGCTGTGCTATGACGGTTACATACAGTAGATAGTCTTGGGATTGCTCTCCGTTCCTGCAGCATAGGCTTGATGCCTATGGTACCTATCCAGGTGAGCTCTGTTCTGTCTCTGGGGACACTTAAGATTACTGGTGTAGGTACTTGCATTGCTGTTGCTGATCTGTCAGGCCCTGAGGAACCAGTTGTCAATCTTCATAATGCTCCCTGTGGTGAGGCAATACCTGTGTCATGTAGGCAAAGGAAAAGGGTAGTTTAGCTTACTCTGAACTAATTACCATCAATAGGAATGATTTCTGATTAATGTGGGAATGAAGTTTTGCAAGTTTGCTAACGTCTTTTTATTAATGAAGGCTGCTTGTGACACAGAACTGTGTAGGGTTGTCCCTTAGACTCTTGGTTTCATGCTTTATTTTGTGAAGCACTTCAGTATACCAAACTGTAAAGTACAAATATATATACAACTACTCCTTTTTTTTTGCAGAAAGCACCATGGTTCATTTGAACTTAGAGAAGGAGGTACCCGATCTTTGGGCAATTTGGGCAGGATTCATAGTGGTTGATTTACATGAGACATGTATCTCACACCATGCATTGTAGCTCGATGATGGACCCATTTAATATTAGTATTCACGAGTTAGTTGATACTGCCATTTACATTTGCATGAAACAGGCTCACTTATTTATTTCAGGAGGACTTTGTTGTAGGTAGTGCTTTCACAGTAACTTAACGAGAATGTGATAATAAAGCATCCTTAGTTATCTGAATCTCTGGTTCCTGAGGTTGGAGAGTTAGTAGTGAGGGATATTTCAAAGTATGTATGCACATCTGTATAATTTGTGAGTTTGGATGGTAAATGATATTTGCATGTAGCCTTTATAGATTTCTTTTACAGTTTTACTGGATTTATTATTTGAGGAATCAAATGCTGCTTTGACAATCTTTTCTTTCTTAAAAACCAACTGCGATAGTATACTGAAGGGGAGGTAGTATTGTTTTTTACACATCAGTTTTCCAGGAGTGGTAATAAATGTTTTAAGTTTTTGTTTTGTTTCGTACAGCCTGGAGCAAGCTTGGAGCAGACGCACATTTTTGTACTGGCACATATTCTTAGACGACCAATTATAGTTTATGGAGTAAAATATTACAAGAGTTTCCGGGGAGAAACTTTAGGATATACTCGGTTTCAAGGTAAGCCATTATTCAGGAACGTTTTACAAGTTTCTTTGAACGGAATGGCTCAGATGTCAGGAAGGAGCAGTGGACAGGGGAATGTGAACAAGGGCAGTGAGGGAGTGGCTCTTTCTTCCTGTGACTGTTGGGATTTTCTTCCCTCTCTTTCCAGGTGTTTATCTGCCTTTGTTGTGGGAACAGAGTTTTTGTTGGAAAAGTCCGATTGCTCTGGGTTATACGAGGGGCCACTTCTCTGCTTTGGTTGCCATGGAAAATGATGGCTATGGCAACCGAGGTGCTGGTGCTAATCTCAATACCGATGATGATGTCACCATCACATTTTTGCCTCTGGTTGACAGTGAAAGGAAGCTACTCCATGTGCACTTCCTTTCTGCTCAGGAGGTAAGCAGTTTCTCCTATGAACTATTTCTAGTAGTGACCTTGTACCAGAAACAGCCTGAAGTGCCTTTCAGGTGTGGTTTTATCTGCACTATCACTTAATTTCTGAATGTGATGGTAGTAATTGCTGAAGGTACTAGCTATACTTTGAAATTTACCTTTTCAAAACTGCTGTATGGGGACACATCAAGGAACTTAAGGTGGTGATGGGTTTTAAGAAGAAAAAGTAAAGATGAGGTTTGTGATTTAAATATGGCATTTTAGGGAATGAGAAGTGAGTTTTTATCTGAAAGCAGAGTTCCAAGAATTGCAAGGCCAGTGTGGTTTAAGAGGGGAAGCAACAGGGAAAGAGAGAGGGTAGGCGGCAGGGGGAGGGAGGAAGGGAGAAGAGGTCAGAGAGGATAGGGATGGGGGGGAGTTCATTGAAGGCTTTTTAAAGCTTTGGGTTTTACTCTGGATAACGTGGTAAACCAATGGCCAGTTTACCCAGAAGAGGAACATTTGGGGTCTGGTGCATGGCAGGAGCAGGAACACCAGGTATTGTAGATGAAGGGGAGTGAAAGGGTGCTGTAGACCAGACAGGGGAGGTGGTGAGAAGGTACAAAAACAACGCTCTTTCAGAAAGCCAGTATTCTTATAAAAGTATTGGTCTTTTATTTAATATACTAGTAATTATAAAACGTTTATAATCACAACATGAAGAAAAAAAGTTCATAGACCGTAACTTGTATAATTTCAGCTTGTACATAATTGACTAAGTAAACTTACCTTGTCATGTGTTTGAAGCTGTGGCTTGCCAGGATCAGTTTATTAGGACATTTGTTTTTTATTTTATCTAACAAATTACCCTCTAGTGTGCTCCTCTTTAGTTTTTTTCTGAGAAATTTCCCATTTATGTCTTTTTAAATTTAACCAGAGCAAACTGGACTTTAATCACAAAACTTCCAAGAGGTCAAAACCATGTGAAAAGTTGATTGCTTTGGCCTTTTCATGAGTTAGCATACCAGCTGTAGGTTTCCATGTCACATTCCTACCAAGTCTCTGATCTGTTGTATGATTTTCCCTTTGTCTTCATATTCCTCCAAAAGCTAGGTAATGAGGAACAGCAAGAAAAACTGCTCAGGGAGTGGCTGGACTGCTGTGTGACGGAGGGGGGAGTTCTGGTTGCCATGCAGAAGAGTTCTCGGCGGCGAAATCACCCCCTGGTCACTCAGATGGTAGAAAAATGGCTTGACCGCTACCGACAGATCCGGCCGTGTACATCCCTGTCTGATGGAGAGGAAGATGAGGATGATGAAGATGAATGAAAAAAAAAATCAAACAGCAGAAGACCAAGGCATCAGATCTGTAATGACCCTAAAGTTAGTGTGGTGCTCCAAGCAGAGTCGACATCATGGAATGAACCAAATCTGGCAGGATCTGCTCGGGGAAGTGTTTTCCTGGACCACACACACCTTATGGAGATAATGCCTCTGCTGCGTGAGGAGACAGAGAACTTTAGTTGGACTACAGTTTGTAAAAAAAACTAATTTTATTAAGACAGAACTTTTTTTCCTTCCAAATTGTAAATCTGTCTATAAATGTAACGCATGTGGTTGTGTAAGACATTGTTTAATAGGAAAAGTTGTACCAGCATCTTCATATTATTGAGAAAATTTTTTCCAGCATGGGCACTTAGAAAAAGCACATGGCAAATGGCTCTTTGTTCCTTTCAGATATTATTTCAGTAGAACCTGGCATTCTACTTTCACCTTAAAAGATCCATCTAAGTCTCAGATCTGGAAACGTTTTGTACCGATTATCCACAGCAAAACAAAAATAAGCTTTTATTTTATTAATAATT
The DNA here is from genome assembly GCF_000001405.40 of Homo sapiens. Classification (NCBI taxonomy): domain Eukaryota; kingdom Metazoa; phylum Chordata; class Mammalia; order Primates; family Hominidae; genus Homo; species Homo sapiens. The sequence continues at coordinate 124,985,529 of NC_000010.11, forward strand.
TCGTTCCTCTTGTGCCCAATCAAATCTTTTAGGAACAAACTGCAAGAAAAGCTAAGAATGTTTTAGAGTGAACTAAATACAGACATTGCTTACTTGTTTTGAAGAGGGTTTTGGTTTTGGTTATTGTGTCTTTAAGTTTTCTGATATGCCCCCTTTCAATATTTAGATATTTATTTGTTGGGAAGAATACCTTAAAATGAGGGTTCTTATTCCAGATTCTGGGCAGTGGTCTGTGAGTAGTTTTTTTCCTGGATGAAAAGGGAGCAAGCCCACTTGTCACTAAATGAATTGTGTGAAATGTGCTCACTTGGACTCCATCAACAATGTGCTGCTCCCAGATTGCCATGCCAGAGGGTCTTCGGATTCTTCCTTCTATCACCTCTGCTCTAAGCAAATCTTGTTAGAAGGGCATGCCTTTGCTTAGGCAGATTGGGAATACCAATTCACTACAGAATAAAGATTTTAAAAATGCAATAAGGTGGCAAATGCATTGTATGAAGAATTTCTCAGTGTTTAGTCTGAGAATTTTTGCATGTTGGTTAATTGTGGCCATTCTTTAATTTAAAGTTAAAACTATAATCTTAGGTAGAAAAACTTTTTTATAAGAAGTATTATTTGACCACTTCAGGTATACATTCAATACTGGGTAAAAATTTCAGACCTATCTCAGGAACACAGAAATATTTGGTGTCCTGATAAGCACTTTCTAGACTATTGATGTGGCCAGGAATTTGGAAAGACGACACACGCACGCGCGCGCGCGCACACACACACACACACACACACACACACACAGTTTTTTCCTTCCCTGTGATGAAAAAGGCTGTGAAAACCTTAAAGTATTTGCTTGCTTCTTGTTTTGTTTAGTTGATAATGAAATGTGTACAACCTCAAATTTGCTGCCAGAATACTAAAAATAGAAAAATACCCACAAAACTGTCATGTCTTTAGTTCTTTCCCCCCGAAAACTCAGTAAAAAGGTGTTCCCAGGATGAAAAGATCATTTTTTGCTGCATGCTAAATCTTGCAGGAAAAATGATTTTTTAGTACGATTCTGTAGAAATGAATCTTTGATATAATGTAAATGCTGCTGTTTGTTTCAAGTGGTGAATGTGTTGTTAAAAATTGGCTGTTTGCTTTCATTTTGGCCAATAAGTAATCAAGTTTGTAGAAAATGTTAGCATTCTGACTACTTAGCATCTGTAGTAATTTCTCTATGTATAGGGATAATTTTTTAGTGGGCAGAGATCCTGTTCTAGTTGCCTGTTAAGCAAAATCTGCCCTCCCAATTGAAAAAGCCAAAGAGAATTGTTAGAGGGAAAAGCATGTAGCCATTGCAGTCTGCATTGCAGCCAGCGTTGTCCAGAGTACACGCTCAGCACTTAGCTTCTACTGTGTGTTGTGGTCTGGTGAGTGTTGTTTCCCCTGAGCGCTCTATTATTTATTTATTTATTATCAATCAGTGACCCTGACCACATAGTGTGATAGGTGCAGCATTCTTCCCTGTGGGAAAGAATTAAAGATGGTTCCATTTCCTAGGCTACAGACAGGAATGGGGCTCTAAATGGTTTTCATAGACTGGCTGTTAAAGGCCAAAAATTTTGGTAAATCAATGCTATATTATGCTCTTGAACTATTAAAACAGCCATAATTATTGTCCCAAGATAGAATATAGTCCTTTTTCAAAGATGATTATACGTGGCTAGGTGACAGACATTAATGACTGACTCTGGAGAGTAAGTCATACCTGCACTCTGTGGACTTGATGGTTCTTTTTCTAGAGCAAACAGAGCGTGGCATTTTGTTTTGACTTGTTCTTCCTTGGGGTCAAATTTATATATATATATATAAATTTTTGTTTGGGCGACCAAGATCTAATAATTAAAACCCAGGTGGACCATGGATTCAGACCTGCCTTTTTATGTTTTTGACTCTTAGGTTCATCGTGTCCCAGACTTCTTCACATATTCGTGAAGGTAAGATATTCTGTGTGCGCTTGGCCTCCTTTTCACGCATATTTCATTGCCTCTTTGATGAGTGGTTACGAAGACGTTAAACTACCTTTTTGTTCCCTGGGGTAATAGGTCAGTAACTATGAGCGCCGTCTCTCTCCATGTGAGCTTGTGTTAATAGACACTTTTATGGTAGAGTTGGGATGGGGCCACCACCTTAAAATGAGTGAGCAGACAAGGCCAGGCAAGCCAAAGGCTTTAAGACACCATGATTTTCTTGTTTTGTTTTAATTGGGAAGGGAAGTATAAGGAAGAGCTCAGAGGGAGTTTCATACCTGGAATTGTTGGACTTAATTGACACTTGCAAATACTTTTAGTATAAAGGTTTAATTCTATTTAAAAAGAAGATCCATTAAATCAAGCTCTTAACTCATGGGACTATTTGCAACACTTCTTTGTAAATATCATTTTGTTTGTTAGGTTATTGGCAAAACAGTTTCAAGGTTCACTTCCCTCCCTTGAACCAGGTCCAGGTCATTTTGCTTTGGGGTAGATTAAAGTCAGAACTCTAAAAGTTGAGCAACTTTGTTTTTTTTTGAATTGATTTAGCACTAACCCACCATTGCATCTTAAGGATGGCATGACGTGATAATGATGGACTTGTGTGAGGTTTTGATTTTTCAATTAAACTTTTTGTTATCACAGGTAATTAATTGTCAGCGGTCTTGAGTCTGGTTATGGAACCCTGTAGTAACAAGAGCTGGAAATTGGCTAATTGACAATGCAATTGCCTTAAACATCTCAAGTAGAGAACATTTACATTAGTGAGATGTACTTGAATTTCAGAACTTAACAAATTTTAATTACTTTTTATTGAAAACTGCACTGAACGCTAAATGTCCACCTTTACAATAAACAAATACAGTAACGGTAACTCACACTAAAACAAAACATACTTCTGATAGCCATTATTTTTCTGTTTGGGACAATTTTAAAGTTTTTCTTTTGTCACAAAAACAGGAATGTACCTATACAAAGGCTCAAAATAGGCCATCTTTTTAAACAAAAAGGCAATGATTCACAAAAGACTATGAATAGAACATGTAACTAGTTGATACAAATCTAATAGGATTTGTTAAAATCAGTCACATCTAATACATCTGAAGTGTTCTTGTATAAAATATCACGTGAAGAAAAGAAGACTTTATCAATGTCTAAAAAAGTGGGTTTGTTCATAGACAATCTGACAAGTTACCATAAAAAGTGTTTCCTGAGACATAAGGAAATGCAACATTATTCTTCTTGAACCCTTTTAGCTCAAGACTTTCCACTCAATAAAATAGCAGAGGATCTGAAACTGAGAAAATATATTTGAGTACAAACAGCTTGTGAAACTTAATACTTTTTTTTTTTTTTTTGCATCATCAGAGGGTTTTACTGAACTTACAACCGACTTGCCCGCTCAGTATGCAGTTCAGATGTGAGAGGCGCTTCTCTGTACAGCAGCCTGTACTGTCTTCAATCCTATGCGTGCAGGTGTCTACCACAGGCAAACAGTTTTCTCCCCATTTTGTAGTAATGTGATTTTCCTATTAGCAAAAAGAGGTCACCAGCCCCTGTAGACTTAAGGGACTCAAGTCACAGGATGGGGATTTCCTCTTAATATTTTTTATTTTGTTGTTTGAACTCTTGATGCAACATTGTAGAGCAGGGTGTTCAGGACCTGCTGTGCCCAAGGGACTGATAAAGGAAAAAGCTCTATTTATTCTTTTTGTGATTTGATGCACAGATGAAAAACTTAACACACAATAACAGAAGTTGGTCGTTAATAAATCACATCCTAGTCTTTCAGCGCTTCCGTAAGCAGACGACATCTTCAGTTTTCTAGCTCTTGTAGTTTCAACACTGCAACATCAATGATGCATATGTCCAGAATCAGTTACAAAGACCATCCGATTCTTTTTCTCTTAGTTCATCTATTTTTCACTGTCTCTTGGTCCCAAGTGTATCTGAGTGATTACCTTCTGGCATTCTCTGCTATTGCTCGTTGGGGTGCTCTCGATTGTCCCCGTGTTTTGTGGGCTGGTTGGGAGAGGGCGCTTGGGAAGGATGTGCCACTGTCGGGAGGTTGTGAGTCACTGGGATGCCTCCAGGGATGATCCCTTCCATGGCTGCAGGAAGTCCTCCTGGAGCCACACCCACGATGCCTGGCGGATATCTAAGGAACACACAGAAATAGGGCCTTGTAAGTTCAGGGCAGAGTTGCCAAGCTCTTGGCTCTTCTACTTCTGGCCTTTTCATAAGAGACAGGAGCCCAGTGACATGAACATGGCTCACCTTGACCGACCTTCTGGGCTCAAGTGATCCCACCTCAGACACCCAAGTAGTGGCGACCACAGGCATGAGCCACCACGCCTAGCTAGTTTTTGTATTTTTTTGTAGAGATGCGGTTTTGCCAGACTGCCCAGGCTGGTCTCAAACTCTTGAGCTCAAGTGATGCCCCATCATAGGCCTCCCAGAGTCCTGGGAGTACAGGCGAGAGACACCAGGCCTGGCTAATAGTTTTTTTTTTTTTTTTTGAGATGGAGTCTCACTCTGTCGCCAGTCTGGAGTGCAGTGGCGTGAGCAATCTCAGCCCACTGCAACCTCTGCCTCCTGGGTTAAAGTGATTCTCCTGCCTCAGCCTCCCAAGTAGCTGGGACTACAGGTGTGCGCTACCACACCCGGCTAATTTTTATATTTTTAGTAGAGACGGGGTTTCACCACGTTGGCCAGGATGGTCTCAATCTCCCGACCTCGTGATCCGCCCGCCTCAGCCTCCCAAAGTGCTGGGATTACAGGCGTGAGCCACCATGCCCGGCCCTGGCTAACGATTTTTATGGGATAGTTTATCTTCCCTATCCCCAAAGCAAGGAGAAGTCTCAATTTTTATATAAAACACTGGCAACTAATTCATAAAAACAAAACTAGTCCAATCCAAACACGGGGCCACTAATTTTGTAGCTTTTAGATAAGAAGATATTAGCCCATACTATTTATGAATGTGGATACATTATACTATTTAAAAAAACCCACTTTGTACAAAATGGACTCCCAACTGTTCACCAGTTACTTCTGACTGATAAAATGATTTCCCAACAGAGTACAATGGACCCTTAGGGACTCAATGTTTGTCTCCCTCCATCCCCCTAATTCCAGTTCAAATCCCACACCTTAAAGGTGATGACCTTAAGAGGTAGAGCCCTTGGGAAGTGACTGGGTGAGGAAATGACTGGGTCATGAATGGGATCAGTGCCTTTACACAAGGGAGTCTAGTCAGTGCTCTGGCCCTCTCTCTGCCATATGAGGATGTGGGAAGAAGCTGACGGTCTGCTGCCTGGCCGTCACCAGAACCTGACCATGCTGGCAGCCTCATCTCAGACTTCCAGCCTCCAGAACTGCGAGCAAGGCATTTCTTTACAAGCCACCCAGTCTATGCTACTCAATTATGGCAGCCAGAACTCACTAAGCTTTCTAGGCTGGTTGGCTATATACTCCCATGGCCTGAGATGGGAAGTGGTATGCTTGCTGGCTGTTGGCTGGGGGCCCGCCTTCCTCGGAACGCCCAGGCTCGGGCTGGTTTTATATTGCAAGCACGAAGTGCTGTGTGAGGACACACTGCATTCGCCAACCACAGAACACAGGGTCCTCGGGCAAAGTGGGACTCAGTGTATTCACACAGACTTATCATCCATCCAGGTAGAGGAGGAGGCATCTCACTATGGTAGCCACCCCACCCCCAGCTCCTGGCCTGCCATCCTGTCACCAAGACCTTCAGAAGGACTCTGGTCATTAGGGTCCCTTCCTCAGTGCACACATACTGTTCTAGGGGGCCTAAGAGCCCCAGCTTACGTGAAGGATAAATAACAATGGAGACATGGAAGAGGTGGGCCCCCAGCTCCACCCAACAGGGGAATCTGGTGCTGTGATAGGCTCAAAATACTTTTGAGGGCCAAAAGGACGGGGCTGGATGAAATGTGAAGACAGCCATGTGACCTGCAAGCACCGGCATAGCTTCTTCAAGAGTGTCAGAGCCTTCATTACACAAACTGAATGCACCCTGGTCGTCACTGTGGCTACAGCAGGGGACATGTGGCTGGAGACATTCTCAATCATCATGAGTGGGAGTGGGAGGTGCTACTGGCATCCCGTGGGTAGAGGCCAGGGATGCCGCTGAACGTCCTACAATGCACAGGACAGGCCAGGCCTCCTACGAGAGAATGAAGAGAATGATCTGGCCCCAAATATACTTATTGCCAAGAGCTAGAAACCCTGGTTTAGAATATGCAAAAATTTTTCTTAAGATTCAAGGCTGCAACTTCATTCATTTATGCATGAGGGGGCTACTGATTTTCCTGGGAAGCCAGCAATAATGGGGGGGGGGGTGTGGGAGAAAACCGATTCGTGCATGGAAAATACCACAAAAGGAACCCCTTCTCCCTGTGAGGGCTCCTGTCTTTCCCCCACTCTGCGTTCCCAAACATGGCTCCAGTTTCTCAGCTGACCCAAACTACAGGTATCATTTTTAGTGTGTGGACAAGGTCATCATCCTGAGTTGATTGTACTATCCTGAGTTGACTGTACCAGAATGCCTTCTGTGGACATAAGATTCAAATTGGAAAATGAACTTGCTCACAGGCCTTTGCACTTGAACATCTTATCTACGTATACCTTTCTCTTTGAGAAGCCCTTTTTTTTTTTTTTTTTTTGGTGGTGGGGTGGGGTCGGGGGGTAGCAGCATTGTCTCACTCTGTGGCCTAGGCTGGAGTGCAGTGGGTGATCTCGGCTCACTGCAATCTCCACCTCCCAGCTTCAAGCACCTCTCCCACCTCAGCCTCCCTAGCAGCTGAGACTGCAGGTGTGCGCCACCACACGTGACTGGGAAGCCTTCTGGTTTTAAGATGGCTTTAGAATGAAAGGCAGTTCCTAGCACCTGTGGTCAATCACATCTGACCGAACACACCCCCTTTTAAAATAGGAGCTTCTGTTTGTTCCATGAAATTAGGCATTGGAAGAAATGGGGGCGGTGTACACAGTTCCTGCTGAGAAGGCTGATTGTTCTGACCCTGACTTAGCATCTGCGGGAGGTTAAGCTTCCGCCAAGTTTGGGCTTCTCTCCCTGGCCCCGGGGCCGTGGTGCTCACAAGCTGAGACAAAGTCAGTTCCTTTTCTCACCTGTATGTGGCACCATTGAGCTCAGGATGAATTGCTTGCTGGTCTATTACTGACCAAGGCGCTGATGTGACAAAGAATTCCTTGTTCACACAATTTCTTAAGCTTTCTGGGATGCGACCTAGGGTAAGATGATTAAAATTAATCATATTATTTTTACAAATCACAGTAAGTTCAACATTACACCTGTAGCTGCTTATGTGGGGAAATAAGCATTTGTAAAAATGTAGAACATCCAAAGGCCCAAGTGCTTGAGCTCTTCAACACTGACCTTCAGCCTCTGTGTGCCCCCCGACCCCCGAGTTTATAATGTCTGGGACTAAAGGGAATGGTTCCCTCTGTGAAGTTTAGTTCAGGGCTTACGTAAATAAACAGGGCCCAACTCATATAAATTTGATGCTAAAAGTGAATTCTACCTGTCGAGAGCTGCCTGTAGCCAGCAGGACAGGAGCCGGCTGCACTGTGGAGCTGAGGCTGCCCTTGGCAGGCCAGAGGCACGGAGGGGCTCACCTGTGATGGCTCGGCGGATCTCGGTGGCAGCTGCCTCCCTCATCTCCAGTGACGCCTGCTCACTGTACCAGGCAGTGTGAGGAGTGCAGATGAGATTCGGGGCATCTTTCAACGGACCCTGAGCAAAGCTAGAAAAATGTAGAAAAAACAGAGTAAGCGGGAAATGTCGCATACGCTCCCTGCCCTCCTCAGCACAAGGGAGCTCTTGGCCATGTAGAAAAGTAGCTACATAGATAGCATGGATACAGGAACATCTGTGATGATATTTTATGAAGGCTGGGAATTTTTGAATGTAATTATCAAAGTTGTGTAAGAACCGTATAATTGGTAGATCAAAAAGCCCAATTCTATTGAAGGCTTGTCCTGCTGTAATCCAGGGCAGAGATGATGCCTGTCTGTCTGAAGACCAGAACCACTGCCACACCCCCACCAATTTTCTGCCTCTCCTTTCCCTGATGACCTCTGGGAAACTTCCAGCCCTTTTACAATTAGAATACAGCACAATCCTTAGAAGAACAGAGACTGTAAATGTCATCTCTGGAGTTTCCTGCCCAGGGACCTGTTTGGGAAAAGGGCCTCGAGTTCAAAGTGTGGGGGTCAGGTGTGGAGCTGGGCCCTGTGGGCTCCTGGTAGGCGGCTGGGGCAACACGCACCTGAAGGGCTCTGACTCATGCACGTCGAGGGCTGCCCCTCGTATCCTGCCCTCCTTGAGGGCTTGTGCTAAGGCTTTCTCGTCCACCAGGCCGCCACGGGCTGCGTTCACAAGGAATGCTCCCTGCCTCATCTGTGGAAGGAAAGAAAAGCCGGTTACAGGCACACTGGCATGGTGGAAGACTCTTGTACCAAGGTTTAAAGAAGAAAGCTGCAAGCTAGTTTTGTTGGTCTGGTGGTTTAATGTGTGTGCTGCAGTTTGAGGGAAGGGAGTGGGAAGTGTTGGTGACGGCTGGAAGCCAGGGCCGTTGCTGCTGATCCTGAGAGGAAGCAACACGGTGGAAAGGCTGGACTGTGCCGAGCTGCTGGCCTCTTTAAAGGTTCTGGGAAGCTTCTGAAGCTGGGTCCTGGCTAGCGCCTGTCCTTCTCTGCTTAGCCTGGCTCAGCCCGAGGAAGGGGCTTCACGTGGCTTGTCACTGGTTTGTTGCAGGGCCTCTTCCCTGCTCAACAGTGTATCCAGAAACCACCTCCGTTGCCCTCCGTGTCCCTCTTGTGCCCACAAGCAAGTGCTACCACCTTTCGACAGAAGCTTCCATGGCATCTATTTTCAAATTACCTGCTTTATGGTAAAGTCATTGATGAGGTGGTGGTTATGTTCGTTGAGATTGCAGTGCAAGGAGACGCAGTCGCTCTGATACAGCAAATCCTGCAGGGTGTAGACCCTCTGCACGCCCAGGGACCGCTCGATCCCATCCTGCAAGTAGGGGTCATAAAATATGACGCTGAATCCAAAGGCCTTGGCTCGAACTGCAACCGCCTGCCCCGTGCGACCTGTACAGAAACAGAGCGTCCAGGTGAGTGAGTCCACAGCCCGCGCCCCAGCGCTGCCACCTCCATTGCTTCTGAGCTGAGTCCGGGCTTGGCATCCCCGCTGGTAGCTGCTGCCAGAGAAACCGTGTGCCCAAAGCTTAGTGAGGCCTGAGGCGAGCACTGCCCGCGAGGGGCCACCATGGCCGGTGTAGGACAGGTGAGGACCGCAGTGCTTGCTGCTTATATTGGGTACAGCAGGATTTTTGTTAAAAACAAAACAAAACCCTTCCTTGTTATTGACATTTTCAAACACAGAGTGTTCTGACAAGCCCACATGCCCCTCCCATCACCACCCGTGTCCTCCGTTCCCACCCCTCTCCCCACTTCTTGTGTGCACTGCAGGCTTCTTAACATGAGCTTTGTGTTTGAAAAACTTGCTCTCAATGTCACAGGGAGTAATGTCCTGCCTCCTCATTGCTGGGCTCGCTCCTGCAAAGGGTGACATGAGCACAATGGCTCCCTGCAGGCTGGCCCGAGTGCAGACTGGCCACATGCTACTGTGTTCTGGGCGGGAGGCAGGGCACATGACCATCAGACCTGGACCTGTCCCACTGGTGGGGCCTCGCGCCCATCTGCATTATGCAGCCTGGGCCTCCCGCCAGCTATGTCACAGGATGAGGAGGTGTCTCCCACTCCCCAACGGCTGTCATTTCATAAACCCATGGGGTCCCCCTCGATAGCACCTCCAGCTTCCCAGAGCAGTTTTCAGCATTTTGAAAACAAAATGGTTAGTGTTGATGCTCGACTGGTTCTCTTGGAGATCACAGAAGGAATCTTTAAAGCCATGGCTCCAAGGTGCAGGCAGGAGAAGGACAAAGATGCGCATTTCCGAGCAGGCAGCCTGTGTTCCAGGGGTACCTCAATGCTGGATGGCTCCTCCTGCAGCAGCTCCATCTAACCGATGGCCTGGCTAGGACAACTGCCGTAGTTTAGAACAAAGGTTGAATAAGGCCAGTCTGATCAGGGACAGCTGCAGGACAACTAGTATAGCAAGGCACGAACCATCACGCCTCTCCTCCTCAGTGTCACCCTTTACAGCAGGCAGGACTGGACGGTGGCAGGGACGGAGTGAGAGATGGCTCTCTGACGCACTGGCAACATGAAACTGAGGACCCCAGCATGCAACTGCTGGGAGCTCACACTTCACAGGACCCCCGCCTGCCTTCCCCCGTTCCTGCAGCCTCCATCCCCCTCATGGCGTCTGTGCACGAACATGCTTCAATCAGTGGGGCTCACACTCTGCAGATCCAGGGCCTGGAGGGCCTGTGGAAAAGCAGCCCAGAGCACCAAGCCCAGATTTGAACCGTGCCGACGGCTATTTCTTTGTTTTTTTTTTTTTTTTTTTTAAAGTTCACAAACCCCTTGAACTTTATCCATGAGATTTTCTGATGACCCAATGACTTAATCCTGCTACTGACTTAATCAAAACCCAGTCCCTACAGAAGAGACCTGCTCCCCCGTCACAGCGCCCCCCCCGGCCCCCCATGCCGCTTATTTTAAAAGCGCAGCTCCCACAGGCTGCCTTTCCTTCAGTTTCTGTCCATGCCCCCAGCCCCAGGCTGCCCTCTCTTGGCGGCACCGTCCCACCCCGCCTGCTGCACTGAGCCCGCTGGGCCTGGGGGACTCTTGCTCAGTAGAACCCGAGGCCAGCAAAAGCTCTTAGCCCAGGATGGCTGCAGCAGCGACAGTCCTGAAGGCTACAGAGACACCTGGAAAGGGAACAAGGAGAGCACGACAGTCCCTGTGCTGAGGATCCAGGGTGGTGGCGGCAGGGGTTAGTGTACAGTCTCGAGAAAACAGGGCGGCGGCAGGGGGCTGCACTGACCTCTATACACCGAGAGGGTTTTTAAAGTTGAATGACAAGGGCACAGCTACAGGAACGACCCCAGGAAGAAGTCCCGTGACGGCTGGAGTCAGAAGCCCCTGAAACAAGCACCTCCCCAGTGAGGCCCCACCGTGTACCCAGGGTGCTCATGACCACCCCCAGGCTCTGCAGCCTGGCCAGAGACCACCGAGGCCCCAGGAGGGGCTTCAGAGATGGAGATGAAGCTGCATCTCCGAGCCATGAGGCCCAGTGGGGCCCGGACAGAGGGAGCCTGGTGTTCACACACCACATCTGTTTTCCAACAAAGTCAAAACACGGTGGGTCCTTTCAGAAGATCCCCAGCACCCGACACTTCAACTCAGACTCCAGGCGTCGGGCGAGGCCAGACCCAGGAGATCACAGCCTGTAGCGGGGACAGAAAGGTGTGCACTCCTGGAAGCGTCCAGCAACTTCTCTCTTGTTCAAGTGGCACCCCAGGTCCAGAGCGGGGCTTGTGGGGAGAGGAGCACGGGGGCTTCGTCCTCGGAGGCGCGGAGCTCCAAGCAAGGGCTGAGCAGCAGCTGGGAGTCTCCCGGAGGCCAGAACATTACTGGCCCCGTGTGCACATGCGCCTTCTTGGAGTCCCAAAAGGCAGATACCACGTATCCCACCAAATATCTACTTACAGATTGGGAAATTGAGGCAAAAAGCTCAGGTAATTCCCACAAGGCCACAGAGCTGGTAAGCGGTGGGGTTGAGATTCAGTGGCAATGGGCCGAGGTCTCCTGGGTGTGGTGTGGACCCTGATGGTGAGCAGGGTGGGGACCTCCTCGAGCCCCCATGGAATCAGGCTGCTTACCATCACCTTCTCCGTGGCACCGGCCCCTACCACCCTGCTGAAGACCCTCCTGGGCCTCTCCTCACGTCTCCTTTTCCTGCCCCTCTCTCAGGAGAGCTTTCCAAGCTGATGGCCTGACTGTGCCACCCCAACCTGGCATTTGAAGGCCTTCAGGAGTGAGGCCATGTCCATAACCCGCGTCTCCACTGAACCCTACGCCAGCCCCTACACGAGCCCCAAGCCTGGCTGCTGCTTTACGACACACCTCCATACAGCCCCTGCCCTTCACCCCTGCCCAGGGAAATTTACTGGGCACAGCGCCTTGCCCGCTGCCCCACAGCAAAGAATGCTGTCCTGCCAGACACTACAGACAGCAGTGGACACGCATTCTTCCAGAACCAGCCCAGATCCTGCCTCTAGGGTGAGTTGCCTGATGGGTCTTGACTCCGATCTCCTACCCCGTGCAACACGGGGAGGGTGCTGGCCCTGCCTGCCCTGGCTCCTCAAGAGCAGGCTGGGGTTGCCTTTCCCGAGGGGTCCCCACTACACCAGCCCCAGTGTCGGAGGGGTTGGGGGTCAGCGCAGAGGGTGGCACGTACCAAAGCCAATGAGGCCCAGCGTCTCCCCACGGATGCGGGCCGCTCCCGAGGCCACCTCGCGGATCTGCTCCACGCTCTGAACCCGCGTGCCTTCCCGCAGTGCCTGGTACAGCCACGTGTTCCTCCGGTACAGGTTGAGGATGTGGCAGATGGTAGAGTCCGCTGTCTCTTCCACGGCTGCAGACGGGATGTTGCACACGGCAATTCCTGAAAGGGATGAGGCCAAGGCCGGAGATGAGAAAACCTCAAGATCAGTGGGGAAGCCCCAGGGCTCCCAGCCCGCCCTCCTGAGACTCGGTTGTTGGCACCGGGGGAGGCCCACCTTATCGTCTAGCAGACGCGGGGCTGGGCACGTGGGCGGTAGGCCCTCTGGCTCTGATGCATGGGAAGCTCTAGCCCCAACATCTACCCCTCCCTCCCAAGGAGGACTTTTGCTCCAGGACGTGGCTCATGACCAACCCAACTCCTATGGCTGATTTTGGGCCTGACTGGCTTCCTCCTGGGCTTGCACTGAGTCCCAAGAAAGGACCCGGAGTGGCAGGAAGCCAGTGGGCCTCAGACCAGACTCCTCCAAGTGGACCCCACTCAGCCTCAAACCCCTCAGGGTCTCCCTCATGGAGCTGGCAGGGTGACAAAGAATGGCTTTTGGTTTTAAGCTATGCTAACAGTTTGATGCAAAAAACATACGTTTTAAACATACTGGTTTTAAAAAAACACCTCCACCCCCACACGGATGCAAGGGCTGGCCCCGGGAACGGAACCGATGGCCGAAGCGTGTGCACAATCGCCCTGTGGTCATGTGCTCAGCACCCTGCTCTGCTGGGAAGAACTCAGAGCAGACAGGATGCCCTCCCTGCCCCGTGGAGCAGCCTTCAGGTCAGGGCCGAGGGTGGCTTGGGGTGAGCCCTCTGGCCCCACACGAGCTGCAGAGACCAGGGTCAAGTATCTCCCAGCACAAAGCAGCTGTGGCATGGAGAGTTAACCCAAGTCATAGGCAGAAAGGGCCCTGCCATTTACCCTCCTCAGCCAGAGGGTGTCTGGGGAAGAATGAATGACTGCCAGATACAACAGGGGTGCAAGTAGGCAGAGGGCCAGGCTGGGAACGGCCCCTCCCTACACCCGACAGGTGGAGATCCAGAGGCCTGCTTGCAGCAGAGACCAGAGGGGCCGAGCCAGGGGCGGGGCCCCAGAGGGTGGGCTCAGCAGCCAGCCTGTGGCTCCCAGTTGAGCTCTCTGAGGAGGGGTGTGGCTATCTGGGCATCACGTCAGCCCAAGTGAAATGGTTCCCTCCTAATCCCAGCTTTGGGACCCTTAGGAGAGTGTCTCTCCCAGCAAGGGGTGCCCAAGGCACTGGGACAGGGCCACCTTTAAGGCAGCCCAGGATTCCTCTATCTTAAGTCCTGAAGATTGGGGTGGGGACAGATTGGGGTGGGGACGGCAATCACCAAGGCAGCTTCTTCGGCTCTACTGGACAGGAAACAAGACCAGTGGGTGCCACAAACCCACTTTCTAGATGGCTGCGTGGCTGTCTCCCCACAAGGGCCACCCCTAGGTCTAGGGCCTTGAGAGTGACCCGCTTAGCAAGACACACAGCTCAGAGAAGGTGAAGCCACTGTGAGCAGGTCACCCACCCACCCAACGTGGCCACTGAGGGCTCCTCTGGGCCACCGACCCCTGCCAAGGGACCAGTGTGGTTGACGGTGACTGAGGCCGACCAACTTTCCCACGAGCTGGATGCCAGGAATCTTGCAGGAAACTGGCCTCATTCATTTGAAATAGCTCAGCAGAGAAGCTGGGGCTTGATCACATGCCATGTTATTATTAAGTCAGACAGACTGAGGCTGATGCCAGAGGTTCAAGAAAATCTTTGGCGGCTGGGACAATTTTCATTCCTCGGGCAGGCTAAAGCCCAGCAGGGAGGCCCCGCAGCAGAATCACCCTCAAGGACGCTGGCTCCGTGCTGCTGCCGGGGCTGGCTCGGCAGTGCTGCCTGGCGTCAACAGCAGCACCTCCTCCTAGGAGATGAGCTGATGCTGGCTGGGAGACCCCACAAGGCCACGTGTGTAAAGGCACCCGGGTGGGTGGGTGGCACAAAAAGGCAGGTTGAGGCAGGACATCTGGTCAGTCTTCTCACCGAACTTGGACATTCAGCTCCGTGGTTCCACTGCTCACCGGAGTGCAGAGTCCCAGGACGGGGAGATGGTGCAGGAGGAAGAGCTGCAGCCACTGCCTGGGATGGCAGAACCTTCCCACCCAGACCGCGGCGGCGCCACTGCCAGGAACCTCCATAACCCTCACCGCTCTCTCGGAGGGAGCATCTTCTTAGCTGTCCTCTATCGCTCTGTGGATGCAGCCTCCCTTCTGGATGAGTCAAGCTGATCCTTCAAGTGCCACACGATGGGTGGCTCTGATACTCGCAGGCTGGGCCTCCCAGCATCCACGGAGCCTGGAAAACGGCCCCAAAGAGGCAAGCTGCTTTTCTCTCACGGTCAGTGCCATCGTGCTTTAATCCCTTCATGACTGCCGCTGGCAAGGAAACCACATAAACCAGCTTGCTAGAGGCGGCGGGGGTGGGGAGGGGTGTAGGGCCCTCTCGAGGTCTTCCCGGCTCGTGGGGAGAAGTGCAGGTGAGCAGCTTCCTCAAGCCTTGCCCTGCTCTTGCCGTGAAGCGCTGACTCTCGCCTGTCATTCCAGGGCTGACAGCTCAGAGCCTTGCGATCCCAGAAGGTGTCACCAGAGGCCTAGTGTGCTGCCTCGTGCAACATGGAGGGCCTTGTTTTCTGGGCCTGCGAGGGACCCTCTTTCATCAGGAGAGGGCCTGCCTGCAGCCACCTGCCGCTCCCAGCCCTCAGCACAAAAGGCCCGTTGACCGCATGATGTGGGGAATATGCATTCGGAGACAAAGGACGTCTGGACAGAGGCTCATTTTCCGCCTCCAGAGTCTACATTCGAAAAGTGCCCTTTAAAAGGGCCCCGCAGATGTCTTCCAAGCGCCCTTATCAGATGGGACCAGGATCAATGAAAATCCACCACTCACAGCCCTTCTACATTTTCCAAAACCGCAGTCCCTGGTCCTGGTCGTCTTCTGTGGGTCTCAGAACTCAGGGAACACAACCTCCCATCTCGGCCCTCCCAGGCCCCCTGTCATTGAGGCCTTGGTGCCTTTCTGGCCCCACTGCCTGTGCGGGGCACTTCTAGAAATGGAGAAATAGGAAGTTCCACAGGCAAGGACCTCCCCTCTCTCCCTGGAAAGCAGCGTCTGGTCCAGCCGAGGAAGGGCAGGGTCAGCACCCGTATGGGCCTGGGAGCTGTGTGGTGAGGGGCCGACGTGCTGGAGAAGCAAGAGGTGCGGGGGACAAGGATTTGAGAGCCCCTGGCACATGAAGCTGTATTCTCCTCTGCTGTTGAAACTTGGGATTTCAGCTCTACCCAGAGCACAAAGGACATTTGTTTTCAAACAAAAATATCCTTGTTTGTGCCAGGGAAAGATGGAAAATTTTAGTTTATATTAAACACGCCTTTGAAGACTCACATCTTCTGGAGTGTCTTTGTTCCAACAGAGGGGCTCGGAAGGACGCCGTGGCTGGTAGCAAGTGAGGGGTGTGGGGAGGGTGAGGGGTGGATGTGTGAAGCTGCTGCTTCCAGGACCCTAAGGGGTGTGGAATCTGAGTGACTCTCTCTCCTTCCCTGGCCTTTTGCTTTGGGATTTGCCCGTGGGGCAGCCCCACCCCACTGCGTCCTGACCCCTGTGAGTGTACGGGCAGCTCCCTGCTCGCCCGGCTCCCCAGCCCTGCTCCTGACACCAAGACCCACCCAGTGCTTCCGGTACCTGGGTGCTGCCCCGACTGGCCGTGAAGGATTCAACTAAGATTCTGACCCATACACTCCATGCCCCAGGCTAAGGCTGTGGAGAGACAGCTGGAGCCCATGGGGGTGGCCTCCCTGAAAACGTGGCCGGTGGTGCCCGAGAGCAGGATTCTCAGATGTATGTAACACTCCGCTCACACACAGAGCCCATCTGACACCCAGCCCGTCCCGGAAGCACCGGGGCCCACTGGGGCCTTAGCCGATGGGAGAGAGGTGGGGAAATAGCGCCTGGGCTATTCCTGGAGCACAGGAAGAGCTGTTCCAAGGCCAGGCTGCTGCCTTGGAATTCATGGTGCCTCATGAATTTGGGGCACCTCAGCACTCGTAAGGCAGAGTACAGCCCCCACCCCCAAAATGCAGGGGTGGCGTGTTCCAAACACAGAGCAAGCACAGTGCCCACCTGGCCCTCTCCCGAGGACGCTCGATGCCAGCGGTCTGCTTCTTGTGCCTCTGCACTCAGCACTCACGAGCTCACACGGGGTGCTGGGCAGAGGCCCCCCTCAACATGCACCCCCAGCCGCAAGTGCATGGGGCCGATAAGCAGCTTTGAAGCCCCCAACTCTGGGTTCCCGCCTGCTGCCTCTGCTTTTCTTCGGAAGCCTCTGTCATCAACTGTGTTGGGCAGGGGCCCACCTGCTTTGGTGCTGACCTGGACCACATGCTGCTAAGGCTGCCCTCCCAGAACGGGAGGCCCAGGTTCCCATGTGGACAGGGGCCTAGAGCTGTGCACACGGCAGGGGCAGTTTAGGGGACACACACGGCAGGGGTCATTTAGGGGACGCACCCAGCAGGGGTGGTTTAGAGGACATGTGGCCAGTCGCATTCTCCCCTCTGGAGGCGGCACTGGGTGTCTCCAAATTGAGCCTGTGCCAGCTGGGTGTTGCTCTGAGGGCAGAGATGCCTCACAGCCCCGCAGACCCCACACAAGGGCCAGCAGGGACTATCCTACCTGTGTCATGTGAAGGCAGGGCCGCAAGGTGCTCCACAGCCCGGCCTGGAGGCAGCCACCTTGCTACAGCCAGAAGCGGCTGCTCCGTGGTCCCAGTTCCAGCTGCTTCTCCAAGCCCACCCGAGCAGGGCCCACAGAGCTCCGGACAACTCCAGGCAGCCAGCGCTGCCTCGCACTCACCGAGCTCGCCGGCAGCCTTGATGTCCACGTTGTCATAGCCACTGCCTATCCGCACGATCACTCTCAGGGCCTTGAACTTCTCCAGGTCCTCCCTGGTGAGGGTGATGGTGTGGTACATCATGGCGCCCACGGCTTCGTTTAGAACCTGCGTGGGAACAGAGCACAGGGTCGGAGCCCCACCCCGTGCAGCCCACCGGCACCACTTGGCCTGGCCCCCTGGCCCTATCACCCTTGAACCTGAGGCAGAGGAGTTCAGCAGGAAAGCAGGGAACAGGGGTTCTGGGGCCTGCCGGTGACTTGGGGCGATCTAATGGGGGGATGCTGGGGAGGAAACTGCCCAAGGTCAGTGCAGGCCCCGGCCGGGCAGGGTGGGCCCACCTTCTCGTGGATTTCCTGCGTCGACTGCGCGTCACAGAAGGCCACAGTGGCCAGGTCCTTCAGGATGGGCATCTCCACAGTGCAGTCGCGGCCGTCCAGCAGCGCCACCAGGGGGCGGGGGTGCAGGGGGCCGTTCATGATCTGGGGGCGGATACCTGCCAGGAGGGAAGGGGTGAGCACAGTGGGTGGGTGGCTGGGGCCACAGGGTGCGTGGAGGGGCAGCTCCCCACTCATCACTCAGGGCAGGGCTTGGGCAAGCGAGGGTGGCGGAGCAGCGAGGGCACCGCCTCCACCTGCATCACCTTCCAGGGAGCCACTGACACGAAGAGGAGCCACTTCCCATCCACTTGCGGCTCTGGCTGGAGACGCACACGGCTGCTTCCCTGCCAGCAGACCATAGTCCCGAGAGCCTCAGGACCATGGGGCCCCGAGGCCAGCACAGGCTAGTCCAGCACAGGACGGGTCCCTGCACCGCGTGCCTCCCTGCCTGCACCGGCACCAGCTGCCCCTCACACACTATGACAGGGGATAAGGCGTGTGCGTCCAAAGGAACTTCCTGGACAGGCCCTGCACAAACAGGCGGCCTGGGCAGGCTCCTCCAGCCCCTCTCACCTGCGCTGGGTGAGGAGAAATGGCGGGTCTGGGGCAGGGAAGGTATGCCTGAGGGCAGGAGGCCTCTAGGGGCTCAGGAGAGCAAACTTCTCAAAGGACCACACAGCAAGCAGCTCTCTAGACAGGCCAGAGCCATCATATTAATCCTGACAGATTTCCTGGTGCTGCCAACAAGGTGAAGGGACAGCTGTGAGGACAGAGGGGCAGGGGTGACCCCAGGAAGGGCCCCAGTGGTCCTTCCCACAAGTCCAAGTACAAATTCTCTAGCAACTTCATCTGGACCAGCGCGGCTGCATCTAGACGTTCAGCAGGGTGGTGGAAGGCCTTACCTGCCACACTACAGACGCGCATGCTTGCGCCCCGTGCACATACAGGGCAGACACCCTGCGGGGCCCGCCCAGGATGCAGCGAGAGCCTCAGGGCCTCTTTTCTCTCTTTATTCTGTGCAGCAAACCCAGCAGGCTCCGAAGACCTCAGAGACAGAGAAGCAGCATTTTCTCCAACAAAAACTGCCCCCTTCAAATCCATCCTTGGATTTCGTAGGTCCTCCTGACCATCTGCCCAAACCTCACATCTTCAAGACCCACACCCTGGACACAAGAGAACAACTACCTGAGTTCCAGAGGTGCAATCCGCCGAGATGCCAGGAAGGGGCAATGTCTCTTGTCAAATTAGAACTCTTTAGCCTCAGATTAAAACTTTGGGGCTCATCAACTTTTCAGATATCCAGATCAACCCTGACGGCGGCCTTACATCCCCATCCCCTCCCTCCCTCTGAGGCTGGACGGTCCAGGCCATTGCTCCAGGCTGAGCCCAGCCTGGTGACCCACCATGGGTAACCCAACCAGGAAGGTGTGACATTCCCGGGATCACTGGCCTTTGAGCACAAGGCAGCAGGCTCAGGGTCCCACAGGCAAAAGCAGGAGCCTTCCACAAAGGCCAACTTCATCTGTGTGGCCTCGCCTTCCATCCCTAACCTCCTCAAGGGCTCTTAGTAGTCCCCAAGCTGGCCACTTGGTGGGGACGATGACTGGGACCCCAGCCACGGGGGGGCTCCTGCTGGACCACCAAGGCTCATATTCCGTTAGCCACACGCTCGGAGACGAGGAAGGAAATCCCCCTCCACTGGGGCCGTGACTGCATCCTGTTAAGACTATACACGGTGCTGGGGAGGGACGGCCCAGAGCACCTGCACCAGCCCTGCATGGAAGGCCGTGCTCGGCCAGTGGGACTTGGGATAATTGTCTCTTTGAGCACAAAGTACAAAAAAGGCTTTTGTCCCAGCCTCAGAAGAATGGGCTGGGGTAGCCAGGTCCACAGCCAGCCCCGCATGGCCCCCAAGCTAAGTGCAGTTCTCCTGCCACCCCCGGCTGGGAGAAATCATGGCCCCTCTCAGCCCTGAGCGGCAGCTGCACCTGACGCTCAGACACCAAAGGCACACGTGCACCCAGTCACTCCTGCTGCTGCCCCGACACCCAGGTCCCCAAACAGGGTGTCCGCATGGATCCGCACTCCAACATCCTTCTGCACCAGGAAAACAGGGCAGGGGAGGGGGAAAATAAGGCAGGGACGAGGGCCAACACCCCCGTGTCCTCACCAGCCCACGACCTGTATGAGTGGACAGGAAGCGTGCAGCACAAAGCTGGATACCCCCTCAGCTCATCCGCGAGATCCGCAACAGCACCGTCACCTGACGAGGAACCCGACACACATGGCTCCCACCTGGGCTCCTGTTTTCTGCTAAGAAAATGGTACAACTGCCAAATTCCACAAGATTCCTTCTGTTTCAGTACACTCTTCTGGCCCCTACTTGAGGTCTGAGCGCACAACCCTGTGGGGCCTGGAAGTCCTGGTCTCATGCCCCAGGCGGTCGCCCACACACAGTGAGGAACACCCCAACTTCACTTTCAGGGGTGCTGGCAGGATGGTTATCGGAGAGAGTGCCTGATTATAAGAAATCCAAGCTGTTCGTTAAATGGTAGCCACACAGGAAAACCACGCTGGGCGCAAGGTGGGAATCCAGAGCCGCTGATGCGTCTGGGGAGCCTGAGAGGCCATTGTCACAAGATGTCCATCCGCAGCATCATCAGTGCATGGATCCGTTACCAGGGTAACAAACTCCAGGTTGCCTAGCGATCGGCTCCCTCCCCGACACGGGTTGCCTTTCTCCTTGGTGAAACCCACCCTCTACCCTCCCTGATGGCCGGGCACGCAGAACGTGGCTGAGGCTGGCCCGAGACCTGTCCAAGGTCTGAGGCTCGAATCCTGGCAGCAGGTCCTTCATGGCAAGGCGGGAAAAGAGAAAAGCCAACGGGTTCTCATGCTGGGAAAAGATGCCGGGCACGACGGCTGGAGGTGGGGGGTTGGGAGTGGGTGGGATGCTTGCGTGCCCTGCATGAGGTGCAGGGATATGGAGGCCACAGGAGACCCCCAAGCCCTGGGCATGAGAGCTTAGCTGGGACAATGCCAAGGTTTGCTCTAGAAGGGAAAGCACCATCTTCCAAGTGCTCCTTCAGTCCCAGAAGGAAACTGTCCACCCACACACCAGAGAATCTGGACTGAAATTCAAGCCCTTGCCTAGCAGCCGCTGCCCTACAGGCTTGCTGGAGCCTGGGGCAGAGGTTTCTGGAAGAGCTCATATGGAAGATCTCATATGGAGAGATGAAGGTGCAAACAGATCCCCCATCTTACCTCACACAGGATTCCTGACGCCTCTTTCAGGCTTCTGACCATTTGAGCAAGTTTTTAACCTATTAGGATGTAACTGACACACAGAGTAAGATTCATATACATTAAGATGGAACACGACCCTTTCAGGGACGTGGGGTCCCCAGGCCCAGTGGGGCAGGATTGGGAATTTGCGAGGAGAAAGCCCAAGGCGCAGTACGTAATGAGGGCTTCCGAAGAACTGGGCTTTATGCTAAAAAGCCATGGCTTCCAGTTGCTATGCACAGCTGACGGCCTTTTCCATGCGTACAGACCACAAGGCTGACAAGAGTCCTGCAGTGCTGCTGTTCTTCCCACTTCACAGCCCGGGAGTCAGCGCTCAGGGTGGCCCCGTACCACGGTGCGCAACCACGAGGTATGAGGAGACACTTGCGGACGAGGGTCACAGGGCCCTGGTGCCCTCTATGCGCTATTTTTCCTTTCTACCGTCTCCCGCCAGTAAACCTGCCTTGTCCATTTCAGGACAATTCCAGCTGCAACTGGACACATCACGGAAATGACATCAGTGCCTTACTGTTGACAGCTTGCCCACATTAACTGTGTAGAGCAGAAAGCCCTGCCGGCTCCCCTGGTATCAATTACTATCTGGTTTCAGGCTTGCGTGTGCACCAGGACGGCCCTGCCCCTCCGTCCGGGATGTGCTGTGCACCAGCTCAAGGCAGTGCTGACGCCCATCCCTGGGCCTGGTATTGCTTAGAGCTGCAGCTGCAATAAATACTTGTGAAATGAGAGATGCTCAGTCAAAAACAAAGACAACACCAGGCCAAACTGCTGGACTTTTGTGAACAGTAACCAGACACCCAGGAAAAGCAAAGTGCGTGGATCTCACAGATCCTAAGGCAGGTAGATCTCAGGGAGGATGGCGGAAGGATCCGGAGCTGGAAAACGCTACATTTCATTGTGGGGAGCTGCTGCTTTCTCGGATACAGGCAGACAGGCCTGGAGTTGACCTTCTGGCTCAGTACCATGCAAGGCAAATGGGATGTTCCCCTGAGCAGTCACCAAGAAGGAACTGGATTGATCCTGCCACACAAAGCTGCCTGCAGTGTTTCTGAGACCCATTTTCCAGTCTTCCTAGACACTGTGTGAGCTAAGCCGACATCCTTCCAACAGAAATTCTCATTATTTAAAAATGATCTAAATGGGTTTCTGTTGCTTACAGCACAAGACAACCTGCCCCAGGGTAAAGGGTTTCAGGATTTGAGGCTTCTACCCCAAAGCAAAGCAGCTGCAAATGATCATTTCTGACATAGGAGGCAAAGGCTGGCTCTGGCTTTTTTTTTTTTGGAGACAGAGTTTCACTTTTGTTGCCCAGGCTGGAATGCAGTGGCACGATCTCCGCTCACTGCAACCTCCACCTCCCAGGTTCAAGTGATTCTCCTGCCTTAGCCTCCCAAATAGCTGAGACTACAGGCATGTGCCACCATGCCTGGCTAATTTTGTATTTTTAGCAGAGACAGGGTTTCGCGATGTTGGCCAGGCTGGCTTCGAACCCCTGACCTCAGGTGATCCACCTGCCTCGGTCTCCCAAAATGCTGGGATTACAGGCAATAAGCCACCGTGCCTGGCCGGCTCTGGCCTCTTTTTTTAAAACGCACTAGATTTTATGGAAGTTTCCTGACACCGTAGCAGTCTCAAGACACCAGTGCCTGAGTCACTCCCTGTTCCTGACAGGGGCTACGGCTGCCCAAGGACAGACACTGGCCACATACCCCAGGGTTGCCCCATGAAGTCCCTGCAGGTTGCAGTCTTAGAGCTGACCGAGCTATCACATTCATGAGAAGAACCGCTGCTCAGAGTCACAGTAGTGGCCTTGCAGGAGGGAGCCTCTGTGGAATGAGGGCAGTTGCTGGAATTTGCCGGGTGCCGTCACCAGCTGCCCTAACACAGATGTTGTAAGAAGTACCTGGATCCTTCCACAGACGGGAGATCCAGGCAGGTCTTCCAAAGATCCCGACAGAAGGTGTCAGAGTGCTGCAAGCAGCTCCGAGCTGTACAGAGTAAAGCAGAGGTTCCTCTTCAAAGACTTTCCTCCCCGTCTAATTAGGAATAAATACTAACTTCTCTTAGAGGCAAAATTTATTCAAAGATCTGTGCTAACATTCTTAAATATTTGCTAGCCGTAATAAGGAAATCAATGTACGTTATGTTCTTAGCTCCCGCAATTTAGCCTAAATATTTGCCTTAGCATGCTTATACTGGTCCAAGCAAGCATTAGGTCATAGCCTGTTCCTCTTCCTTATTTGAAGGTGTTTTTACCTTTCTCAACATTCCACAAGTTACTTCCTCCTTCCTTTGTTCCCCTCTACCTTTGCCTCTTTAAAAAAGTTCTAAGTTGCTAGCCAATCGGGACAAATAGAGAATGTGAGGTCCCTTTCCAGCCAACGGAAACTGGACACAGCGGTAGGGTGGACGTGTCAGGTTATAAATGACCCTGTGTCCTTTGTTGGGTGAACTCTCGTGGGAAAACTGCTGGAGAGTGTACCCTTTCTGCAGAAAGTAAAAATGGCCTTACTAAGTAAATTAAATTTATGTTCAAGTGCTATTTCTTTATGGCACCGGGGAACGAGCATTCCAAACAGAGCCAAGCGATTCACGGCTTCATCAGCCCCTGTGACCTGCAGGTGGCCTGGGAGGCAGGAGGAGCCTAAGCAGCCGGTGTGGCTCCCAGCCTCATGCACAATGATCCAGGAAGAAAGAGGAGACAAAACCACACAAACTCCAGAGGCCGGGGCGGGACAGGGAGTGACCCAACACAGCCGAACCTGAGGCCCCGCCTGCCTCCAAGGAAGCCCCACTTAATATCCCACCGATCCCACCACCCTCAGAAAAGCTTCCTCTTAAATGCGGCCTGCTCCCCAATTAAGTGGCCGCTTTCTGCAATCCAGCATGACCCGATCCCCACTGGCTGAGCTCAGCAGACCTGATTTCTAGAAAGCCAGACACAGAATCAGAACTAAGGCCTGCTAACAGTGTTATTTCAGAGGCTTGGGTTTCTACAACATAAAACTGAAAATCGTGACAGGGCCAAGCTGGGGGCCAGATTCTGATGCTGGGACGTACGCAAGTGCCTCTCAGACACTTGGCGTTAGACTTGTAAACACAGCTGCCTCAGTGGGTCTACAGGCCAGCCCAGCACACAGGGCTGTGGAGCTCTGAGTGGGGGAAGGCGGTCTGTGGGAGCCTCGTGTTGTCAAGGTAAGAGATGTCTCCCTTGCTTTGTAAACATGTTTAACCATGTTATAAAAGCTGTTCTAAACCGTCAGACGTGGGATCTAAACAACAACAAATGTTCTGCAGTTGGCTGATCTGGAAAGTGAGCAAGCCACGGTGACTCCCCCTCCTTGTGTCCCCAGCAGCCGGGAAGGTGCCTGTTCCCACGGCAGCTGCAGAGAAGACTGCGGGCAACAGGCATCTCCCCTCTGCCTTTCACGAGAAGGACCACAGGAGCAGGGTGCTGATGAGCGGGTGGCTCCGGGAGCAGCTTCAAGGCATAATTTGGAAGAAAATCTGTGTTGCTAAGAGTGGCACTATTTTAAGGTTAAAAAAAAAAAAAAAAAAAAAAAGCAACTGCTATTGGAAATCTCAGCTTTGTTTCTACGTTGTTATCTGCTTTTTCATTTGGCAAATGGGCTTTCTCTCTGTGTTGCTTCTGGGAAGCTCTCCCAATGCTGCGTCCACTTCTTTGCCCAGCTTCCCAGAGGCTGCGATTTCATTTTACAGTCTCAGTAATGTATAGGTAGTATGTGCTCCCCCAGAATGGAGAACCCAATCCTTGAGTTTTAAGTATCACCTGACACGCCCAACAGATTCCCTGGCTCATGTGCACACTCCTCCTCCCACCATGCAATGCAAATGCGCAACCCTTATCTCTCTTTCTGCATTCATGGCAGACATCACTAATCGATCCCCACATTCTTCCTGAAGCCAGGACCTCAGCCCTGGAGTGGCATCACACACACCAAGCTGTTGAAGACCTGGCCCAGCTGAAAATGATTTAACTCAACCTTGGACAAGGACTGGCCTGAACCAGGCACTGGAAGACAGCATGAGGAGAGAATGAGAGAGCAGCGTGGTACAAAATGAGTGCCGGGGAATTTAAAGCATGAAGCACACCTTCTAAACTTAGAAAGCGGTGATGGCTGTGCCATCACCGTGTACATCCTTAGCAGCTATAGGGATTATCCTTATTTTTCCTCCAGTGAGGTACAACCAGGTAGGAAAAAGCTCACAATCTGCAGCATATTCAGCCAGCCCACTCCTCACACTAAAAACGCCAGGATCTTAATCTTCCAAAGTTGGGCTCTTACTTGTGAACAATTTAAAAGGGTTTATGGCAAAGGTTTCATGTGAATTATCCCTCAAGTTCCCCCTGCTTTTCTGTAAGGAGGGAAAAAATCGAGTGTTGGGAAATCTAGCTTCACCAAGGCCTCTGAGCACCCAGGGGCTGTGCTGTTTGGGGTGCCCCACACCAAGTGGGCTCCCCAGAAGGCTGGATGTGCCCCATGGGGAACCTAGTTTTAAGCTACTCCTCGGCTTCTGAGTTTGGCATTCTCTGCAAAGTCAGCTGGAGGTTTGGTGAAGAAATGGCCACAGGAACACCCTGATAAATAGATTTGCTTCTTAAATAAAACATGTATCTGAATGAGTCACGATGTGACACATGAGAGGCTCCCAGGTAATCTCCCTTGTAGCTCAGGTGACAGCTGGACACAGAGCTGGCGAGGCAGGAGGCTCCAGGTACCCCTGTCTTTATCCAGCCAGTCAGGTGCAGTCTGATGCTCCCCAGAGCCTGGGCCATGTTCTCAGGCCCCCAAAAGCTTTCTGGGTGATCATGTTAATAACGAAGAGCATGTGTGGTATCTTCCAGGGTTGGAAAGAGATGTCCAGACCCACACCATCAAGTTCAGAAAAAACACAAAATACAAACCCCCCTGAAAACGAAGCTCATCTGCAACCCTAGAAAGACAAGCACGTGCAGTCACTTCAACGGGTTCCTCAGAGCCCCTGGGGAAGCTGCAGCCCGCACCCTGCAGTGTCCGCGCTATGCGGAACGGAGGAGCACAGCGGGCCCAGAACACAGGAAAGTGACAGCTATTTCCCGGTTTGTAATGGAGTTTAAAATAAAAACAAAACCAAGAGTGATGTTAGGTGCTTGAAAGTGTTTTTAGGCACTGGTGGCTTTTTGGAAGCCCAGACACCGTCCTGTTGGCTGCCTCTGGTGTTGAGTGTTCAGGCTCCGTCACCTTCACCTAACCCCGGGTGCAGCTCATGTTCTGGGGTGAATTTTTGCCCTGAGGGAGCAGGTGCCATCCACCCGGGGCAGATCCAACAACCCCACCCAGCCTGTGTGAATGCAGACACTGCTGACTCACTGGGCCTGAAAGATCCGTGAAGGGACATCACCAAAAACGGCGCCTTAGAAGGCATTCCCACAGCGAAGCAGCCAAGGACGTGAGGCTCTGCTTCTATTTCTGGTGAGACGCGCTACGTGTGCGAGATTTCCCCAGTGGCCCAGCCTCACATGGGTGGTCCCTGGGCTCCGGGAGGGAGGACAGGATGTGGGGGATAGAAGCCGGAGCAACATCCAAGCCTGAGGAGCAAGGAATAAGGATTGTGGCTCCCACTGGGTGAGGCTCTGCGACATACCCTCCTGCTTCCCAACACGGGGACGGTCCCTGCAGGGACGGGTGGTCAGGATCTCATGCACAGGATAGGGACACTCTCAGCCACCACTGTGGCTGGGGACACACATCGTCTGAGTCCCCTGTCCAATAAACAGTTCTGGTGGAATCTTCCAGGAGGACTGCTTGTTCTCTTCCTGCCGGCACGCCAAGGTCAGATGCGCCCTGGGGTTCTCACTCCCCCACCTGCCTGTGCCTCTGCATACCCCACTCGTGTGGCCGATCCTCCAAGCCTCTGTGGAAGAGATGAGCCTCAGGGCATCGCCAAAGACTAAAAATTGTTGTTGTTGTTGTTTTGAGATGGAGTCTCACGCTGTTGTCCAGGCTGGAGTGCAGTGGCGCGATCTCGGCTCACTGCAACCTCCGCCTCCTGGGCTCACGTGATTCTCCTGCCTCAGCCTTCCAGATGGGGTTTCACCAAGTTGGCCAAGCAGGTCTCAAACTTCTGAACTCAGGTGATCCGCCCGCCTCGGCCTCCCAAAGTGCTGGGATTACAGGCATGAGCCACCGCGCCCGGCCAAAAGAAGCACAAACCTGCCAAGGACAAAAAGGGGCTCCCATATGACTATCTGTTCACCCTGGTGAACTCAGTCGTCAAAACCAGGACTGGCTGGTCCACCTAACTCATTCCTCCTTGGGAGGTGCCCACCTCGCCTCTCCAAGCTGCCAGCCAGCAGCAAAGAATGCTATGACTATGGCGATGGGCCTTCTGTCTCGAGGGTGGCAGCTGCCAGCATGTGGTTCCAGCCCACAGCTCCTAAACTATGAGATTCTCAGTTCAAAGGCCCAAGCTCCGAGTTGTGAGGTGGTCTGGAGCCTGTTGGAAAGACCACCAAGAATGCCCACCATCTGCTCAGCCTCACCTGTAATGAAAACCAGCTGCCTGTAGCCAAGGGGCCGCCTGGGATACCCCTACTTTACATATCCCATGTGGGCAGGGTGCATTCTGTGCCACAGTAATTAGACACAGACTAGACTTTCCCAGGATGTGCCTGGAAGCTGGGGAAATACCTGAGACTGGAAACGCCCGAAGTTGTAAAATAGTCTCGTGCGGGCACCGCTGCCGTCAGCCTCTTTTACTTAATTGGTTTTCAATACTTTATTGCAGCAATAAAATCACCTATGCACCAAGAACCCAAACACACAGGGAGTCAAGTTTCTGGTAACAAAGGGATGGTAAACAGTTAGCTCCTTATACCATATGCTGAGCATCATGACCATGGAATACAGCCTGTCCCATTTAGAAGGATGGTCACGGCCACTTCTCTTGCACCCTCCACACAACCCTGTGCCGTAGGCGCTGCTGTTTCCCCAGCAGGTAACGGAGGCGGGGGGAACTTGCCCGGGGTCACACAGCAAGTAAGTGATGGAGTCAGGACTCAAACTCAGGTCTCTCTGACACCAGAGACCAAGCATGCAACCCCAGGGTCCACCGCAGTGCAAACCACCTGCTGGATTGGTTCAACTCAACAAGCTCTGGACACTGGAAAGACAGACATCATCAGGCCTGGCCCTAGGAAACAGACAGGTGATCTTGCCTCGGCAGGCTGAGGTAGGTCTTAAAGTTCTCTCTCTTTTACTGCAGGAATGTGATTGTTCGATCTATCAACCAGGCACACAAAATCAAGAACCAAGGGCCTGAGGCTTCTCACGTGAGGCATGCGCTCTTCCCACCCGGGTGTCTCTCTAGATCTTGCAGCCTAAAAGAGACGTCATCATGGTAACTGTTATCAGAACGGCGGAGAACAGAAGGGCACATCCAAGCAAGACCGAGACGCCACAGGATAGTAACACGTGTGTGCTGGCCCCACTCCCCAAGCTGGATGCAGGGACACACGGTCCTCCTCACGGTGTCCTATTGGCCCAGCAGGCATTCATGGCCCCGGTGATAAGAAACCTTGTCCTAACCTGGACGACACAGTGAAATCCCATCTCTACAAAATTTACTGGGCGTGGTGCCACGTGCCTGTAGTCCCAGCTACTTAGGAGGCTGAGGCAGGTGGATCCCTTGAGCCCAGGAGTTCAAGGCTGCAGTGAGCTATGAGTGTGCCACTGCACTTCAGCCTGGGTGACAGAGTGAGACTTGGCTCTAAAAAATTAACTGAAAAAACAAACACCTGATCCAAGAAATGGATCTATGTCAACTTGGCCCTTAACACTGGCCTCTAAGAGGGTTAATGCAAGATTCAATGCACACGAGGTTGACCTTCCTTACGGGGAGCAACCTCTTGGCGGCCTCCTGGCAAATGGCCCAAATGCCCTGTGCCTCAGATGCCTGAGCCCGTAGGCCTCTGGCCAGGCAGAACTTGCCGAGACGGGAACACCAGCCCTCCAGAAAGCACTGACTTGGAAGGAAGCACTTCCCCTAAAGTCTCGGGAAGAATGAGTTTGGGGAGCTGAGTTTCACCCAGTTCTGAGCCGTGGTGGACAAGACCAGTGACCACGGCTGCTCAGAATCCAGGCTCTCCAGGTTGAGCCACCAGCAGCCGCCTTGGCCGGCAGGGACGCCCTTCTGTCCTTTTCAGCAATAACCAGAGAGAAGGGCCAATCATCAGATCTCACCTCCAAGCGAATAAAAACCAAGAAAAGTGAGCGTTCGTCAACCCAAGCTCCCCGTACCAGGCAGTTTTCCTAGAAGATACTCTGCGGTGTGGAGGATGTTTACCAGCTACCACACATCTGCTTCCTTGGGTAGAGGAAAAAAATGTGCTCCACGTTCCTCGACATTAGGTCTGAGTGACCGGAGCCCGAGGGAGCTTCATAGCGCAGTAATGGGGAAACCTGCGTGGTCAGTCCCGCTGTGATTGTTTGGAGACTCACTTCTCAGGCAGCGGATTCACGCTGCTGGACAACCAGCCAGTGAGGTGGGAAAACCCGCTTGCCAGCAAGTGACCAACACAAAAGAAAAAACTAGTCATCCCCACCCAAGCAAGGCCATTAGCTTCTCTTCGAGTCCTGCACTGTCCCCAGAAGAGCCATGGCCCAGATGGAAAAGAAGCACTGCTGGTTTTCATATCAATGCAAAAAATCAGTGACAACCCCACAGGCCACAAGCAGGAAACGTGACGTCTGTTTTTGAAACAGAGCCTTTGCTGTGCGGTCCCTGGTGTGGCCTGGCCATCCTCCCCTGCCTCGCTGGGGCCACAGCCGGGCTCCCAGGGCTCCCTCCGTCCACTCCCGGTCTTGCAGTTGGGAGGGCGTCCCGGAAGCCCATGCAGCCCAAACCCTAGAGGACTCCCTCTGGCTCGAGGCTGAGGAGGGATGGGCTGGCCTCAGTGCTCCCCGAAGCACTTCCAAGAAGGCGCCTCGCCCGCCCGCTGTGTGGATACCGCTGGTGGAGGTGTTGGGTGAACAGCTCTCAAGTTCTAAAAATGTGCCCCTGACAACAACAGAAGGGGATGTTTGAGAAAAATAAGGGAAAATAGAGAAGAGAAAAGTACGAATTGTTGCCAGAGGAATCTGGCAGAGCGGCCAGCTGCTGCACACTCACTCGCCGGCCGCACAAGAGGCTGGGTGCTGGGCTGGCAGCGTGTCCAGTGTGGACACACACGGGGCTGGGTGAGATTCTGCAGGAATCTAAAAAGGCCACAGGCAACCCAGAGATGGATGGCTCAGTCTGACTTCTCACTGTGTGAAAGTTTGAGAACGCCTACTGTGCGCTGGGTACCCGGATCCCTGCACCTCACAAAAAGGCTCTGGCACCACCCGGGGTGACGGGGAAGGGGATGGTCAGGGTGCAGTGAGACTGGGGTCTGGGACCCTTTGGTGGGTCCCGATCAGGCTGAGGAAGGCCATGAGGCCCCGCCCACCCTTCCCAGTGCCCCAAGGGACTTTTCCTCCAAGGTACAGGAAGTAGCAGCAACCAGGAGGGCAAACGCCCTGGATGTTCCATGAACCTGCAGCGAGCCGAGTGCCACTGCCAAGTTCCAGGGGCCACCACTGAGTCACTGCCCGAGGGGATGGCTGCCCATGAGTGCCGGGACCAGGAGCCCTCTGGATGGCCGCCCTGGCTGCTGGCTTGTCCCTTGGAATCAGATGGACCAATTCCACCAGTGTTCCAGAGAAATGAACAACACGTCCTCCCGCAAAAGGACCCTGAGTAGCCTGTAGCCTGGCAGACCCAGTCTTAATTTTCTCACCTTATTTCCCAGGGTGAATGTCCACAAAAGCAAAATAACACCCTCCTCCTTAGCTATGGCAGCCAAGGCTGAGATGGGAGAGGGAGAAGCCTCATGCTTGCAGCACACTCTCGTTTTTCGAGTGGTCCTAAAACCCAAGAGGAAAGTGATCCGCGAGGACTGCTGTCCGGCAGGCCAAGGGCCAAGAGCGCTGCGCCCAGGCCCAGCTCACAGCCAGGAAGTGAACATTCTCAGCACAACAGCTGGCTGGATGCCGCCTCCACTCTTCTTTCTTCTCTAACTTTTTCTTAAAATCTAGTAACTTCTACAGCATCCCAGGCTCAGAGCCCAGTTTACAGGAAAACACTAGAACCCATCACAAAGGCATATTTATTCCTTCATATAAAAAGCATCTAATAGGCAAATCCCCAGTGGGGAAACGTGTTGGGTTGAGAGGCCAGAGGTCAGCTCTAAGCACTGTGGATGGAAGGGGAATGGACTGGCCTGCGCTGGGCAGTTGGTGCCAACATTCAGTTCCGCAGGCAGAGCTTCCTTCCACCACGAAAAATCCCTTAATGCAATCCCTTAATGAGGCAGGGCCAGAAGAGGAGGTAGGAACCCCGGGGGAAGTCAGCGCCAAAGAACAGCTGACTGTATCCAGCCAAAGTGCAAGAAGAGCTTAACAACTTCAACCAGGATGAGGCCCTGGTGAAATCAGAAGGTGACACGCAGGAGGCTGTCGACGGGTAGCGGAGGAAGGTGCAGGCTGAGGAGCAGGGAGGTAATGCCAGAAAGCAAACTGCAAACCAGCGCTGATGCCGCTTCTTTGGAGAGGCGATAAAGGCAGGAGAAACTCACCTCTGCTTCTGAGCAACGGGTTCATCGGTCCCATCTTACATGCAGTGTGATTCTTCTATGTGATCAGTTTCCCTCTTTCTTTGGTTGCTAGGAAGCTCAGAGCAGAATTCCCACCTATCCTTGTGTACAGGATTGCACGGGATGCTGTGTTCCGGCCCTACCACCCTCCCTCACCTTTTCCTACATTTACTTTTCCATTTATTAAAACTTTACCCTTGTGTGTGTTACAGCTGTTCCCAACAGCCAGCTTAAATCCTCTTATGACCAAAGAACATTTTACATTCCATTTAATCACACAAAAGAATGGCATTTGCTCTTCACTGGGAGAATTAATTCCCTGAACTCTCCCAGGCAGCAGCATGATCCAGGGCAAGGAGTTTGGCCCCGCAGTCGGAGCAGCTCAGATGCAGCATGGTCTTGAGGGCAGCAGCTGGAGCCAGGCAAACACCAGCAGGTGCTCGTGGAGCCAGCTGGGGACCCTGAGCTTGCCATGCACACAGCTCCGGTGTGATGCGGTTCTCAGAGCCGTGGGGGGCAGGTAGGGTGGGCACCATCACCCCAGTGTTACCCATGGGAAGCGAGCCTCAGAGCCCATCATGATGACTGCTGCTCCAGAGCCCGTCATGACTCTTGCTCCAGAGCCCAGCCACTTTGTCCTGTTTCCTCTTGCTGACACAGACCTTGGCTTCCAGCTCGGACTGGTGTCTCCTCCCCAAGTGTATACCATTGTTGATTTTCCCTTGCTGTGCTAATGCACCGTGCCTGAGGATCATCATGGCATGGGCCACCCCCTGCTGTGGGACTCAGGGTAGGGGGTGAACCTCTCTGAGTCTGTCAGAGGAAAAATGTCCAGAGTCTTCCTGGGATTTCAGATGGGGGATCATCCTTGTCAAATGCTCCACAATAGGCCAGGTGCAGTGGCTCACGCCTGTAATCCCAACACTTTGGGAGGCTGAGGCGGGGGGATCACCTGAGGTCAGGAGTTTGAGACCAGCCTGGCCAACATGGAGAAATCCCATCTCTACTAATACAAAAATTAACCAGGTATGGTAGTGGGCACCTGTGGTCTCAGCTTCTTGGGAAGCAGAGGTTGCAGTGAGCCGAGATTGTTCCACTGCACTCCAGCCTGGGTGACAGAGCAAGACTCTGTCTCAAAAAAACAAAAACAAACCAAAAACCAAAAACCAAAAAAAGCACCAGACCAAACCAAACCAACCAACAAACAAACAAACAAACAAACAAACAAACAAACTCCACAATAGTGACAATTACTAATATTTACTGAACTCAGTCAGGGCCCTAGATTCTCTCAAGGCTGGTTTCCCCTACCTCGGCCCTGGCAAAGGGGCAAGAGGCACATTCCATGGGCCACCTGGGGTAGGTGCACCCCACCAGCCCTGCGGAGGCACCGTGTTCATATCTAGCTGGTATTGCAGGACGCGCTCCCCGCCAACGCCACTGGCATCCCACACAACTGCATTGGGGGACCAGGAATCAGGGTTCCTACTCTTGCCCCTTCTGGTGAAGCACACCCAGGGTGCTAACTCAGCCACAGGCTGCCCCATGTCCCATTGACATTTGCAAACCCTCCTGGGATGAATTTCTCCATGGCTCTCAGGAGAACATGTCCCAGGGGGCCGCCCACTCTGTCAGTGGGGACGGGTGTTTCTAGGTTGGATTTTTTGCTCTCCTAACAATTTGGCAAAAGTTGTTTTATTCACATGCTGAAAGCTGCTGTTGGGCTAAATTTAACTACAGTGTACCTTCCTGTTCCTTCAGCAGTTCCTCCCTCCCACTGGAGGGGGCAAGAAAAGTGAACGAAGGCTAGTTTTTTTATCCTTTATGTAAAAAACAACTAGAAAGCCCTTTGTTGAAGCCAGCCTCAGAGTGGGAAACACACACCTGACAACTGCACGTTTAATCACACTCGTTTCTACATCGCTAACGTGGGCTAATTAGTTATGGATTACAAGTACTATTTCTCTTTCATAAACTTACCAAAAAAACCTCTCCCACGTATGAGCAAGGAATCTGTGAAAAAGCTTTAGAATTCTGGCTTCGTATGTTCTTGGGGGTAAATAAATTTGTGCCAAACACCTGAAAAGCTTTCCTGTTAATATATGTTGGCTTTCTCACTTAAAAAAAAAAACCACGTCTTTCTTCCTTAGAATGTTAGTTTCCAAATGCAAGAAGTCTGGCGTGAAGCTCTAATTTTGCTCTACCCAGCCCAGCTCTCCACAGCTCAGCTTCTGCAAAGCACAAAGCAAACACTGGGACAACTGGCTGAATGGGACCCCTACCTCACACCATATGCAGAACTTTACTCAAAGCAGATCAAGACCTCAATGTCAGAGCTAAAACTAACATTCCTGGAGGACAACATAAGAATATATCTTCATGACCCTCGATTAAGCAATGGTTTCTTAGATGTCACACCAACGGCATAAGCAAATACGTAAGACTCCAAATTAAAACTTTCATGCTTCAAGGACACTATCAAGAAATTGAAAAAACAACCACAGAATGGGGGAGAACTATTTCCAAACTGTGTGCCTGACACCAAAAAGCCTGGGCCCCATGACCCAGGAAGACCCTCAACTCAAGCACTGAGGTTGACAGAGCTGAAATGTGACTTGTGGAGCCCCAGGATGGACACTGGACACTCAAGAGCAAAGGCCACATTTGAAAGTAGAGTTAAAGCAAAATAGCGTAGGGGCCCATTGGTTGTTTTTATGGCCAGGTGAACATGGGGCCACTCACCTGGTCTGTGGAATCTGCTCAGGTACTTATGCCCTTGGCTCCGCAAACCTTCCAGGAAAATAGGAACCATACCTTGGCCAAGATCAACAGCTTTTAAAGATTTCAGAGGAGCAACAATCCCTGGAGGGGTTTAGGAGGCCCTGAGCTTGGCCATGCACAGAGTTCCAGGTGTGATGTGGTTCTCACAGCACTGGGTGGGGGTTGGGGGGATGGGATGGGGACAGCACAGCCACACAAAACTATTATCTAGAAACTGAAGCTATGGCCCCATGACCTGCTTCCTGGAAAGCAGAGGGTCCGCTGGCCAAGACCTCCCTACTCCATGTGGAACTGCTTTCTAAACCAGGAAGACAGAACGCCCCTGTAGACATGAGGAGGTCAGTCAACGCGGGCCTTGTGGAGACAGACAGAAGAGGGTCTGGTGACTGGAACGCGGGCAGAGCTGGCCAAGGTCCCAGCAGCAGTCTTGGCTGACATGGCCTCCCATGAAAACACGGGTCAATCCCTTTAAACCAACAGCAAGCGCCGACCTCATTCACCACCTGCTCTGAGTCCTGCACCACGCCCGGCAGAAATCATTTGTCGACCTCTTCCCCCTTGGAGCTCTCCAGATGCGGCGAGGAGCCCAGCCTGTTACGCACAAGGCCTGAGACTCACGACCCCAGCCAGCTGACACCAAGCATCCACGTTACTCTCTGGCCAGACTCCTGGTCAGATCACCCACCCACCAGTGTGGAGGGGGTCTGCGCTGTCGAGGGGGACACACTCTATGCAAGGTGGGCTTACAGAAATTCCCAGATACTCACTTTTGAAAAAAGGCCCACTAAGCTTTAACAAGACAGAGGCCTAGGAGAGCAGTCTTTGCACAAAACTGAGGACCACAGCAGGGCCTTCTTCAGCAGCTTGGCCGCTGTCTAGTTGTCCCGGCATGGCTCACCCCACGTCCTCCATGGACAGAATGAAATCCACACCCACGGGGTCAGAGGAAGTGCTGTGAAGGCGGCAGAGCTGGGGGACAAGTTTGGCCCCTGAGACCCCGAGGGCCTCAGTAGTCCAGTGTGAGAAGAGGCCAAGGGTCAACCACGACAAGAAAAGCGCCATTCCCCGCTGAGGCCAGGCAGCTCCAACCTCAACACACAAGCCCTCTCTTCCTTCTCTGCTCACTGCTCTCCCAGAAGCAGAGGAAACAGGTTCAAGACCTACCCCCTTTGACAGACATGGAAATAGAAGCACAGAGAACTCAACATACTTGCCCAAACACAAAGCAGGTGGCACTCCTTCGGGCCATGCATTCAACTACTTTATGCTCCTGGGCTGAAATCATATTCCTGGGGTCTACGGCACGTCCAGGAGCCTGAAAGGGGACCAAGAAACCCAGTCTAGCCTAGCAGAATGAGCTCCATGAACAAAGGGTGAGGCCAGGTTCAGGCACTCGCTGAGTTCAGTCTGGTAAGGGGGCACAACCAAGATGCGAATACTTCAGGGCAGCAACGGGCAGGAGGGATGATCACTGCTGTTCTGCCATGAAGGCGGAGGGTGATCTGGCGAGGTCACAAGAAGGGCTGGGAGTCTCAGGAGGTCAGGCATCAGTCACAACCAGGGCCTCAGAGGCACAGAGGCCAGTAGCAGGTGACTTGCCCAGGGGCACACTGAATGCAGGGAACACCGGGCCATGAAACCCAATGACTGATCAAGTACAAAAGCCAAACGGAAGGCCCGCAGAGCTCACTGATGTCGGGTGTGTTCAATGTTTTGCTAGAAAAGGCTGAGCTGTCAGCACCTGGGAACCGTTCAGCTGCTCTTGGATTTGGAAGGGAGGCCATGCCGAGGTTCTTGCTCTACCAGGCTGGGGTAGGGGCAGAGTCCTGGCTATGTGGCTCCACAATGCTGGAATGTTTTTACTACGCAGGCATAGATTACTCTGCAAGAAAAGAGACGCCACAGGGAGTCTCAAAACACCAGTCAGGCCCTTAGCTGCCCTTGCACACGACAGCTCACGCACACACTTCCATCTGCCCCACGCCGGCCTGGGCGGTGGCCTCTCCCCTGGCCCCAGTCTGGCTGCGGTGCTGAGCTCTGCCCTTCTCCTGCTTCCCTGCCGGTGCACACACATGCGCTGTAGGGACGCTCTTCCAAGCATAGGAGTGGCCAAGAAGCCCTGGAGCTCCAGGTGCTCCACAGGCCCCATCTTGGTGCCTGCTATACATAGTCACAGTTAACTGTCCTTTTATGAATTGCCTTTCCTGGCCCCCAGACCAGAGAGCACCTAAACACAAGCCTTGGGTCTTGCCCACCTGGGAGCCCCAAACATCTGGCCACAGGCCTGGCACATAGCAGGGGACAGGTCAATGAGGAAGGATGGAAAGAAGGAAGAACAGCAGGGGTACAGGTCAATGAGGAAGGAAGGAAGGAACAGCAGGGGACAGGTCAATGAGGAAGGAAGGAAGAAGTGAACAAGCCTCTAAGCTCACGCTGGGCTCTGCCCAGGGCAGTGGTCTGTGTCCAGGACTCAGGGGTCCTGGGGGCAGCCCGGAAGAGGTTTCCTTGCTCCCTTACAACTCTCTCTGGCTGGACTGCATGGCCAGCACACAGGAAGGGCTGGACTCATCCCTCTGCTGGTCTGCAGGGCCAGCCTGGGGTCACAGCCCCTGGACCTCACCCCCAAATGTCCTTGTGCTCTGAGATGGGGGAAGCCTGCCGAAGGTTTAAGGGTCAAGACCCTCAAGAGCAGTGCGTCCTCTGCCCCAGGACAGACCTCAAGGTGCAGAGGAGTCTCAAACAAGAGGCAAGGCTGCTTGAGGACTCAGCAGCAGGGGTGTGGGCCGATGGCGGCGACCCTCTATACAGATTCTGATAGGGCTAAAATTATTGATGGAGGTGCTTTCTACCTAGGAGATCAGCGTTCACACCTCCAGTTGCTGGAAACCGAGGCCACACGAAAAGAAGCCATGAGAGTGACCAGCTCTGGTGACAGGTAACTGTCACAACCATCAGCCTCCTCAACAGCCCCTCCACACAGACCACGCGCTCCTCCCTCCATCCTGGAGTCCTCAGGCAGTGACCCTAAGCAACTAGACAGGGGTCACATGTGCCCCCATTAATCCAGTTGCATCAAGAAAAACGGCTGGAAGAAAATGGAAAAAGCTCAGAAAGATCTTTTTGTGGCTCTTTGGGCTGGGACTGCGTTTCTCACATCTGAAACTTTGCCCCCAGGGTGTGTCCTGAGCTGAGCCCTGTGCAGGCTGCAGGCTTGGCTGTATTTTGTGAAGACAAAGATATGAAAATGGCCGCAGCCCCATTCGTTCGTTGTTTCTGATGATCCCTGCTGCATCTGGTGCAGGCAGGGCTCGGGTGACAGCACGTGACACGGGGAGATTGCTGGCTCGCAGCCACCGCCGGAGGGCTCCGCGACTTGTGCCATAGCCGGCCAGGTCAGCCTGAGAGCGACAGCCGACCCCACCACCTGCCAGGTGCTGCCACTCACGCGGGCCTGGAGCCCCCATTTGTCTGTGTCACCGGGGCTGGTGGGCCGCACTGGGGTCCCCGCAGCATACGCCTTCCTCACGTTGTCACTCTGGACTGCTTGGCCAGCAAACTGGACTAGAAATAGGAGCCTATTGTGTGTATGCACAAAACCCACCAAGATAAGGCAGGTAGTTCGTGGACTGAGAAAAAGCAAACATACATTAAAAATAGCCAAAGCATCCGAAAATAAAATAGATACTGAAAACAATCCCCAAACCCCAAACCACCCCACTATAAGCAGTGCAACACCGCCCATCCCGAAGGGGAGAAGAGAGTCAACTTCCAGAAGGGCGTTCCTTGTCCCTCCGATGGGAGGGAAGCACTTGAGTTAGGCGGCACCAGAACGAAGATGCGTTCAGGCTGGCGGCGTCCCAAACAAGCAACACTGGATTTCCAGATGGCCGCGTCCTGGACCAGAGGCCGGCGGGACTGCCCAGCCTGTGCTTTCCTGAAATGTCAACATTATCCTCCACACACACACCGTCTACTTTCCCTGCTGGCTCCGACAGATCCAAATGTGACTGCGGATTCTGTGGAACCTACTGTACAAAACGTACAGCCATGTACACAGCTGAAGCGCTACCAGGGACGCCAGCCCCTGCCCCCTTCCCGACAGGGTGTGGGGGATAATGCCACAATCAGCATACGATAAGGAATGAGGAGGGAAACTGCAGCTATGGGGTGGATCATTTAACAGAGACATTTGATTTGCTGGCTGGCTTCTGCCTGCAGACTTCCCTGGCACTGGCTCGCTGCCACGCAAATTAAGTAAAAATCAATATCCTCCGGTCTGTAAAACATCGTGTTAGCAATCACACTGCAAACAACTTATATAATACCCCTCACTCCATACCCAAATAATGGCGAATGTTTTTGTTAAAAGGCAAGTCTAAAATAAACAGGAAAAAGAAAAGAAAAGAAAAGGCAATCTTACAGGTTCCTCCTTCGGCAAAACCTTTCCACGACTTGGGTGAGGAGATAATCTTTCTGTGATTATGACCAAACCCTCCTGTCACTTAGCAACACATAATTAAGGAATATGTTTTCAGATCCGCTTTGCAAGCCCGGCCATTATCAGATGAAATTACTGGAGCAACAAATGTCATCGCCATGCAAATCAGTTGGTTGCAAAGAAAGAATGTTTGACTGAGAGAGCAGGCACAGGCCCTCGGAAAAATTATCTGACGTCCCTCCTGCCGCACATGTATTTGAGAAAGTCAAATAATGATGTGATCAGACTTCAAAAAAATCCATGAGACAAAATCAGAATCTATACGACAAAGCAGAAAATCAGGCCAGTTGCTCAGTCTCCACTTGGAAACAAAATGCAAAATGCCTGGAGGTCATCTCTAGGAGGTAATATTAATAGCACACACGGGCCACACAGCGATGGCAGAGAAACTTAAGGTGGTCTCTGCAGGGTTGTGAGGTCCAGCGCCTCGGTCCCCGCCTACAGCTGCTTCAGGGCTATTTTCAAAAAGGTAGATCTTATTGTTTCATCCTGATTTTCACAAGCTATTCAGGAAAAAAAAAAATCATTTGAAAAGGATTCTGTTTTCTGAATGACGTAGGGGAGGCTGGCGGGGAGGAAAGAATTATGTTTGAAAGGAAGAAAACTGATTTACATTTTAAATTTGTGGTCAAGACTCTAGAGTTAAAATAAAAATTGTAAATGGTGCTCTGAGGACGCCCACCTAGGACTTCATCCACAATGTCCAAGGAAACACACGCCATAAATCACACCTGGCACATGTTGTGAAGAAAACCACCTACCATCACTCTCCCTTTCCTGGACTTGGAAATATATCCTTCCCTTCAAGCACGCGGAATTCCCAACTGTATTTTCTGATATGAGAGACTAAATCTGTTTTTGAAACTGAGTTCTGAGGGATTTCAACATCTTGCTTTGTTTAACCCACAAGTATGCAAACACACACATTTTCATCTCCACGGTGGGTAATCACTGCCTCTGATACGGCGTGCGGACCCGTGAGAGGTACGTTTCCACACGATCACGCCCTTCTAAATGGAGGATGCACACTTTACAGCCAGCATTTGATGAAACGTTCCTGCCTTCTCCAAAGTTCCCTAGTGTGAACTACAGAAAGGGCCACCCCTCGTGAGCTCAAGGCTGCAGTCTGTTCTGAGTGACTTGCGACTTTCTCCAAGAAACACAGTTGAGTTTTACCACCGTAATGGGAAATCTACACATCAACCCGACCTCAACTAAAGAACAGGAGGGCACTGCTGCCCCAGCAGATCTGGCCTGACACACAAATCTGATTAACTTAAGAGAAGCCGTGTCAACTGGCCACAGTGCTGCGTCCTTCTTGTTTGGTGGTGTGTGTGTGTGTGGCCTGGTGAGTGAGGACTTGCCATCCTATGTTCAAACTTCTACAACCCCGCACCCCCCTGCTCCCCCCAGGTCCCCAGGCAGGGCAGGCGGGGAGGATGTATTACTTGGTTCTGGTGCAAGCATGGTGGACACGATGATGGGTGCCCCTGTGCGCCGGGCCACCTTCTGGTACGGTGAGTGAGGCGTGTGGAGGCTCTGGCTGGCCGGCGGCAGGGTGGATGGCCCCAGGGGTGCACCTGGCTTCCGCAAGACCTGGGGGCTGCCGTGAGGGCTGGGCAGCGGAGAGGCGGCCACGTTGCGCTCCCTCTTTAGCAGCTCCATGGGCACCGTGTATGCCGTGGAGTAGGCTGTTCTGGGGCCTGGGTGAAGGGGGTTTGAGGGGCCCGGGTTAGTCAAGGCCACCCCTGCCTGCAGGGGGTACGTGGGGCTCAGACGCGCTGTCAGGGCGCAAGGGGTGGGAGAGCTGTACCCGGAGTTGGAGGGGAAGTGTGGGGCATGGGTGCCCACGCCAGGGGCAGAATAGGTGGCTGCCGTCTCCAGGAGGTGCTGAGATGGTGCGCTGGAGGGACGGCGAGCCGGGTCTCCAGCTCGGGGGGATGCTGTCTGCAGAGGAGCCGCAGCGCCCAGAGAAGCCAAGTCACCATGGAGCAGTTCGCTTCGGTGGCTGAAGCTGCTGGACCGCGCCCGGGGCAGCGGGCCCCCCCGGTCCTGCCTCCGCAGCTGCATTTCGGTCCTGCAGCTATTGGCCAGGCGGCTCAGAACACGGGCCTGGCCCAGGTTGGGTGCGACAGACTTGATATCCGCGTCCTCCAGGGTAGCCAGGACGGCCGGGGAGTCAAAGCCCTGCTGCAGTAGGGCTCCCAGCGTGGCCTCTGCCAGCCCCTCCGCCCGCAGAAAGGCCAGGAACTCAGGGAGCACGGTCCTCTTGCCACCAGGACCCTGGAAGGTGGACAGGTCAGCTTCGTAAGTCTCGTAAGCCATCTTGGATGGGATGCTTTCCCGGGCAGGCCCGTAGCCACGATTCAGGGCCCCTGGGGCCACCCCTGTGCTGCCTTCGGGGGCAGCAGCTGAACTGGGGTCCACAACCAGGCACGTCGGGGCCACCTGTCTGGCAGGGGCAGGGTCAATGGGTCTTTCGCTGATGTCGCTGAAGACCTGGCTGAGGGGGTAGGCAGGCACCTCCGCCCCATACCTGGTGTCGGGCTGCTCCCGTCCATACCGCCCGGGAGATGCAGCCCTGCTCTGTGTCTGCCGCCCCTGAGGGATCATTTTACCTCCAGGATCCCGGTACAGGTGACCGGCGTCCTGCAGGGCAGGTGACCGGCCTTGCATTGGATCCCATGACGTTCTGCTGCCAAGCACTCCGTAGCTGGGGACCGGCCGGCTGACTCCTGGGTCCCGATAGAGGGGAGGCTCTTTGGGTACCCTAGCAGCTCCAGACGGATCACTGTAGTACTCCCGTGGCAGCAGGGGGCTGCGACCAGACATCACTGCCTGTCTGCTGTCGTAGAAGGTGAAGTCAGGAGTAGACCCCTTTCTTGCAGCCACTGAGTTATAAACGGCCTCCCGGTACAGGTAGGGCTCGGCGGCCACGGGCAGGGCAGCGTCCTGTGGTCGGTGGTTTGGCTCAAACCAAGTCCCCTCTGCTGTGCCATACGTCAGGGAGCTTCTCCTCCCCAGAGGCCGCAGGGACTCGGCGTTCTCCCAGGGGCCCTCGTACCACCCAGCAGCATCCCAGCTCTGAGAACGACCAATATTTATATGCCTGCTGGGAACTGGCATTGGAAAAAAAATGACTGCGGATGAGGCAGAGGAGAAGCTTTTCTTTATAAATCTTCAATTACATACATCAAAAACAGACCTGGCTGTGTGCTAACCCTTCCGAGACGGCAGGGACAACCAACTGGGGGTTTTCTGTTTCAAAGCATGGCCTGAATTATTAATCCTCCGAAACCTTAGCAGACAAAACATAAGACTCACGGTAACTTTGCCTCACTCCCCAACGATAGCCAGAGAGGTCTGTTCCTTACAGCTCAGTCCCGGAGAGGAGGCTGTCCCCAGCCTGCCAGGTCCCCCTTCCTGGCTGGTGTGCTCACATGGACCAGGGCTCTCTCAGCATGCGGATTAGGAGCTAAATAAAACCCTAAAGCTTTGTTCCATGTGACATCTCGTTAGACTGATGAAGCCGGTGGCTTGCTCTATCCAGCCCTCCCAAGCTGCAACTGGGATTTACTTCCACACTGACGCTCAGGTTTATACTCCCTCTTCCAAGCACCAGGGTACTTTTAGGATGAACCCTGCCTCCCCCTCTGGAAGGGGCTGTTCCCACCCCTGCCACTGATTCCTGAGAGGTAACAGAAGCAAAATAAGGCTGCTTCAATGTCAGTCCACTCTTAATCCACCGTGATGAAACGTTAATCCATGGCACAGCTAAACACAAATTAAACATGGATAAACAGAAAAAGGTCCACACGTGATCCTAGGCCATGGATGCCTAGCCCAAAAAAGGGCCAGCTCTGAAACCTGATGCTTTGATAATACTGAGATCTGGCTTTGAGACGACTCTTTGGTTGTGAATCAAACAGGTTTCCGAGCTCAAGCCCAAATGCATTCTTTACCTTATTACTGTGAAACACAGATGGGCTCATGCTGCCGGGGGGCCGGGGAGTGCCAGGGAAGGGCGTGTGTAATCTGGGATTTAAAGTGACTGCAACAGAGGTCACAGGAACAGGAGGATGGGTGACTAAACCTTACACTGCAAAGCAGAACTGGGAAGCGGCTGCATCTGAATATCTCATCTTCCTTTAGGTATGTCAGGATGAAAAGCCTAATTCCAGCAGGCTTAGATCCTGCAGATGCTTTTCCATATTCACATGGATTAAGCTTTCAGAGTCCACAAAGGACTTCAGGCGCAATAATGCAAAGAACAGCAGTTATTTAGATAAAGGAGTGCCCCGAAGTATTAAGACATTTCCTTAAACATATGGAACAGTACCAGAGAAGCAACATCCCAGACTAACACGGTAGGTTCCTGCCCTGCAACTGCAGGATTCCCATGACAAAGAATTCATAGCAAAAATAAAAGCCGGTGATTAGGAAGCTACAAAGGCTGTATACATTGAAAGCACTTTAAAATGAGACAACATGCATACCTGCAAGCATTAAACCCGAGTGCTGTTCCTCACTCACATCTCTCTCAATCTAGC
This sequence comes from Homo sapiens, assembly GCF_000001405.40. Classification (NCBI taxonomy): domain Eukaryota; kingdom Metazoa; phylum Chordata; class Mammalia; order Primates; family Hominidae; genus Homo; species Homo sapiens. The sequence goes on from NC_000010.11 coordinate 125,029,184, forward strand.
ACTCTACTAGAATCTTCTAAAGAGAAATACCAGTCTTTAAATTTTTTTTTTTTGAGACACAGTTTTTTTTTTTTTTTGAGACCGAGTTTTGCTCGTTTCTCAGGCTGGAGTGCAATGGCGCGATCTCGGCTCACTGCAGTCTCCGCCTCCTGGGTTCAAGCAATTCTCCTGCCTCAGCCTCACAAGTAGCTGGGATTACAGGTGTGCACCACCACACCCAGCTAATTTTTATATTTTTAGTAGAGCCTACCATGTCTCTACTCTATCTACTTCACCATGTTGGCCAGACTGGTCTCAAACTCCTGACCTCAGGTGATCCACCCACCTCAGCCTCCCAAGGTGCTGGGATTACAGGCATGAGCCACTGCGCCTGGCCAGCGCCTCAGGATTAAGCCACCTTGCCAATTTCTTTCCTCCCCTTGTTGTAATGAACAACATGACCTTATGTGGTGTTAGTACTATGCTACCCCACTCATGGTGCATGCACACCCCTCAAAGATGGGTGGATAAACTTGGAGCATTCCGGGAAAATCCCCCATGCCAAGTCTTTTTTGTAGCAGGGTGAGGTAGCTCTGTTGACTCACCAGCTTCTTTGCTATCTGGTTTTCAGCTCAGCAAGTTCTCAAATGTAAACAGGGCTCTATAGAAGAATGTTTACCCGGTAGCGCCTAAGAAACCAGTAATGATTCTTCAGAGAGGTTACTGAGCTGGTGTCCAAGGGGTGATCGCAGGAGCAGGGCAGATGTGGGCAGATGCGCTTTGGGGCAGCATCAGCCTCCCATTGAACCAGGAGGCCCAGCTTCCATTTCTATCAACTTTCAACCTGTTCTGCTTGGAAACCACCCAAACTCGCACAGCCTTGGCTCTGAGATTTGACAAATATTATGACAGATGTTTTCCTGCGCTAGGTAAAAACACCTGTAACTGGACTCACTTTTCCAAACACTCTGGTTACACAAACACCACACACACACACACACACACACCACACTCCAGTCTTTTAGAAAGGACTGCTTTTCTTAAAAATTCTCATGTTGACTAAAAGTGAGATGGGACCCATTAGAGTAATACATCTCACGGGCTTAATTTTTTAATTCTGCCAAAACCCTCACTATAGAAATTATGTCAAGTAAAAATAAGATGATTGTGTAACATAGCTGTGTCGGGGAGAGAGGCGATGTCCACCCAAAGCCAATTCTGAAGTCCCTGTGCGACACAAGGTGTCAATTAACAACAGAGACCTACAGAGATCCAGACAATTCCAGAGATGGATCCAGACAGTTCCAGAAGAGCTGGGAAGAGAGGCCAGGATGGGGATGATCAGTGGGTACCCTCCGACGGAGCAGTCTTTGGACAAACTGCCAACAAGCATTTCATGTTCCCATTGGAATAATCATGCAGGAAACTGCTTGAAATGAGAGAGAAAACATGACTCTGGGGTCTAATTCTCACTTTTATAGAAAAAGAAGAACAGGTGGGATCAGTGAGTCTGAAGGTTGCAGTAACATGAGGGCCATTTGGCTCAATGGTGTGTCCCTCTTAACTGTGTTGTCACCCGCCCACTTGGTGGGCTGCCAGGTTTGTCTCAAGGCCTTCTCAGGGAATAGCTCATTCTCAGGAGGCAACTTAAGTTCCCAACTGAAGGAACTTAAGGAACAGCTTCCCCAGGGGGGTCCTGCACCTGCCTGGGCTTCCATTCCCTGATCCTGCCTCCACCAACACAAAGGGCCAGGGCAGCTCTGAAGGTGATAGCGGAAATAACATCTCAGGAGGCTCTTCAGCGCCTGCTGCATCCCAGGACGGAGCCACCACAGTGCCCTCTACGTCTCCCACAGCGAGCGCTTCCCTAGGGAGGCTGCAGAAGTTAGCGGGTAACACGGTTTTCTGGCAGACACAGGGCAGAAAAATCGGCCTATGGCATACCCATTTCCTGCTTTTAAATGTGGACAGCCTGTGCTGGATTTTTGTCTGCTTCTGTCAAGTTAAGTGTTGTGGAATTTGTGCCATTAAAAAAGTTTTCTTGGGCCGGGTGCCGTGGCTCATGCCTGTAATCCCAGCACTTTGGGAGACTGAGTGGGGCGGATCACCTGATGTCAGGAGATGGAGACCATCCTGGCCAACATGGCGAAACCCTGTCTCTACTAAAAATACAAAAATTAGCCGGGCGTGGTGGCGGGTGCCTGTAATCCCAGCTACTCGGGAGGCTGAGGCAGGAGAATGGCGTGAACCCGGGAGGTGCAGGTTGCAGTGAGCCGAGACAGAACCATTGCATTCCAGCCTGGGCAACAGAGCAAGACTCCATTTCAAAAAAAAAAAAAAAAAAAAAAAAAGTCTTTCCTCTCATCAACCCCCTACCCCCTGCCCCCGAACGTCCTCAACCCAAAGTAGCCAAGTTGGCTAATCTAACGCAAAGGGTGGGAGGCCACACCAAATGCACTGGTTACATAGCAAACACAAAGTCTGGCTGGGTTTTAAAGCAGCCTTCGTCTAAATCACGCAAGCACACAGCAACAATTAGCAAAACTGCCCAGACATCGTTTCAGGTATCAAAGGGGCTGAGTGCACCGTGCACCCTTGCTTGCACACTGAGTGCTCTCACCAATTTCTGGGCCTGGAGCGCGGAGGCTTGGGCACCCACGCAACGCGCCAAAGGAAGTCAGGAGAGTGACGTCGAGTGTCTGAACCAACCCAGCCTTTTTCAGATTAGCTGCATCCTAAGAAGCCCCAGTCCTCATGTCTCTCAGTATTTAGCCATGGTAAGTGAAAACAAAGGCCTGCACATTGCTTCTGACTCAATTTCTTAACTATATTGTAAAGCTTCCTGGGAACTGCATTATGAAAATTAGACCACTCATTATGGGGTTTCAAAAGAAAAAAAAAAACAAGCCCATTCTCTTGCACTGCCCATTTTGAAAGTGTTGGTGGAGCCAAAGTGTGCAACGGGACCCCAGCTGGGATGCAGGACAGGCCTCACCTTGGACCATGTCAGGATTCCCATTTCTAGCAATGGAACACACTCAACCTCAAGAGGCTGTGCTCAGCTCTGGACAGCACCCGGCACAAGACGCTCCGCACAGTAGGTGCTCAATGAACACCACCCCTTCTGCTCTTTAGCAGCTTTTCCTGCAGATTCCCAAAGTCTCCACCTCACCTCCATGGTGACCCGCCCCATCACACTCCACTGTTTGAGGTCTCCTCGGCTGTCCTGCGATCAGAAGGTCCCAGGATGCCGTCCTTCCTCTGGTTTTGTGAGCAATGCTCCTAATCAGGGCTGGCTCAGCGAGCCCTCCCCCATGAACCTTTCTCAGTCCAATTCTGTCACTTTGTCCTTAGTCCAAAAAACCTGCCACTCCTCAAGATGAGAAAGGCACCCCAAAAATAGTCCAGGGCATGCATGTGCCTGTAGAGACAGGCCAAGGCATGGCCGCTTAGCCCCTGACCTGCGGAGCGGAGCGCACCCCTCCCTCCACAGCACGTGCTCCCTCCATTCATCACGTGCTTTTCATTTTGTTTGACACCCGGGCTGTAAATCAAACTGTCGACTATGACTCAATGGTGATGGACGGCTGGCCTCAAGGGAGTGTACGGTGTGATGGGGAAAAACGACAGAGACATGGACACAGTCCCCAGAAGCCCCTCCCCACAACCACTTCAGCCCTCTGAGCCTGAGCCCACATCAAAGCCCAAACAGCCCCATTTGCAAGCCTGGGCATGGTAGGCACTAAGCTAGGCAAAGCACCCACCGCCCAAATACAAATGGCTGCCTGACAGAGACCTGCTCCACCTGAGCCTGCACACGGACAGTTTCAGCACACGGGCCTTGATGGGACGGTCAGCCTTTCTTAGGATACGAAAGAACTGACTCTCAGCCTCACTCCCAAGTCTCGGATAAATCTGCGTCACCCATCCCAGGTTGCAAATGGGAAGGGAGGAACCCTCCTGGCACAGACATCTCTTCAACCGGAACACGGAAAACAAAACCCTCAGGTGATGAGAAACAGGCTGGAGGGACAGGGAGTGTGGGATCCCACTGTGCCCCAGCGCTGGACACCCAGAATGCTCTCCCCTCTCGGCATCTTCACAGCCCAGCTGGGGTGCTCAGCCAGGCTCCTGCTGGATGTGGAAGGGCTGAGAAAGGCACGTGAGGTCACTCTGTAGATGGAGATGAGACAGAGACAGAGGAACGCCCTCGAGCGCGCACGCCAAGGTGCCTGAGCTTTAGTAGCAAGCGAGCCAAGTGGTAGAAACCAATCAGAGAGGAGTCTCATTTCACAGCTTTAACACTGTACGTTCTGGAAAAGGAGAGAGGGCAAGAAGCCGGCAGCAAAATGTATCTTGGGGTTCTGGTTCACAGTCACCCCAAATACCTGTCAATTAGGTTGAGCTGTGTGAAGCGCGCAGAAGGTTCTCCGCATTCGTGCGGGCTGCTGTCTGCTGCTGTCTGGCTACCCTGGGGCCTCCTCCAAACACGGAGACTACGGATGCACTGTTCCCCCCGCGGCACTCCTTCCCCCTGCCCACCCCAAGCACTGCTCCCCTCAAGGCACTGACTTGGCCTGAAACTAGAGATGCTCTTTTCCCAAAGGTGCCGGGACCAAGAGGACAGGCACTGAGAGTAAAGCCCTGGGCAGCTGGGCCCAGGGGCTCCGGGCCACACTGTGGGAGGTTTCAACTCAATCATCGATGGAGACAGGGCACCACCAACCAGGCGGTGGGAAACAGCGCGATTCACTGTGGTAGGGGCAGGAGCTGAAAACCGCAGCTGCAGAACCAAACTAGAAGACGGTGATGAACCCCCAAACCCCAGCCACAGACTCCAGTTGCACTACACATCCCTGGCCCCCCAAATAAAAGCAAAGTGGCCTTAACATGTTGCTATTAGAAAAAAGTGGTGAGTATGAAGACATCCGCCCATCACCAAACTGACCGGTGCAAAGAGACGCTTATGTTTGTGCTTGAGAAATGAGTAACAACAGAGAAATAAAACACCGAACCTGATTCACAGCTGCAGAACGGGAGGGCAGTCTATGAACCCCATCCCCAGAGTCGGTGGAGGAACAGGTGGGGTGAGGGGTTCCCTGGGGAGGGGTCCCCCACTCTGAGTTTCTCTTAAAGCCGGGGACAGATAAGGCAAAACATGAAACTTTACCCCTTGCAAAGAACCGCACTTTTGTCTGTGAAGCTTTGCCTTGGCTGTTTCCTGAACCTTTACCTTTGCATAAGATTGTTTGGGTATGTTCATTTGTGCTTTGGGGTTTTAAGGCATGTCTAGTTGACTATTGTATATTTACATAGCTAATGTAATTACAGCTAATCACATAATTGCTGGAAATGTGCATAATTGCCTGATCCCAACATATAATTATAATGTATAGCAACATTATGAATCCCATTTTTAAAATCCACATTTTGGGGCTATTTAAAGTTATTTATTAGAACTGTTTGTGGACTACCTATAGGCAGGCTTCAACTCTGTTTCTTTACGAAGCGCTCAAAGTGCTTTAAAAAAACAAACAAAAACAAAACAAGTCCTGATTTTATAATGCATCTGTACAAAGATAGGTGAAAAGAAAACAGCTACTCAGAACAAAAACAAATAAATCTTAAATACCAAACAAAACCATTTGTCAACACTCTGTGGATTATGTTCTTTCCTCGGGGAAAGAGAAAGTCACTCTCTCATCCTGGAGGCTCTGATGGGTGTTTGCCAGGCAAGGAGGCTGCTGGAAGAAGGAAAGAGCCAGAGGGACTTCTAGACCACTTGGGTAACCTTGCTGACCCTGGAGGCGCCTGTCTTTGTTCCTTATACGTATGGATGACCTTTCTTGGGGGTACATCCCACTGACATGTGCTTCCACCATGGCAAGTTCAACCCACTGAGAAGAGCAGAAGAGCCCGCGACACAGAAGAGACCCACTGGGGAAACTCCCTTCCACCTCATCCCCGGCAGCATCTTCTCAGACTTCTCATCCTCCTGCGACAAAGGTGATGCAGAATGAGATTCCCAGACTTTCTAACTATCTATGTGTTTCACAGAAACCAGCTTGTCTCCTTTTTCCTCATATCCACCCAACCAGCTCAACGTTCTCATTCCTTTTATCCTCTGTGGTCGTGAGAACATTCCAGAGGTGCGGAATGTTTCATGAGCTTGTTTATTTAAGAGGAGGTCCCTTTTATTTTTGCAGAGGAAATGGAGAAGCACCCTCCCTGAGTCATGTTACAAGGGGACTACTCACAACTCAGCTGATACCATCCTCGGGGGACCATTTTCCACGTCTCTAACACATTCGAACAAAACGCAGTAAAACGAAACACATACTTTTTTCAAGTTGCAATCGCAACAGCCGCAGGAAAGGGGAGCAGTGTTTACAGACTGATTCTATCATAATCCACAAGAAGCAGCTCTAACAAAAAGTTACCACCAACAACAGCCATTGTGGTTTATTAAGTTCTACAAACCCAGGGCTCTGCAAGATGCTCTTCTGGGTTCCCTTTGCAATGCTGAGTGATTGTTAGCTAGCCCTCATTTCCAACCAATAGATGTTTGGGGCAAACCAAAGGAGCTCTGGCATAATGCGATAAAGTAGGTACTAAAACCCTCCAGCTGGTGCAGTTCACAATGTCAATTATGTCAGCAGACTAAACAGATAGGAAGATCTCCATTATACTTGAGAATGAGGAGACCACAATCTTGTTCTGATCAGCCTGTGTTACGAGAGGGCTCCTTCGTAATAATTCTTACATGGTATTATAGGATTGCTTGATAGCAGGCATCAGAAAAAAAAGGAACAATTATAAATAGCAAACTCAAAGAGTTACATTAAAAAAATTAAAATGTGGCTTTTACATTGGCTAGAAAGACCATTATTCCAGCTCATTTGGCTGGAGTCCCAAAGACTGTCTGTGTCCTGCTCTCCGAGTAGAGACACAGCCTGGCGGAGTGAATCCCCACGGCAGATTCTGGGCACACAGAAGGATCAAGCTCCATGCCACTTTTTCTTGCTTTGAAAAGTTTCAAAGAGGAAGGGGCTGGACAGGCCTTAGAAAACAGGGAAAGGTTGTACAAGTATCTGTGCAGGGGTGATGCTCAGATTCCAGCGGAGTACCTGGAGTGGGACCCTGGAGAGGCCTGCCTGATTCCAGCCTAGGGACCCACGACCAGGGCTTGATGTTGGCATTGTGTAGCAGGCGGGAGGGGACGAATTTTAAGGAGCTGGTGTATCCAGACACCAAGAGCAGGAAGACAAAGTTCCTACAAGCCTGGGAGCAGACCGGGTAAGCACAGCAGAACATGGCAGCTTCATGCTTTTAATCATTTAGAAAGAAAAAAAAAACAAACCTAAGGGACGCAGAAGTCCCTGTGTCAGGTGTAGGCAGTGGGGAGGGAGAAAAAAACAGTTTGACAGGCTCTCTGCATATCAATACAGAACATTCTACAAGTAGTTGATAGAATAGAAACATGGTGAGAATTCAAAGCTAGAGGGGGTGTGTGTGTGTGTGTGTGTGTGTGTGTGTGTGTGTGTGTGTGTGTGTTTGTGTGTGTTAGATGTTCAAGGCCTTCAGGTGGAAGAAAGAGCTGAATCCAACAAGCTGGTATGAGAGAAGGCCAAACAGAAAAAAACAGACTGCCCGGGTTCCTGGGTGCAAACTGCCTACTGCTCAACGCCTCTCTGGCAGCACCTGTGAGATGGGTGCCACCTGTCCTGACCCATAACAGGTGCCACAAGGACTAAGTCAGCTTATACATAGGAGGAGCACCAACAAAGCACTTGGGACCAACTGTGAGTACTTAATGAGATGCCTAGGGAGCTGACATATAGATGGTGACCCACACTGGAGTAACTGCATTTTGGCCTGTCTGCGTTGATAGTTATTGAGAAATTTAAAATATATAACTGCAAATGTATCTGGAACACCATGCATAGACAAGGTAATGCAAACTTCTGTTATAAAAAATTGGCTGAAAATTTCCTATTACACATGAAGGGGGTGGGAAGGTTGGTGAACCATCCTTCAGCACCTGTCTGGATGGGACAGAGGGTCTGCAAGCAGACAATGGTTTTGCCCAAGTCAGGTTTATACAGCCATGGAAACACACAGAGGAAACGCTGCTAGCTCTTCAATCCCATTCTAGTTTCTGATGCAACATCCCTGGAGAATCCTGGGTGCAGGGGGTGGAGTCAGCCCCAGAGGCATTCCTGCTAGTAACCTTGGAAAGCTGAGTCACGAGCGTGTTCCAGAAGCAAGTACTCAGTAACCTCAATCAAGCACCTTTACAGTGGAAGTCAAGAGTAAATTTTACAACTCCCCATACAATCTGGTGAACCTATACTGTGGAATAGTCTACAAATCAATGGGGCCTGGGCTCTTCAGTAAGTCCAATGTCTCTGAAAGTCAAAAAAGCCCAGGGGATAATTTTAGACTAAGGAGACTAGAGAGATGTAACAACTAAACACAATGCGTGACCCTTATCTATTGCACAGGCAAAGAGACGTGGAGGAAATGCGAATATGCAGCCTATACTAGACAATACTGTCCCTGAGGTTAGATTCCTGGGGTTCATTCCGGTACTGGGAGCAGTACGAAATTGGATAAAAGGTGCCATGCCATAGGTAGTCCAGAGTAAAGTGCTGCCCCTGAATTTTTTCAGATGGTTCTGGAAGAAAATCCATCATCTACTCACACAGTGTCTATTTATATGTATATCTCTATCTTTATCTCCCCTCAAAAGAATCTGGAAAACTGAATGGAATATTGGTGTTCACTGTACCATCCTACCAACCTCTCTGTAGGTTTTTATAATTTGTGAATGTTTACTTTAAAAAAACCCTTTAACGCCAAACTCCTTATACTGAACCCCAGGAATGTCAGTGCTTTTGTGTTCTTGCAGCGCAGAGTTCTGTGAGGCCATGGAGTCACTCAGCAGAATGTCTATGATGTCCCCACCCCGTGTGGCATGAGCCACATCTACTTATAGGACAGACAATTCCATATGGGCAGCTGCAGGGGAAGCCCTGTGGGTTGCATATTCCTGTCCACAAACTGGTGGGTCAGCTACTAAACTTCAGCGTGTGCGTGAAGGGTGCAGAGGGGGCTGCGGAGCCATCTTCGCTTCCCTCCGAGAGCCACCCTGTAGGGCAGTACCAGCAATCACCCTGAGCAAAGAGCAGCCCTGTAGCACTGACCCCATCTGGCAGGTGCACTCACCCCTAAACCCGAACCCACACGCTGGTTTCTTACCACCCGCTAGCTGGAAGAGCGCAGTGCTTAATCAACACTTCAGAGTTTTGTCCCCAGGTTTCCATTAGATTTTAATTATGTTTATTTTTCCTTTCATGAACAGAACACTTCCAGACATTTCCAAAGATACCAGGGACATGAACACACCACGAGGGGCAATGCTGGGCTCTTCAGGAATCTCATAGTATCAGGGAATTCAGCATTGTAAATATCTTAATCCAAAACAGGTAAAGTCCTGAGATTTCAGGAAGTGAAAAAAGATGGTCCTAATCAACACCATCTTTTATATGCAAAATAACCTTAGGTACATGGAAGACATAGACCTCAGGGCCCACCAGCCCTGAAACTGTCCTCCTAGTCCCCAACCCCGCCCCAGAAGCCAGGCCTTGTCCTAAGCCAAGGCCAGGCCCACGGCCAAGGACACCCAGCAGAGGGTGCCAATGGTATGCAGTGTTGGAATCGGAGGAGGGACTCTGGCTTGGGGAGTGGCACAGCCAACTCAAGGGAGCAGCCAGCGAAGATTTGAGTGAGGGACTACGTATGTTTGGTAAAAACCGCCAAACACGCTCTTACCTTCACAAATTCTGTCCAATCGCTGTCTCTTGACTTTGTGCTTATCCACAAGGGCCATTCTTTATGGAACTTTGCAACTCTCAGATCAAAAGGCAAAGCAGTCCTCTAAGAACTTAGGGGAACTTGCAGGAGTCTGCGTGCATGACGCCACTATGAACCCTGAAACAAGGAGAAAAGAATCCTTACTCTCTGGAGACCCTCTGGGCACAGGACAACAGCTCACTGGGGACTTAACTGCTACTTTCTATAAGGGAACCTGCCATGCGGACACATGGGACTTGCTCTTTTCCCAAAGCACTGGGAATGGAGGCTGCACCAAGTGCATCTCAGCCGCCTCCTGCTTCTTATCTCATAATAGAAAGCAAGTGAATGCACACAAGACAATCGTCAGTTATTTCTGGAAGCAGCAAATTCCAACAGATCTCTTGCTTTTAACTTTAGGGCTATAAATTCCAATTTACTGACCAATTTGAAGTGTAATAAATTATATTCCAGTGGCAGAGACCAAGTGACAGCCAGTTGGACCTGCCCCAAACGCACTCACACTGAGATGCAGACGCACACCGTGGCGACTCGAGGGGCTCTGCGAAGGCCTGCTGCCAGGTGAGTTACAACAATGCTTTCCAAAACAGCCGCGCAGGGGTCAGGGGTCAAAGCCACAGCTCAGCACAACACAAAACCCTGACTCTACCACGTGAGAACGCGGGTGGGAAGCCCCAGCAGCTCCTAACCAACGTTCCTCCGATGCCGCCTTCCTGAACCTTCCTTGCAGCTGGAGGGGACCGCAGTCAGCACCAGCAAGGGCAGGGTCCCAGGCTGCTGGCCTTGACACTTGGTTCCAGCTATATGGGCTGAAGTATTTCTTAGTGTGAGAGTGTAACCATCCCCATGACGTTTCAGGTAGAGGTGAGGCTGATGGAGGAGGCAAGAAAGGTCTCCCATGTGGTTTGGGGTATGTGGGATTCTCTAGAGGGAGACCTGACTGCGGCCTGGGGAAGAGGAGCTGCTGCCCATCCTCCTTCTCAGGAGGATCTGAGCACTTTGGAAGCCTCTGACTGTCACCAATGTGCCCGGTGAGGTCCAGATCATTAACAGCTGTCCCCAATATCCCAGCTTTTAAGTCACTGCTCTGGAACTGCATTCTTTACATTGATTAAAGGAGGCTTAATGAATCTTGGCCAGGCACGGTGGCTCATGCCTGTAAGCCCAGAAGTTTGGGAGGCCGAGGCGGGCAGATCACCTGAGGTCAGGAGTTCGAGACCAGCCTGGCCAACATGGTAAAATCCCGTCTCTACTAAAAATACAAAAATTAGCCGGGTATGCTGGCAGGCACCTGTAATCCCAGCTACTTGGGAGGCTGAGGCAAAAGAATCACGTGAATCTGGGAGGTGGAGGTTGCAGTGAGCTGAGGTTGTACCACTGCACTCCAACCTGGTGACAGAGCAAGACTCTGTCTTTAAAAAAAAAAAAAAAAAAAAAAAGGTGGCTTGAATCTCAACTGGGAAACAACATTTAAGGCCCACTCTATTGTCTTCTGTATTTTTTTTTTCCCAAGGAATACAATTAAATCAGTCTTATTTTAAGACCACCACCACAACCACATACACACACACACACACACACACACACAGAAAAAGTGGTTCTCAGTGATCTAGCAGAAAGAAAGAGGAGAGATAAAGATAAAAATGAGGCCCAAGGGGTAGAAATGAGGATAATGATGTACGGTCATCAGTTATGCAAAACATTAAGAGTTACTTTATCAAAAGGTCAGACTGCAGGTCTACCAGGTTTCTGTAAGTTAACGGCTAATTTCCCAGCAACGAAGCTGAAAAGGCATCCGAAAGATTTATGGCGATAATTACGTGATTCTCCATAAAAGAGCTACGAAAAAGCACAATTTCCAATCACATAAATAATTAATGTAACATCCCTGAGATACCAAACCCTTTCAACGATTGGGAAGTTCCCCCAAAACGGGGACTGACCATATCGGATCAGTCAGGAGATGGAGGTTGTCATAGAATGTGTGGGGTTACCCTTGAGCAGATCCATGTGGACGTATTTTAAAAATTGGTTTTGCTAGTGTTGGCTTTTTTATTTTTGGTGAGACAGGGTCTGTTCTTCACTCAGGCTGGAATGCAGGGGCAAGCTCATGGCTCACTGCAGCCTCAACCTCCCAGGCTCAAGCAATCCTCCCACCTCACCTCCTTAATAGGTGGTACTACAGGCATGTGCCAACATGCCTGGCTAATTTTTGTATTTTTTGAAGAGATGGGGTTTCACACCATGTTGCCCAGACTGGTCTCGAACTCCTGAACTCAAGTGATCCACCCACCTCAGCCTCCCAAAGTGCTGGGATTACAGGTGTGAGCCACTGCGCCTAGCCAGTGCTGGGCTTTCTGAAAGGTAACCACACAAAAAAAGAGTCCCTAACTATAGCCAACTTAAGAGTTATTGGAGTGGGGGCGGGGGGCCAAACCTATTGATCTGAGCTTTTGTCCATCCCCACCCCCCCCCCCCCCACCCACAAGTGACTCTAGGTGAGGCTGACCAGGGAGGCTCGGGCCAGCAATTGTCATTTGCTCAGGCGCAAGCTCTGATGGTCAAACTGCAGTCTGGCCCCTCCTTGACTCTGTTGTAAAAACAGATTTCCACATCAGCTGCGTCATCCAAGGGGGGAAGAGAATTAATCAGTTAATTTTTGTGAAGACCTCGGAGATGAAAAATGACAGCATTATAATCTGAGGCAAGGGGGGTTTCACACCCTCCTCCCCCAACCCCCGAGTGAGGCGTAATCATTCCTTTTGCTTTCCTTTGAATTTTAATTTGTATAATTAGATGGCTTCCTGAAAAATTGATAAGTAGAATCTCAATCATGCAATCAAAGGAAAGATCAGCCATCAGCTTCCACAAACGCCAATATTCCACTATTAAAAAAAAAAAAAGAGGCTGACTCCCATGTCTGGCTTTTTTGGGGGTGGGGGTGGGGGAGGGGGGTCACTCTGTTCTGGACCTTCTGTGGGTTCCTTTCTGCACACCCCAGGCCAGTGGCACCGACCCATGTTTAGGGCTGGCCATCTTGGCTCCCAAGGCCACCAGCCTCTGGGTCTGGTCTGGGCAGTGACCATTGACTTGTGTAGCCTCAATCCTCTCCCCCGATATCTCTTGTGCAAAAAGAATGTATGAAATGTGACATTTTCCTCCTTAGCCCTCCCAAGGAGCAAGCTATTTACGAGGACTTAATTAACATAACCATCTTCCAATGACAGCCACAGGCCCTCCTTAGAGCTGAGCTGCACACAGCGGCCTCCAGCTGGTCTCCATGCTGAGCAAGCCAGCACCCCCGATCCACGCTGGCTCTGGGCTCCCTGACATCACAGCTCTCTTGGTGATGCCTGCTATGAAAACCAGGCTCCACTCATAAATCAATTTTTCCCCCCTAAACACCAAACAATACGGGCACAAATAAGGAAGGAACAAAAGCAGAGGGAACGTGTTTCACTATTCCACTTCTGCTGAAATTGTTCCTCAAATCATGCCAGGGGCGGAATCGTGGGTGGAGGGAGTTCTAGACCCCACTCGTGGAATGAGCTTGGATGAGCTGTTCTGGAGACTCAGGCTCCTTGTCTGTAGAATGGGATGTCACTGTGATGTCCCAGAGTGGCAGTGAGGACCAGCCAGTGAGGATATGCACAAAAACACTCGGTGGGAGCCTGCAGGTCTCTGTGAGCTGCTCCTGCCTTTCCTTTGACACCCCCTTGCACACTCATCCCCGCAGCGAATAATCATTCCCTTCTGGCTGAGGCTGGGAGGTAAACCTCAGTGAAGGTCAAGGTCAACAGGAAAGCTGTATCTTTTCAAAAGGAAGAAGAGTGCCCTGAAGCCAAACCGCACAAGAAACACTACCTCCTCCCAAAAGGAAAGTTACGGGTATCACAGGCCAAACTCCAACCAAAGATCAGAAACGTGGACCTTAAATTTTATTTGCTTTAAGTGAGGGCTGTGATCTAGGGCTGAAATATTTGGTGCCAAGAAATTCAACTCATTTCTGAAGATGAACAAGGCTTGGAAAAGAAAGCCACTTGTAGATACTTGGTTGTTTCCAGAGGGGACGGGTATGGAAGATTTGTTCCGTGGAGGTATCACAGAGAATGTGACATTTTTGAAGACGTGAGAGAACAAAAAGGAAAAACGGCACATTTTACAAACCCTTGCTTGGCTATCAAACTCCAACATATCCAGAATCAAGGGCAGGGGAAAGGGGAGGGTTCCCCTCATCAAGCACAGTCTAAAATCTGGGCAGGTTAATTTTACTCAATGACCATCACCAGCTCCTCGCCACCATCATGAGGTTCTCTACCAAGCGCCCTTAAGGTTACACAGCACAAAAACCTGGGATCAACTCAGTTTTATAGACCCTCTCGATTTCTTTTCTTTTTCTATTTCTTTTTCTTTTTTGAGAAGGAGTCTTGCTCTGTCGCCCAGGCTGGAGTGCAGGGGCGCAATCTGGGCTCACTGCAAGCTCCGCCTCCCAGGTTCACGCCATTCTCCTCCCTCACAGCCTCCCGAGTAGCTGGGACTACAAGTGCCGCCACCACGCCCGGCTACTTTTTGTACTTTTAGTAGAGACTGGGTTTCACCGTGTTAGCCAGGATGGTCTCGATCTCCTGACCTCGTGATCTGTCTGCCTCAGCCTCCCAAAGTGCTGGGATTATAGGTGTAAGCAACCGTGCCCGGCCGACCCTCTCGATTTCTTGACTCCACTTCCTAGCCTTCATCAAGAATAGGCAGCTGAAGGGATTTATAGAGTAAGTGCATGCCTTTGACAGTGCCTTTCTTCAAAATGAAATTTCTCTCAAATCCAGTTAAACATGATGATGGCTTTCAATTCTTTCAAGGAAATCTATTTAAACATTCTGTTAATAAAGGCAGACCGAGTTTCACAATATGCTCACAAATTAATATCATCGTAGTTAAGCAAGTCCTGCCAAAGTTCTCTGAGTGTGTCCCCGGAGAACTCAGATCTCACTGTTAAGCATGAGTGGGGCGCAGACTTTCTGTTTGAGAGGTTGAGGCGATCCAATGCAGGAAGAAAAGATTCCCTGCAACCCAGATGGCCGCATCAATGCACAAGGTCCACCACCCTTCTGAGCCTGGGATCCCAAACGACAGGACTCACTCCTGGAAAGCTTCCTTCACCGCAGCCTACAGGGCCTCTCAGTGCACCCACAGGCTCATCCAGGAGCCTGTGCGACCACTGTGCCAAGATGAGGAGACAGCAACAGTCCAGGCGGTGGTGACACCCAGCTCTTGCACACATAGCCGAGGATCCTGCTGGTGTGGTGCTGGCGGCACATCTGCAGATACGGTGCCAGTTAACAGGGCCTTGAGAACGCCAGCCCACCAATGACTTCTGCCCAGAAAACACTCTGACTTTTCATCCGGAGTTAACAGCCACATGTGCTCAGGCCACCTCAAAAGAGCACATTCCATAGGCTTCAGAAGCCAAACTTGTGCAACAGATGTCTTTCTTAGGAAGAGAGCTGGGTAGAATCTTCTGAACGGGTGATGAGCATTTTATTTTGTAAACTACACTTGGAAAAAACTACTAAAAACCAGATATAAGCAGGGCACAGTGGCGTGTGCCTCTAGTCTCCCTCCTCAGAAGGCTGAGACGGGCAGCTCTCTTGAGGCTGTGATGTGCCACGATCGCACCTGTGAATAAAGCCACTGCACTCCAGCCTGGGCCACCCAGTGAGAGCCTGTCTCAAACTTAAAGCAACAGCAAAGCCAGATATAACAAAATAAACGTCCTAAAGGAGTCAGGGATCAGTGGGTCAAAAAGCACTGGCCCAGCCTTTGATTAAATGGCAACCGCAACACCACAATTAATAACAAAATTACTAAAACTGTACTTTAAAGGAAGGAAATGAAGCTTTTTGAGAAAATCAGGATAGGAAATGAGCTTAATGGAGCCAATTTTCAGAACGGCAGCTATGGACCGAATGCTTGTGTACCCTAAAATTCTTCCATGCTGAATGCTGGATTCGTGAATGTGCAAACCCTAATGCCCACAGTGATTGTATCTGGGTGCTGGGCCTCTGGAGGTGATTCATGAGGCTCTGCCCTCAGGAACAGGATTATTACCCAGTCCGTAGTACCCAATAGATGATCTTGCTGCCCCACGCGAGGATACAGCCAGGAGGTCTACAGCCAGCAAGCAGGCCCTCCCAGATCCTGGATCTGCCAGATCATTAGTTTTACATTTCCTAGGCTCCAGAGCTGTGAGAAATAAAGCCACTCAGTCGATGGTATTTTTCTTACAGCAGCCCGAACTAAGACAATGGCCAAAAGTGAATATTGCTTCCTGATTATTTATTAATTTTTGCAAATTTAGTTTTATGTTTTTGGGAATTAAGAGGGTGTCTGACTTCCTATACACTACCAATAAAGAGGCGTACAGGAAAATCTCCCTCTCCAAGGGCCCCCATACCATGCCCTAAAGGTAACTAGCAGGACCCTTTCTTTCTTTTTTGGAGACAGATTCTCACTTTGTTGCCCAGGGAATCTCAGCTGACTGCAACCTCCACTTCTCGAGTTCAAGTGATTCTCCTGCTGTAGCCTCCCAAGTAGCTGGGCACAAGCCACCAAGCCCAGCAAATTTTTGTATTTTTAGTAGACACAGGGTTTCACCACGTTGGCCAGGCTGGTCTCAAACTCCTGACTTCAGGTGTCCTGACCCCTCGGCCTCCCAAAGTGCTGGGATTACAGGCGTGAGCCACCAAGCCCAGTCGTGACCCTTTCTAATATACACATTGAAGTTTCACTCTGGTTCCACCATCAAAGAAAGGCTAGGGAGCTCATATTTCCCCAGGGAGCACCCAGCAGCCCAACCCCAGAGTGACATGGTCACACCCTGGTCACATGCCCTCGATCAGTTCCAAGGGCCCCACCCTCTAATTCCCTAGGGCTGATGCAATGCAGGAAACCCAGCTGTAGCCAACACAGGGCTACAATCCACTTCCCACACCCCAAGGCTAGGTATGCTACAGAATTCACAAGTGCTTGGGTTTAAAAAAAAAATACATGGCTTCCACAATCTATTACGGTGTACCCCCCAAATCATCTAAATGCCTGTGCCAGAACAGATAATCATACTGACCCAACTGCATTAAGAAAGAATATAAAAAATAGACTCAACAATTTAGGGCAGGTCAAATTCTGCCGCTATCAGAGTATTTTAGAATTTGGATATGAGGGCCAGGCGTAGTGGCTCATACCTGTAATCCTAGCACACTGGGAGGCCAAGGAGGGTGGATCACATGAGGTCAGAAGTTCGAGACCAGCCTGGCCAACATGGTGAAACCCCATCTCTACTAAAAATACAAAAAATTAGCCAGGCATGGTGGTGCACGCCTGTAATCCCAGCTACTGGGGAGGCTGAGGCATGAGAATCGCTTGAACCCAGGAAGTGTAGGTTGTAGTCAGCTGAGATCCCGCCACTGCACTCCAGCCTGAGTGACAGAGTGAGACTCTATCTCAAAAAAAAAAAAAAAAAAGAATTTGGATATGAGGCTAAGGAATGTGGATCTGTGATTCTGTTCTGTCCATCTAACTCCCACCAAAACATTCTTAGGGGCTTTGAAATGACCAAAAAATTAAAAGTGAAGCCCCTGTAAGTTACACAGAGTAAGAAACATCAAAGAAATGTACACAGCAAGTCTCTGAGCACATGGAGTCAGTGCTAGGAGAGGGCACACTATGAGGCTCTGGGCTGCCACACAGAAGGAGGTGAGCAAATCTAAAAACCAGGCTTTCCCTTGGCCAACAAAGCTGAGTAAATCCTCCCGTTTTGGTTAAGGGTTGTTAGCACACGAAAATACATTTCCTCGTGTTAAATGCAAGACTCCAAAATTCTAAATATTTTCACTTGCTAAAAGCTATAATCAAGAACAGAAGACTTGAGCAGAAAGAATTTGTGATTTTCCTAATTGGTTGTTTGATTTGTGTCATAATGGAAATTAAGTGTTGGTCTTTGTTGCTAAAGAAAATGAGCCATTCTTGTGTTTAGGATTTTCACACAGTTTAAAAGAACTTGTCTTCCAAATATGCCTTAAAAATAAACTGTATATTAGTTTTAATAGTGTTATTTAATAATAAAGGTTAAGCAAAAAAAAAGGGATAAAAGCAAATAAGCAAACAAACTAAATGACACCTCTTATTCCTGTCTGTTTAGACTTGAGGAATCAGGAATGCAGATCAATTTTTCCTTTTCTAGTTTTCTCTTTCCTACTCTGGCATGAAAATTTTGATCTGTAGCCGAGAAGACTGGTTGAACAGATAAAAAAAATTAGTGATCTCAAATTTTAGGCAGACAGAAGTGGTTCCACCAGAAAACTCATCTTTTGTTACATACAGTGTGCAAGAAATGATTCCAGAATGTTTATATCTGAACGTCATGCAGAGAAACTGGGCACACACAATACAATTGGGCACACACAATACATCTGCTGTGTCCAGCATGGTGTAAAAGCACAGGGGACTGATGGCCACTAAGGGTTTTGAACTTGAGGACTTGCAAAGGCAAGAGCCACCAAGCTACACTTCTTGGAGAGAAATATCTGGAGGTTATATGCTAAACCTATGCAAAACTTAATACAATTTATTAGACTATGTATTCAACTGTCAATTGTAACCATATTATAGAACACTGTGTTATATGTATCATATAGTATATAATAAATTATTAATGAGATAATGTTAAACATTGCTGTCTTAATATATGAAATGGGGGAAGATTTAATCCTCCTAACTTTTAATTATTTAGCTTACACTTAACACATGAATTGCCCTTGTATTTAAATATCAAATAAAGGCAATTATAGGAATTAGCTACTTATCAAACAAATTGCAATGATGAGATATGAATTTGTAAAAAAAATCTTCAGGTTAGATTTTTAAGATGTTTGCCTTTGAATTTTGCCTCAGAGAGGCCTGGAATCCTCGACTGATTTTATGGGGCCTCTACTGTCCTTAGGGGAACCCAACTGGCCTTCTGAGATCCCAGCCCACTCATCTCTTGACACCGTAGGGTCCAGAATGCTTGTATAAGGACATGCTCTCTGCAGTCTCTGCTTGCTCTCAAAACCAATGGAAACCCCCACGTGGGCTGACCTTTTCCTGTTGCAGCCCTTCCTGGGAGCTGGCCCAGCCCAAGGGAGGCCTGGTGTCCAGCGATGGGGCCCTTTGGCCAGCAGAGGGCACTGCACACCCTGCATGGCCTTCCAGAGGCTGCAGAGACAGCCATGAGCCACCATCCTCATTTCTATCCCAACTTAAGCTCTACAAGCACCTGGAGAAAATAAGATCAGCTACTCCTAGAAGGGAAGGCCTGGGCCCATGGATGAGATGCTGCATTTCCCCGAAAGTTCCAGATGTGAAAGAGGCAGAAGGTCTCACCGTTCCAGCAGCAGATGCTTCGTTTCTAGGAGCATGATATGCCAGGGGAAAGGGGATGCAGCGCCAGCGCCTACTTGTTTATCTCCCGAGACGCTAGCTGGGGGTCCCACTTTCACAGCGGAGTGACTGGAGGTACAGGCCAAGAAGGAGGGAGGCTCCCTGCCCAGGGTGTGGAGTCCCCGACCCCAGGGAGCCAGGGGCCACCCTGACAAATGATTTTTCCATTACGTCTGCTGACAGCAACCAGTTAGTGTTGAAAATTGGAAACAACTTGGCAGAGACGGAACACACACAGAGAGGACGGTGCTGGGGAGGGGCCGGCTGGGCTGCTCCGCAAATGCCCCTTAGGCTTTCCATTACAAATGACAGCCTCTGGAGCACTATGCACACCTGATCAACAGGCTCAATTTGACTCAACACCAGGATCAGTTTGCTGTGAGACAAGTATGATCTTAAGATATACAACTTTTTTTCCTGGTAGACACTAATTTAGAAAGGAAAGGAGATTTTTCCAACTTTCCCCAGGAATTGATTCTGGCCAGAATGCACATTAATGTGCTCTCTGGCCTCAATTTGCCCGCCTGACCACAGACACACACACACACACACACACACACACACACACACACACACACACGTCCACCTGACCACACACATACACACACAACACCCCTTTCACCAAGTTCTAAGATGCTGGCCACCTCTTCTCCACACTGGCAGGGTACCTGACAGTTTCTGGTTGGAGAAGAATGGGAGGGGCTGGTGTAGCCCACTAATGCCCCACTACGGGAGACAGATGTGCCTAATTCAGTCCCCACCGTCACAGGACACTCTTTCTTACCATCATTTCAAAGTCGCCACAGTTGTCACAGCAGCAGGATACCACTGAGTGATACAGCACATGCTTGGCCTGATTTGGCAGAGGATGCCTTTGGATAGACCCCACACACGTGCGGATCCTGGGGAGCCCCCACCTGAGCTCCGGTGCCACCTCCCCCAGGCAGCGCCTCTCCACCTTCTCTTCATGGCTCTGATGCCACGAATACCTCACAAGCTTGCTCCAAGTCACATTCAGTGGGACTTGCTTTCACTTTCCAGGACGAGGTTCCTCTGTACAACCCACTTCAGTGTGGAACCTTCAGCAAGGAATGAGGGCTACATGGTGGCCAGGGAGAGGTGGAGACCCGCAGGCATGGTCGAAGATGGTGGGAAAGGGGAGTTCAAGCTGGACGGGCAGAGATAAGCTATCAAAGCAAACGCTGGCTGGGCTGCCAAGTGTCCGGAGAGATTATCTCAAAAACAAGCAGGAACGGCTCCCTCCAAAGGGGCCCACCTGCTGAAGGAGTGGGGACCCAGCCTTCCAAGTTCCATGCCAGCCAAGTTATAGAGTCAAACCAAATCAAGACTCTTGAGCCACCCCGCTCCAACTCTTCTGCCCAGCCTGACGTGACCAGGCCAGTGTAGCCACCGCCCCAGTGCACAGCTCAGCTCCCCAAACCCCACGTCTGTGGGGCCAACTGTTTAGGACACCAGTAGTTTGGGCATGCACTGGGATAAAAGTGCTCCAGGCACCTGGGGTGGCCCATCCTTCATTTCAACTAAGGCATCACTCATCATGCAAAGGCTGGCATCCAGGAGAGCCAACTCAGACCTCAGGAGTGGAGGATTATGTTTGCTTTATGAGGGCAGATACTCTATGCCTGGGTCCTTACAAGTATACACATTCCATAATGCGTCTCTATCACCAAAAGCCGCTCTGCAGCATCATGGGGCACCGGTACCCTGTCTCCTGCGACAGGTCGTGGAAATGATATGTAGAAATCAGACATCCCTAACTCCAGAAAATCTCTAGATTCAAAGACACCGCTTCCCAGACCTTATCTTTTCAACCTGAGTCATAAAGAGAAAAATCTTAGTCTTATCCACAGTTATTTAACATGAAATAAAATAGCTTGCAGCTATTCATTTTGCTTAACACGGTTTTCACGTGGAAGACGGCTACGTAACGGAAACCCAGAGGGATGAAGGCTTTGTTTGGTATCCATGACTGCACCCAAAGGGAGAGCGGGCGTCTCGCAGAGTCTGATGGGGAGGAGGAGGGTGGGACACTCCCGTGTCACACAAATTCATCTTTGCCTATCAAATGCCGGGAAAAGGAAGGGTGGGGGTGCGGCTCACAAGAGTTCTTTTGTTTCTGTTATGGGGTGTCGCTGGGGTTCAGCTGTCTTCTTGAATCATTTCACCTGTTTCACAGTGGCTTCCAGTCCCGGTCTCCAGGTCTCTGACGAGTACACCACCCCATTTTAACACTCATCATAGCTCAGAATGTTCCAGGCTATAGCTAAAATATAAGTTAGTGGAAAGAGGTTGCTGGGGAGGAGTAGACAAGGCTCCTGATGAGAATCTTCTAGAGAACTGCAACCTTGTCATAATGAACTGGGGTCCTCACAGGCCTCCTGCACCAAAGTCCTCTGGAGAGGGAGACATCTGGATGAGGAGGGTGGATGGTGCCCATGAATACAGTCACCTATGTGGAGAATTACAGCTCATCGTGAGCTACCATCAGGGATCCTAATTTTACATGAAATCCCACTGGAGAATTCTTGACAAGGTAATGGCCATTTAAAAATCTGCTCTGAGACATTTTATGGGGATATTGTGCATGTTAGAGCCCAAGCCAGACAAATAAATGGGAAAAAAGGTCCGAGGACTCAGGATACCTGGATCCCAAGTTTATGTCCCCACCCCAGACACCATTCGAAAACGGTACATGGAGACCCTTAGGGAAAGGCAGGTCCCTGGAGGCCCACTCCTCATGTACTTCCTGCCATAGTCATCCAAGCCTGAACATTTATGGTCTTGATGTCAATTAAGTCCCCAAAGCAATTAAAATACCTTTTCAGGCCAGGCATGGTGGCTCACGCCTGTAATCCCAGCACTTTGGGAGGCCAAGGTGGGTGGATCACTTGAGGTCAGGAGTTTGAGACAAGCCTGGCCAACATGGCAAAACCCCATCTCTACTAAAAATACAAAAATTAGCCAGGTGTGGTGGTGGGCACCTGTAATCCCAGCTACTCAGGAGGCTGAGGCAGGAGAATTGCTTGAACCCAGGGGACAGAGCTTGCAGTGAACTGAGATCACGCCACTGCACACTAGCCTGGGCAACAGAGTGAGACTCTGTCTCAAAATAGAAACCAACCAACCAAAAAAAAAAAAAAGAAACCTTTTCAATTAAATGCCCACAGGTCACACACTGACTGTTACAGGTTGAATTATGGACCCCCCTAATTATGTTAAAGTTCTAAGCCCCAGGACCTCAGAATGGAACCTTATTTGAAGATAAGGTCGTTACAGCGGCAATCAAATTAAACAGGTCATTAGAGTGGACTCTAATCCAAGACGAATATTCTCATAAAAAGGAGGACAGTTGGACACTTAGACACAGACAGGGGGAAGACGACGTGAAGATGGCATCTAAAAGCTACGGAGACAGGGCTTCTCTCAAATCCTTGGAAGGAAGCACCCCTGCGGATGCCTTATCTCAGACTTCCAGCCTCTAGAACTCTGAGAAAACACATCTCTGTCCTGGCCTGTCTGTGGAACCTTCTTTCAGCAACCCGAGCACGCCAACACATGCCAACAGACGGGAGGCTCGCACCTATCGGTGGGGGTCTGCGCTGCTGAGACCTGCAAGCTCAGGACCCCCCGGCAGGAAGCCTGGTTGTGATGCAGGGGCAGCAATCTGTGCAGAATCCTGGCTTTATTAAAAAGCTCCAAGTCAACCCAAGCCTGCTTTATGGGGAGAGGCAACCTTCACCCTCCAATCTCGCCCCAGACAGCTCAACACGCACGGCCTGAGGTGTGCCCGTGGCCATTTCCCAGCAGTGGTCAGAGGGGCTGCAGGTCCCAGAGCTGACCCCCACAACACGCAGGGAGCAGCC
The DNA here is from genome assembly GCF_000001405.40 of Homo sapiens. NCBI lineage: Eukaryota > Metazoa > Chordata > Mammalia > Primates > Hominidae > Homo > Homo sapiens. The sequence continues at coordinate 125,052,397 of NC_000010.11, forward strand.
TCCTGAGAGGCTCAGACCTGTGTTCGCCAGGGGAGAGACCCAGGAGGGAATGTTCTAACCTTATTTCCCTTAAGCTGTTTTCTGTGCTCCATGTCTGGGATTTCATTGTTTGGACCGTCCTGCCTTTGTGTTGTCTGTGTTAACAACACCCAGAAGATTCCATCAGCCTCATGCCAGGGTTGGGAGATCAAAGAAAGGTGATCCCCACACGGCCCACAGAGGAGGGAAGAACCTATCAAGAACGCCCTTGGGGTCCAGCAGCAAACGGATGGTGATTGTGCCTTTGAATGCCTCAGTCCGGGCTTTGTGTATCATAGTGTGGGCTCCAGCAGGAATCTGGGGTCCACAATCACAGGCACCATCGGTTCCTGCTTGGCGGCAGCCCCAACACATTCCCATGGGAGCCCAGACGGAGCGCCCACTGGATCTCAGGCTGGAATTGGGCGCTTGGATCAACTCCATTCATATGGCTTTGGGACAGCCACGTGCATCTCCACACTTCCCAAGTTCATGGGAAATTTTGAGAAAAACTTTTCTGACTGTCAAAGCATTCTCTCCGGTCCATTCTCAAATTCTTCCCCCAGAATGAAGTTTATGAATACGCATCACGCAGCATGCAGCCGCTGACCCCAAGTGTACTTATTTCTTCAAAACACAGAACTTTAGGAGTACAAAAGGCTTATTCGAAGAGAGAGAAAAAAAAAGAAAACAAAACCCCACACAACTTCCAGGATAATTCAAGCATGAATCCACGGGGCCACCGAAGCCAAGGCTGCCCCTCAGGGCAGGTGCAGCATTCTCCCAGGTTTCTGGAGTACGACTGGGGGTTCATCTCTGGAGGGCCGGGGCTCCCTCACCTCCAGGAAGGATCCAGTGCATTGTCAACACAAAGGACATGGGAGCAGGAGGAGCCCACTGAAAATGACCCGCCACTCTATCTTTTGAATGGCAACCTCACTGCCCGCCGAACAGAGAGCAAGAGGACACAGTGAAAGGTCTTTTGCAGTCCAGATTCTTGCAGCCCCTCCTGGCATCCCCCAACACAGCAGTGCAAGGAAGGCCCTCTGTCCTCTCCAGGCCCCTCCCAGAGGTTCTCCCAGGGAGGACACCCAGGGATGAGTGGCTCCTGGGCTCAGCCTGCTCCACTCCCAAGGCCCTTGGGAAATCAACAGGCTCAGCTCAAGAGAGGCAGAGAAGGGGTGAGGCTAATAGGTTTTGGTTTTTGGAAGGTCTGAGGTTAGACCCTCTGGGCTTCAGAGACAGCACTTCAGATGATGCCGGGGTGAACATCTCAGACACGCTCCTGAAGATGGGAGGGGAGATCTCAGCCCAGAGCCGAAGGTGTAGACGGGTCTGATGAGTGGGAAGACAGGAAGGGAAATGGGAACTTCACTTGGAAAAGGAGAGATGCCACATAGTTCCGAAGGGCAGGGCACTGGCCACAGACTGCCCTTCATGCCCAGCTCCACAAGAAACCAGGGACCCGGCAGAGGATCAGATTCCACACAGGGACCCTCACTGAGGTTGCACACACATTATCTCAGTGACCTTTCCAGCCCCTACAGGACTTCTGGGGAATCCGAAGCCGGATAGCTCTGCACAGCCACCCACCGGTGACACAGGCGTGCCCACAAAACAGTAGAGGGCCATGAATTGAGGGCCATGGAGGCTTTTCTGAATCACTGCCCCTCCCCAGAGGCCCACTGAGAGCTTTCCAAGCTGAACATGACCCTCTCCCTGAATAAGGCAGATCCCATCTACACTGTGGATGCCAGAAAAAGAATCAATCCCATGGCCCCCGGGGACCCCCAACCTTTTGGAATTCATGTCCTTGTACAAGCTCTGCTTCTAAACAAACAGTAAACAGTATACACAGGTGAGGGGATGTCACTTCTGAGATTAGGTTAAAAGAGACTGTGGCTACCAGTGTGGGCATCCTCCCATCTTCCCTGCCAACTTCCCTCCCTCCCAGAGGCCAGCTGCCATGCCAGCTGCCCTAAGGAGAGACCCACGGAACAGGAAACCAAGGCCCTCAGTCCCAACAGTCCATGAGAAGCTGAACCCTCCCCGAGCCGGGCCTTCAGATGAGACCACAACCCCACTGACATCCTGAATGCAACATTGTCAGGGCCCTAGCAGGAGGCACCAAGCTAAGCTGTGCAGGTTCCTGTCCCATAGACAGTGCAAGACAATAAAGTTTTGTTGTTTTAAGCCTTTACATTTTGAGGTAATTTGTCACACAGCAATAGATAACTAATACAACCCTTTACACAAACTATCACACTGACTATGGTCACTGACACAGTACAGTTCAACAGAAAAGATAAAAACAGTAATACATTTGTAATGCATGGCGTCTAGTTTATACTACCTACAGGACAGAGAACACTAACAAAAAACAAGCGAAACCCTCTAAATCCTCCGCTGCCCAGACTGACATGAGGTCTGTGATATATCCACTTCTGTAAACTCTTGGGGTAAACGCTATTCTCCTCACAACAGCAATGCGTACAAGCTGAAGGAACGGAAAGTCTGCTGTTATGTTCACTTACCCCAGATGCTTAAAATAAATTCCAGGGCTACGCTCAACATGCACAGAGTTAACTCAGGCACCCTGGGGTCTCCACTCTGACTCACGCACACCCATAAATCTGGGGAACATTAAAAAGATCTATCAGAGCCTGGGCCCCACATTAAGAATGCAGCCTCCTAGACCCCCCTCTGAATGGTAATTCACTGGGTAAACAGACCTTCTTGCTTTTTCTTAAAAGTGGTCCTTGAACTGCAGCTACGATTAAGTCTGAGCTCTCAGAGAAAAAGAGCATGTAGGTAAATATTGAAGGCAGTCTGCACAGAGGTTCAGGGCACAAACACAGCCGCTTCTGAGACAGGGAACACCATGAGCCGAGGCAGGAGCTGGCCTCAACTGCAACACAAGGGGCAGAAATGGGAAGGCTGCAAAAACCACGCAGGTGCCATGCCCTCATGTGCCCAGATGCTTGGGTGGCCCTGGATGATTTCCTAGGATCACGGCATTTCTGGAGCCTTCTGAGATTGTAGAGGTCACCAAATCCAAACTTCAGAGAACCTGAGACTCAACATGGCCAGGTCACTCCTAGTCCTATGTCCTTAGGACCCCGATGTACATCTCCCGCTCCCCCAGAAGCAGCACTGCAGAGGCTTGTGGAGTCAGACTGAGCCACACCAGCCAGATGCAAAACACGGCTACGTCTCACAAAGCCACACCCCACAATCCCCGAACCACACTCCAAGGGAGAGCTCTCCAGAGCAGACACAGAACATCTGCAGAAGCAAAAAGCCAGACTAGCATGTAAAATCATGAAAAGAAAAAAATCAAAGAGGCAGGTAGACACATACCCAACTGTTGGCAGGGGAGTCCCTCTGAGGAGTGGGACTGTGGGAAGGAGGAGGCTCCAAGAGGCTGGAACGCTTTTTAGCTGCATGCATGACTTTAAAAGCAGCTAACTGGCCAGGCGTGGCAGCTCACACCTGCAATCCCAGCACTTTGGGAGGCCGAGGTGGGCAG